>NC_000001.11:113493228-113796259 GCF_000001405.40 Homo sapiens
TAAGGCCATACACCTACAACTATCTGATCTTCAACAAACCTGACACAAACAAGCAATGGGGAAAAGATTCCCTAGTTAATAAATGGTGCTAGATAACTGACTAGAGATATGCGGAAAATTGAAACTGGATGCCTTCCTTACACCACATAAAAAATTAAGCTGGATTAAAGACTTTAAAATCCCAAACTATAAAAACGTTGGAAGACAACGTAGGCAATACCATTCTGGGCATAGGAGTGGGCAAATTTTCATGACAAAGATGCCAAAAGCAGCTGCAATAAAGGTAAAAATTGACAAATGGGATCTAATTAAACGAAAGAGCTTCTGCATAGTGGAGGAAACTATCAACAGAGTGAACAGACAACCTACAGAGTGGCAGAAAATATTTGCAAATGATACATCTGTCAAAGGTCAAATATCTAGCATCTGTAATGAACTTCGATTTACAAGAAAAAGCAACCCCATTAAAAAGTGGGCAAAGAGCATGAACAGACAGTTTTCAAAAGCAGACATACATGCAATCAACAATCATGAAAAAAGACTCAACATCACTAATTACTAGAGAAGTGCAAATCAAAACCACAGTGAGATACTGTCCCACACCAGTCAGAATGCTATTATTAAAAAGTCAAAAAACAACAGATGCTGGTGAGGTTGGAGAGAAAAAGGAACACTTATACGCTGTTGATGGGAATGAGTGTAAATTAGTTCAACCATTGTGGGAGACGATGTGGCAATTCCTCAGAGACCTAAAAACAGAAATGCCATTTGACTCATCAATTTCATGACTGGGTATATATCCAAAGATTTATAAATCGTTCTATTATAAAGACACATGCACTTATATGTTCATTGCAGCACTATTCACAATAGTTCGCAAAGACATGGAATCAACCCAGATTCCCAATGATAGAATGGATAAAGGAAATATACACCATGGCATTCTAAGCGGCCATCAAGAAGAACGATCATGTCCTTTGCAGGAACATGGATGGAGCTGGAGGCCATTATCCTTAGCAAACAAACACAGGAACAGAAAACCAAATACCACATGTTCTCACGTACAAGTGGGAGCTAAATGATGAGAACACGTGGACACGGGAACAACACACGCTGGGGACTATCGGAGGATGAAGGGTGGGAAGAGGGAGAGAATCAGGAGAAATAACTGTGTACTAGGCTTAATACTTGGGTTACTAAATAATCTGTACAACAAACCCCTATGCTACAAGTGTACTATATAACAAACCTGCATGTGTACCCTTGAACTTAAATTTTTTAAAAGTTTATTAAGGTGAAAATGGTTATTGAAAAATCTTAATCTCTGAATTAGTAACAGTTCCCACATGCTAAATGATGTATCCCAATATCTCTTTATTTAAAATATAAAACTAGGCAGAAACTGAAATTATTTTCTAGTAGGAGAGTCTTTTAAAAGGTAGCATTCATAAGTGTTGTTTACATATTATGCATGGGTCACTGACAATCAATGTGTCTGTAAACAACTCTGTTGTAGTTAGGGCTCTTTTCCCTTTTGAATTTTGATTGCTCAGCCAAGGGTTCTTTGTTGATAGCTGGTTTGAGTACTTTTATATACTATACTTAATTCAGATTAATGAGCTTTGTTAATACTGATTTGAACTAGCTAGATTTTATTTGTTTACTTGTTTTTGTTATTTTTAAGAACGACCAATTCCAGATCTATGCTAATTTAAATATGTCCTCAAAAAGGGGGCACATATTTAAAAAAACAAACCAAAACATACATTTATGTTGGAAAAATCTTCTTAGTTCATTGTTAGTACCCTAATTTTTGTAGGTTTTCATAGGAATTAACTCTTTCAAAGCACCTTTTAGACTATGTTGTCGGCAGCTAGATGCTCCATTTACTTCAAGAAATGCAACAAAATTGAAACCAGTTTAACTGCTAAGTGATTCGAAGTAATGCAAAGTACATGGACTGCTAAATCATAGAGGATCTAATTTTTTTTTAAAACCCATTTGTTAGGCTCTCATATAAATATAACACTTAAAACAATAAGCACATATACTGTTATATAATTCAGGAAGATTTTTAGCTTGTAGACTTCCAAAGAATGTGGCATTTTGTTTTAGTTTTTGAAGTACCTCTTTTTTTTTTTTTTAATTTCAGTAGGTTTTCGGGGAATGGGTGTTGTTTGGTTACATGAATAACTTTAGTGGTGATTTCTGAGAATTTGGTGCACCCATCACCTGAGCAGTGTACACTGTACTCAGTGTGTAGTCTTTTATCCCTAACTCCTCTTCCACCCTTTCCCCCGAGTCCCCAAAGTCCATTGTACGAAGATACTGTACCTTTCTTTTAATGCCAGTTTATAATGCATGTTCGAACTTTTAACTTCACTAAGTCTATGAAGGTAAGATATACATAGTAAGAACTAAACCTGCTAAAGATCATCCTGTTTATGCAACATCATTAATTTAACAAATAAGCAGAGTAATGCATTTAGGACAAAAGTTTATGTTTGTTATTAGGGATATAAAGTCTGTTATCCCCAGGATCTTAGAGACTAAGAGAGTAGTATAAACAAATATTTATAGTAAACTCTGTAATTACTATAGAAAATATCACAGAAGCACAACAGCTCAGCTAACTCTGCCATATTAAAGTAGAGCAGTATTATGACTGAATAAATCAAAACAGCTGACATCATTAGACCTGCTATGATTGATAACAGGTTTTTCTCTTTGACAAGTGGTTGTGATATATGTAAGAATTCCTAGTTTTTCTTTAATATGATAGATAAACCTGACTAATGATTTTGAAGCATTTAGTGGTTGAAATCTTTCTGTGAGCTTTTTGTTTATCTTTTATTTTTAGCCTGATAGTCTGATAAAGGAACTGTGCTTTAATTTGCTTCTTTTTTGCTTGTTGCTAATGCTTTTTATGATTTCCAAATATTTCAACTTCATTGTTGAAAAATGAACATATTTTCAGGTAGATATTATATTTTAATGGATTACAACTTAGATTTTAAATTTGCTGAAATTTTTCTTTGCCAGGGGTAAGGTTTCTGGTCAATATAAATAGAATCATCATGTGTTTCTGTCTCCAAAAAGTTAGCTGCATATTTTCTGAATTTGAGGTTTGAATTAAGAATTGGGAATGCCAATTGATAGATGGATGGTTAAATGCTTATGATAGCTCACTGTCTATGAAATCCTATATGTGTTTGTTAAATGTGACCGTCAGCACTAAGTAAATCGGTAAATAGATTACTTTCCCACCCTAAGGATCTGCAGAGTGTCTTAGAATTTCACAAAAGGAGCAAACCTCTGACTTGATGGAATAAATTTTGATAATCAGTTTCTTGTTTGTTTATCTGTTTATTGATCTATTTCTTAGTATAATTATGATTGCATTTTATATTGGACTTTTGTTTTTTACCTTTTTAAAAAAACCACATTGAGCCAATTTTCAATTGTTTAAACTTTCAGCATGTTTAAATATTTGTGTTTATAGTTTTCAGAATTTTTGCTCAGTTTTGGAATAGTACCGATTACCAAAGGTAAACCTGACCCTTAATGAGCAAGTAAATTTGTAGGCTGTATACATTTTTTTAAAGTAATTGTTATCTAGGCCACATTAGCCTTCAAGCTACATTGTCTATTGACTGAGGCTCCTTAGATCTCTTATAAAATGCATTATATTGCCTGACTTGCATATTATATTATCTAGGTAAAGCAATGTAATTAAAGCTTAACTGAGGTCATGGGTGGTGGCTCACACCTGTAGTCCCAGCACTTTGGGAGGCAAAGGCAGGCAGATCACTTGAGGTCAGGTGTTCAAGACCAACCTGGGCAACGTGGGGAGAGCCCGTTTCTACAAAAATACAAAAATTAGCTGGGCGTGATGGCGCATGCCTGTAAGTCCCAGCTACTTGGAGGCTGAGGTGCGTGGATCACTTGATCCCAGGAGGTGGAGGTTGCAGTGAGCTAAGATCACACCACTGGAATAGGAACAGCTCCGGTCTACAGCTCCCAGCGTGAGCGACGCAGAAGACGGGTGATTTCTGCATTTCCATCTGAGGTACCGGGTTCATCTCACTAGGGAGTGCCAGACAGTGGGCGCAGGCCAGTGTGTGTGCGCACCGTGCGCGAGCCGAAGCAGGGCGAGGCATTGCCTCACCTGGGAAGCGCAAGGGGTCAGGGAGTTCCCTTTCCGAGTCAAAGAAAGGGGTGATGGACGCACCTGGAAAATCGGGTCACTCCCACCCGAATATTGCGCTTTTCAGACCGGCTTAAGAAACGGCGCACCACGAGACTATATCCCACACCTGGCTCAGAGGGTCCTACGCCCACGGAATCTCGCTGATTGCTAGCACAGCAGTCTGAGATCAAACTGCAAGGCGGCAACGAGGCTGGGGGAGGGGCGCCCGCCATTGCCCAGGCTTGCTTAGGTAAACAAAGCAGCCGGGAAGCTCGAACTGGGTGGAGCCCACCACAGCTCAAGGAGGCCTGCCTGCCTCTGTAGGCTCCACCTCTGGGAGCAGGGCACAGACAAACAAAAAGGCAGCAGTAACCTCTGCAGACTTAAGTGTCCCTGTCTGACAGCTTTGAAGAGAGCAGTGGTTCTCCCAGCACGCAGCTGGAGATCTGAGAACGGGCAGACTGCCTCCTCAAGTGGGTCCCTGACCCCTGACCCCCGAGCAGCCTAACTGGGAGGCACCCCCCAGCAGGGGCACACTGACACCTCACACGGCAGGGTATTCCAACAGACCTGCAGCTGAGGGTCCTGTCTGTTAGAAGGAAAACTAACAACCAGAAAGGACATCTACACCGAAAACCCATCTGTACATCACCATCATCAAAGACCAAAAGTAGATAAAACCACAAAGATGGGGAAAAAACAGAACAGAAAAACTGGAAACTCTAAAACGCAGAGCGCCTCTCCTCCTCCAAAGGAACGCAGTTCCTCACCAGCAACAGAACAAAGCTGGATGGAGAATGATTTTGACGAGCTGAGAGAAGAAGGCTTCAGACGATCAAATTACTCTGAGCTACGGGAGGACATTCAAACCAAAGGCAAAGAAGTTGAAAACTTTGAAAAAAATTTAGAAGAATGTATAACTAGAATAACCAATACAGAGAAGTGCTTAAAGGAGCTGATGGAGCTGAAAACCAAGGCTCGAGAACTACGTGAAGAATGCAGAAGCCTCAGGAGCCGATGCGATCAACTGGAAGAAAGGGTATCAGCAATGGAAGATGAAATGAATGAAATGAAGCGAGAAGGGAAGTTTAGAGAAAAAAGAATAAAAAGAAATGAGCAAAGCCTCCAAGAAATATGGGACTATGTGAAAAGACCAAATCTACGTCTGATTGGTGTACCTGAAAGTGATGTGGAGAATGGAACCAAGTTGGAAAACACTCTGCAGGATATTATCCAGGAGAACTTCCCCAATCTAGCAAGGCAGGCCAACGTTCAGATTCAGGAAATACAGAGAACGCCACAAAGATACTCCTCGAGAAGAGCAACTCCAAGACACATAATTGTCAGATTCACCAAAGTTGAAATGAAGGAAAAAATGTTAAGGGCAGCCAGAGAGAAAGGTCGGGTTACCCTCAAAGGGAAGCCTATCAGACTAACAGCAGATCTCTCGGCAGAAACCCTACAAGCCAGAAGAGAGTGGGGGCCAATATTCAACATTCTTAAAGAAAAGAATTTTCAACCCAGAATTTCATTTCCAGCCAAACTAAGCTTCATAAGTGAAGGAGAAAGAAAATACTTTACAGACAAGCAAATGCTGAGAGATTTTGTCACCACCAGGCCTACCCTAAAAGAGCTCCTGAAGGAAGCACTAAACATGGAAAGGAACAACCGGTACCAGCCGCTGCAAAATCATGCCAAAATGTAAAGACCATCGAGACTAGGAAGAAACTGCATCAACTAATGAGCAAAATCACCAGCTAACATCATAATGACAGGATCAAATTCACACATAACAATATTAACTTTAAATATAAATGGACTAAATTCTGCAATTAAAAGACACAGACTGGCAAGTTGGATAAAGAGTCAAGACCCATCAGTGTGCTGTATTCAGGAAACCCATCTCATGTGCAGAGACACACATAGGCTCAAAATAAAAGGATGGAGGAAGATCTACCAAGCAAATGGAAAACAAAAAAAGGCAGGGGTTGCAATCCTAGTCTCTGATAAAACAGACTTTAAACCAACAAAGATCAAAAGAGACAAAGAAGGCCATTACATAATGGTAAAGGGATCAATTCAACAAGAGGAGCTAACTATCCTAAATATTTATGCACCCAATACAGGAGCACCCAGATTCATAAAGCAAGTCCTGAGTGACCTACAAAGAGACTTAGACTCCCACACATTAATAATGGGAGACTTTAACACCCCACTGTCAATATTAGACAGATCAACGAGACAGAAAGTCAACAAGGATACCCAGGAATTGAACTCAGCTCTGCACCAAGCAGACCTAATAGACATCTACAGAACTCTCCACCCCAAATCAACAGAATATACATTTTTTTCAGCACCACACCACACCTATTCCAAAATCGACCACATAGTTGGAAGTAAAGCTCTCCTCAGCAAATGTAAAAGAACAGAAATTATAACAAACTATCTCTCAGACCACAGTGCAATCAAACTAGAACTCAGGATTAAGAATCTCACTCAAAGCCGCTCAACTACATGGAAACTGAACAACCTGCTCCTGAATGACTACTGGGTACATAACGAAATGAAGGCAGAAATAAAGATGTTCTTTGAAACCAACGAGAACAAAGACACCACATACCAGAATCTCTGGGACGCATTCAAAGCAGTGTGTAGAGGGAAATTTATAGCACTAAATGCCTACAAGAGAAAGCAGGAAAGATCCAAAATTGACACCCTAACATCACAATTAAAAGAACTAGAAAAGCAAGAGCAAACACATTCAAAAGCTAGCAGAAGGCAAGAAATAACTAAAATCAGAGCAGAACTGAAGGAAATAGAGACACAAAAAACCCTTCAAAAAATCAATGAATCCAGGAGCTGGTTTTTTGAAAGGATCAACAAAATTGATAGACCGCTAGCAAGACTAATAAAGAAAAAAAGAGAGAAGAATCAAATAGACACAATAAAAAATGATAAAGGGGATATCACCACCGATCCCACAGAAATACAAACTACCATCAGAGAATACTACAAACACCTCTACGCAAATAAACTAGAAAATCTAGAAGAAATGGATACATTCCTCGACACATACACTCTCCCAAGACTAAAACAGGAAGAAGTTGAATCTCTGAATGGACCAATAACAGGCTCTGAAATTGTGGCAATAATCAATAGTTTACCAACCAAAAAGAGTCCAGGACCAGATGGATTCACAGCCGAATTCTACCAGAGGTACAAGGAGGAACTGGTACCATTCCTTCTGAAACTATTCCAATCAATAGAAAAAGAGGGAATCCTCCCTAACTCATTTTATGAGGCCAGCATCATTCTGATACCAAAGCCGGGCAGAGACACAACCAAAAAAGAGAATTTTAGACCAATATCCTTGATGAACATTGATGCAAAAATCCTCAATAAAATACTGGCAAACCGAATCCAGCAGCACATCAAAAAGCTTATCCACCATGATCAAGTGGGCTTCATCCCTGGGATGCAAGGCTGGTTCAATATACGCAAATCAATAAATGTAATCCAGCATATAAACAGAGCCAAAGACAAAAACCACATGATTATCTCAATAGATGCAGAAAAAGCCTTTGACAAAATTCAACAACCCTTCATGCTAAAAACTCTCAATAAATTAGGTATTGATGGGACGTATTTCAAAATAATAAGAGCTATCTATGACAAACCCACAGCCAATATCATACTGAATGGGCAAAAACTGGAAGCATTCCCTTTGAAAACTGGCACAAGACAGGGATGCCCTCTCTCACCGCTCCTATTCAACATAGTGTTGGAAGTTCTGGCCAGGGCAATCAGGCAGGAGAAGGAAATAAAGGGTATTCAATTAGGAAAAGAGGAAGTCAAATTGTCCCTGTTTGCAGACGACATGATTGTTTATCTAGAAAACCCCATTGTCTCAGCCCAAAATCTCCTTAAGCTGATAAGCAACTTCAGCAAAGTCTCAGGATACAAAATCAATGTACAAAAATCACAAGCATTCTTATACACCAACAACAGACAAACAGAGAGCCAAATCATGGGTGAACTCCCATTCACAATTGCTTCAAAGAGAATAAAATACCTAGGAATCCAACTTACAAGGGATGTGAAGGACCTCTTCAAGGAGAACTACAAACCACTGCTCAAGGAAATAAAAGAGGACACAAACAAATGGAAGAACATTCCATGCTCATGGGTAGGAAGAATCAATATCGTGAAAATGGCCATACTGCCCAAGGTAATTTACAGATTCAATGCCATCCCCATCAAGCTACCAATGACTTTCTTCACAGAATTGGAAAAAACTACTTTAAAGTTCATATGGAACCAAAAAAGAGCCCGCATTGCCAAGTCAATCCTAAGCCAAAAGAACAAAGCTGGAGGCATCACACTACCTTACTTCAAACTATACTACAAGGCTACAGTAACCAAAACAGCATGGTACTGGTACCAAAACAGAGATATAGATCAATGGAACAGAACAGAGCCCTCAGAAATAATGCCACATATCTACAACTATCTGATCTTTGACAAACCTGAGAAAAACAAGCAATGGGGAAAGGATTCCCTATTTAATAAATGGTGCTGGGAAAACTGGCTAGCCATATGTAGAAAGCTGAAACTGGATCTCTTCCTTACACCTTATACAAAAATCAATTCAAGATGGATTAAAGATTTAAACGTTAAACCTAAAACCATAAAAACCCTAGAAGAAAACCTAGGCATTACCATTCAGGACATAGGCGTGGGCAAGGACTTCATGTCCAAAACACCAAAAGCAATGGCAACAAAAGACAAAATTGACAAATGGGATCTAATTAAACTAAAGAGCTTCTGCACAGCAAAAGAAACTACCATCAGAGTGAACAGGCAACCTACAACATGGGAGAAAATTTTCGCAACCTACTCATCTGACAAAGGGCTAATATCCAGAATCTACAATGAACTCAAACAAATTTACAAGAAAAAAACAAACAACCCCATCAAAAAGTGGGCGAAGGACATGAACAGACACTTCTCAAAAGAAGACATTTATGCAGCCAAAAAACACATGAAGAAATGCTCATCATCACTGGCCATCAGAGAAATGCAAATCAAAACCACTATGAGATATCATCTCACACCAGTTAGAATGGCAATCATTAAAAAGTCAGGAAACAACAGGTGCTGGAGAGGATGCGGAGAAATAGGAACACTTTTACACTGTTGGTGGGACTGTAAACTAGTTCAACCATTGTGGAAGTCAGTGTGGCGATTCCTCAGGGATCTAGAACTAGAAATACCATTTGACCCAGCCATCCCATTACTGGGTATATACCCAAAGGACTATAAATCATGCTGCTATAAAGACACATGCACTCGTATGTTTATTGCGGCACTATTCACAATAGCAAAAACTTGGAACCAACCCAAATGTCCAACAATGATAGACTGGATTAAGAAAATGTGGCACATATACACCATGGAATATTATGCAGCCATAAAAAATGATGAGTTCATATCCTTTGTAGGGACATGGATGAAATTGGAAACCATCATTCTCAGTAAACTATCGCAAGAACAAAAAACCAAACACCGCATATTCTCACTCATAGGTGGGAATTGAACAATGAGATCACATGGACACAGGAAGGGGAATATCACACTCTGGGGACTGTGGTGGGGTCGGGGGAGGGGGGAGGGGTAGCATTGGGAGATATACCTAATGCTAGATGACACATTAGTGGGTGCAGCGCACCAGCATGGCACATGTATACATATGTAACTAACCTGCACAATGTGCACATGTACCCTAAAACTTAGAGTATAATTAAAAAAAAAAAAAAAAAAAAAAAAAAAAAAAAAAAAAAGATCACACCACTGCACTCCAGCCTGGGTGTCAAAGCGAGACCCTGTCTCAGGAAAAAAAAAAAAAAAAAAAAAAAAGGCTTAATTGATTGAACCAGATTCGAGAAAACAGTGCTAAATTATAATTTTCTCAATACTGTAAATATTTTTCAATCTTCAGCTTCATTAACTTCTATAATTTGAAATTATCCCAATTATTACCTGACATGTACTAAAATTCCCTAAAATGGATCTTGAGTAACATTTTCACAGTACGATAATTTTTCTCTCTGTATATATTTATATAGTCACATATATGCACATACATTATACAAGCATTACTTTTCTATAACTGTAAGGTCAGAATTTGAAGTTGTGTTTTCTTTATCTTTTTATTTCCAATACTTGGCATCAAGTTGATATTCATTAGAAGTAAAGGAGGAAGGAAATGAATAATCTTCAGATACTAAGAACATTACACTTAAATTATTATTAAATCTAATTTGCATTCTCATATATTGGCTTAGCTTGGTTATTTGTAACAAGAATATAAAAATATATGTGACTGGGAATGACATGAATAGAAACTTCTGGAAAATGGAATGGTAAGGTCTAGAGAAGTGGTAAATATTTCATCACTGGAAATGAGCAAGCAGAGGTTAGGTTATTCTTTGACATTGATATTGAAGCAGAGAGTCTCTATAATGGATAGAAAGTTCAAAGTGACCTTTAGGATCTTTTATCTTCAAATTTCTATGAAAAGTATATTTACTTTAATAATAAGGTTAAGATGTTGGAGTGCATAGAGTAAAAAACTAGAAAAGAACCAGATGTTAGAAAGGAGATTTCTTAACAAAATACGGTTAAAGAGGATTTCTCATATTTTATATGGAAAGAAGGAACTTTGATATTTAAGTAGGAACCATCTTCTAGGGGACCCTGTTGATTAAACAGGAAATCTAGAAACTAGACAAAGAAAAAAAGAATTTGGCTATATGAAAGTTAAAACTTATATTGCAAAAGAGAACATAAAATTAATAGTCCAAATAAAATTCAGAAAATAAAATATTTGTAACAGAGATGCCAGATAACAAATTTGTATCTATAATATGGAAACAACTCTTATAATTTGTTTAGAAGATAACCCAATGGATAATGGGCAAAGGATATGAATAGGCAATTTTGGAAGATCAAATTTAGATGGTCAGTAATGTTTCAAAAGATGCTCAGACTTATTAACTGTTAGTGATATGCAAATTAAAATAACACCAAACTATCATTTTACATGCATAAGGTTGTCAAAGATTAAAATAGTCAAAACACTTACTACTTTGGCATGGGGATGTGGGAAGTGATTTGAATACATTGCTGTTGGAAATGTAAGAGTTATTTTATCTCTTTTTTGGAAGGCAATCTGGCAATATTTATTAAAATGGAAAATACACATACTCTATGCTCCAGTAATTCCACTTCAGGAAATATATCCCTAAGAAATAAAAGTACTGGTATGTACAAGGATGTTTATTTCAGCACTGTTTATAATATCAAAAATTACAAACAAAATAATGCTTATTAATGGGATGGGTAAATAAATTATAGTATATTGCGGCACAGATCATTATATTACTATCACAAAAAGCACTATATGAATTAGAGGGACTTTCTGTGAGGTACTGTTGAATGAGGAAAGAAAGATATACAGAAGTATGTATTAATATATCCAATTCTTTTGTAGAACAGTGACCAAAATCCTGTGTGTGAGTTTATGTATGAGTGTGTGAACCTACACATTTATATGTTCATATGGCAGGGCAGTATGTAGCAAAAGAGAAGAATTCATACTCAGTGGTTAGCATGTTTTTAGAGAGTTATAATAATACAACAGGAGTAGGAAGGAAAAGGGAGGTAGGCCCATACCAGGTAATTAGATGTGAGAATGGAACTCAAAGAGCAAGTCAAGACTCAAGATTTAAATTTGGGAGTGAACTATAGAGGCAATATTAGATGCTAACAAAACCGAATGTAATGGCTAACCCTTTAACATCTATCTGTATTTTTTGTCCTATATTTTAATCAGTTTCTGCTTCACCTTGGTCAGCAAAAGCTCAGCAATAGGTTTTGTAATATTTTCTGTTTTAACTAGCTCAAATAAACACATATTAATTGAAAACTTCTAACAGCTTTTATTTATTCAACAAATATTTCTTGATCACCTGCTTTCTGGCAGGCATTGTTATGGCCCCTGCAATGACAAATAAGACATACAGGGTCCCTACATAATAAATAAATAAATAAATAAATAAATAAATAAATAAATAAATATATAATGTCAGATCACATAAAAGCTATGAAGAAAAAGCATTTTTTCAACGGATAATAAGGGACAGAGCAGGGAAGGGAAAAGGAGAGGAGGTTTAACTATTTTGGATAAGGTAGTGAGGAAAAGTTTTCTTTCAGAAGGTGAATTTGACAAAAGAGCTGAATGAAATGAAGAACCAGCCCAACTGTATATCTGGGAGAAGAACCTGTCAGTCAGATAGAACAAGTAAGAAGACCTTGAGGCCTTGACTTATTCTAGAAACTTGAAGACCAGAGTGACTAAAGCATAGGGACATAGAGTGTGAAAAGATGAGTTCCAAAAGGTAGGTAGGGCCTGATCTTGTAGGGCGTTGTCACCCTTGTAAGGAGACAGGATTTTATTCTGGTTGTGATGGGAAGCTGTGGAGGGTTATGAGCACTGGAAGATTATGACATTGGAGGCTGTGCTAATTTGGATTTAAGAAAGCTCACTCTGATTACTCTGTAGAAAATTGATTATAGGGTATAAGAGGAGAAGCAAGAAAGACTATTGCTCTGGAGTAGGCAAGAGATGATGGTGACCCTATTAATTAGTAGAAGTAGTGAGAAAGGTGTCAGATTTCAGATACATTTTGAAGGTTAAGGGAGGGGTGCTTGAAGATCATGAGAGAATAGACTGATATATTTTAGTTGAGTCCACTTTGGAATCACACAAAACTATTTTTAATTTTGAATATACTTTAGTGCCCCCAGCATTAATTATGCAGAACGTTTTAGGCTGTTTAAAAGCAAAGCAGATAAATTAAAAGGAGGTTAGTGGTTAAAACTTCTCTTTCCTATAAATCTCAAAGCAATCACAAGACCCCTCCAAACCTCATATCCCTTTTTTTTTTTTTGCTAATGGTTGTAGATCACACCAGTGTTCTACATTTCATATTCTCTCAGAACTTGCTTTGACCCTCAATGTCGTTCTGTTGTAATGATAATGAAAGTTAAGGTAACAAAAACCACTTATTGTTTATCATGTGCAAAGTATTGGTTTAAGTGCTTTTGCTATATTAAATCCTTTTATCCTCAAACAACCCTATTGTAACAAAAACCAAGTTCAGTAGCTTGCCACTCACAGAGTCCAATTAACAAGAGCAAGGTCTGGTATAAAGACAGCTACTTTTTATTCCAAAGGTAGCTTATAGGAAGAAGTATAGGCTTCCTGCCTTAAGGGTACCACTTCCCTTTTGGAGCAGAAAGAGGGTGCTTTTAAAGGGGTTGCCTGGCACACCGGCATGAATGGCATGCAGGGGAGAAAGCAAGCAGGTGGGGAGTCGATGTACTAGCTTTGGTGCTTTATCTACTGGGTAGTCGAGCTGGTGACTGCTGGCGCCTTCTTGGGCAGGCCTAGGTTGTAAAAAGCATCCCAAAACTCTCCAGATGGGAGAGAGATTCATAGTGAGCATGCTTTGGGTTGTAGATGGACTGTTGTCTCTTGAGGCAACCTCCTGATGGGTGAGAGTTCTGCTCTGGAGCTTCTAAGTACATAGTTAGATGAACTTGCCCTGTAGGAAATGTCTGGTAAAGAGGAAGTAAAATAGAGCTAAGTAAAAAGTTGGGGAAAGGAGGGAAGAGAAAAGAAGAGAGAGAGAGAAAAAATAATTAAACTATCTCTTGGAAAATTGGGATACACTATGAGGTAGCTGCTGTAGCTGTTTTACATGTGAGGAAACTACTAGTATATATGTACTGTAAGTGGCATTAGATAAACTCAGCACCTAAGCCTACTCAGCATGGCATATTATATTTTATAGTATCCTC
Organism: Homo sapiens; assembly: GCF_000001405.40. Lineage (NCBI taxonomy): Eukaryota > Metazoa > Chordata > Mammalia > Primates > Hominidae > Homo > Homo sapiens. Next base: position 113,507,342 of record NC_000001.11, read on the forward strand.
TCTACTACTTGTAAGGGGATAGCGTTTATGTTATTTCACTAATCTTTTATATTTTTCTGTTTTACATGGTATTGAAAAACGGTAAGCAGAAGGTTTGAGGGAATAGATAATGCTTTAAAATTTTGGCGTCTGTAAATCTAACCTTTTCTCTTATACTTCCAAGTTTGAATATCCTGTTGATTTTTTTCTTAGACCACCCAAATATCTTGAAAATTACCTTGCTTTTGAACCTAAACAGTGTCTCTCAGATAACATTTCACCTCTAGAAGTTACACAAAAATCTTTCAACAGATAATGTCTTGATTTTTGATTGACAGAATATGGTCATTGTATTACCTTATCTTTGTATCCTCAGTGCCCACATAGCACTTGGCACACAGAAAATGCTTAGTGAATGTTTACTGAATGACTGAATGGAGAGAACAGTTTCTCTGTATAATGTGATCTCATTTTTACCTACTAAAGAAAGACAGGTTTGCTTTCTAAGATGGGAAAATATGATCACTGACTGCCCCAGATTAGACACCCCAGTGGAAAGAGAGAGGTTCTATCTTCCAGTATTCATGTCAACCTTATTGAAGAACTCTGGCCCTTTTGGGGGTCATGTGCCTGCTCTTTGGACCAATCATTACTGCCAAAAAAAATGAGCTATTACAACTGGCTAAGCCTAGGTCAAGTTTTCCTTTTAATGGCCATGGAGGTATATTGCATTACTGAAAGGAAAGCTATGTGGAGCTTGAGCAAACAAAGAATGGCAGCTGTAATTATCCACAACAAAAATTATATAGAATTAAAATTTCCAAACAAGTCTCAACTCTTGTTTGCAATTTTATGAAAATTATAAATTTATGAAAAAGTGCAAGTTAAAAAGAAAAGAAACATGGTATGTAAACATGGGAAATGTACATTTTAGTATTTTTGTTAAGGGGAAAGAGAAGCAGAGGTGAACTCTGTGAAGTGATTGAAAATAGAAATCTTAAGGGTAGGCACCTCTCTTTTCAAGTTTCCGTACAGAGATTTTAATTCCTTTGGTCAAAAGGCTGCAATTCAAGTTGTTTTTGCAGGCCTGGCTCATTTTTCCACTGTTTTCCTCATGGGCTCAAAGGTCTGTTGAAGTGGTAAATAAACGTGCTTTGAAGCTATCACAACTCACCTTGTGTAGTTGAACTTGCTTAGGGGCAGTTATCACAGTTCCTAGTAAGCCAAGCTTGTTTCTGACAGCTATGGAGGATGTGAGAAAGAACAGAATTGGATAGAGAACCATTTGGGAAATGGGAGAGATGTGAGTGCTGATATGCTTTCCCCTCCATCGCTAATAAACTTCTAGTGCTATTCCTTGTTCTTTTAAATGTACCTATAGACATTTTGCTCTATGCAGGAAGTATTCCCTAATGAAAGAATGGAGTCAGAGCAAAAGGAAACATCTAAGCTTTATTGATCTGTGCTTATCTTACATTGCTGCTCTCTGCTGAGAAATTGATTGATTTTTTTAAAAAAAAAACTTCAGGAGCCTTTGTTGGATGTTGCCATTGCTGTTGCAAAATAGGAAAACAGTTATGCATAAATTATCTGGAGAAAATATTTTCCTTGATTTTTTTTTCTTTCTAAAAATGTGTGGGAAGAAATTATACAAAGTGAGTAAATGGTGGTATTATTTAGAAACCATTCTATTTTCACTTAGGCAACCCTAACATTAAGCAAGAGGATCTTTGTGGAGAATTTACTGTTAATATTGTTTGCATATTTACCCAAACAGCTTGATATAAGGGTTTGTTTTTTTGTTGTTGTTGTTCTTAAATTACCATTTTGAGATCTAGAAATTTTTCCCAGCCCAAATAACAACAAAATCGTTTACTCATTTTAAAACTTTATTGTTTAAAAAAACCCCACTAACAACCCTAAAATGAATGACTCCGTAGTTATTTTTACCTTCTTTTTATGAATTCCCTCAGCTGAAATTAGGATAATGTTTTGTTTTTTCCATCACTATTGAATACTATTCAATTATCTTTTCTTTTTTTTTTTTTGTTTTCTTTTTCCCAAATGGCTGTTGAATTTATTTGCTTGATCAATAATGGTCCTGGCAAAAATTAGTTAACCAATGCTGAGACATTTGTAATGAAATACTAATTTTAAAAATCCATGACACCTTGATAGAAATTAGAGTTTACACAAACAAAAAAGGAACCTTCGATATTGCCAGCAGCTATAAAGTGAACGTACTGAGACCGACAGGACAGCAAGAAGGCATTTGCACATTTATATCTGACACCCGACCATACTTTCAGTCACCAGAATATCTTCTCTCCAGATTTAAAAAAATAGTATGCTGATTTCTATAACAAAGCTTTTTTTCGTACAAAAATCAAATAATGGCCAACGAGTCACAACAGTGCAATAGGTAGAGGATTAAAAACTGCATCAAACAGGTGCTGAAAATAAATACTACCTAGGAGAAGGAGGTGAGAGCCCTCGTGTGGGGTTTGTTTTCGACCCCTTGAGTGTGTGTGGGGTTTGTCTTCCGAGCCACGAGCCTGGCCTGTCTCGCGGTGCTGTTCACTCTGACAGAGTGCGCCTGCAGCACGTTGCCTCCAGGGCCCAGCCTCCCAGAAGCCTCAGAGCATCAGAGCATCCGTCTCATCGGATGGACCTCAATTATCTTTTCATAGAAATGATGTCATTGTTATACACATGCAGTTTCTGTGGCATTGGAATGAGCGTGACACCATAAAAATAATTCTTAAAGATTGTCAATGTAGTGTTTTCTATATCATTGTTTATGAGAGTTATGGTTTCTGTTGTTTTTCGTGCATAAAAAATGCAATTTTTAAGTATTTTTAAAAATCAAACATTTGTAAACCATAATCTCCTGCATATTGTTGGTACTGTAAGTGCTACTTAGGTAACAGAAATGTTATAAGTATTTGATAAGATGCTTCTAAACATTATACATAAGAACAGTAGGCATTTAAGATAAACAGAAGTGTAAAATACATTTAATCCTAGGCCTTGACTTTTTTTTTTTTTTTTTTACATTCTGGATAATATTATCTACTCCCATGACATTTCAAGTGGATTTACTTGTGTAAATGTGCACATGATTCAAAGCACCAAATATCTGTTTGGTCTTTTCAATAATTCTTCCTGGGTAGCTATCCCTTCTGCTAATAACTTCATCTTTCATCAAGACTAAAAATAAACTTTTGAGATATCGCCCTTAAGTTTTTCTCTACTTAGACTGTTTCTCTTTCACGCTGTTGCCAGATTATCTTTCTAAAGGCAAAATCTTGGTCATATGACATTCCTGCTGAAATATCTCCAACATCTTATGTTGTATAGAGGAGAAATTCTAAACTCTAGCATGAACTTAGAGGCCATCAGCAATCTGTCCTTAGCCTAATTTTACTAGTTTCATAGTTTGCCCAGTGATCCTCCTCTAACCACCATATTATTAAGCCACATTTAACTGCATGCTGTTTCCACACCTGCCTTTATGAATCCATCTTCACACGCACTGTTTGCCCTGAGTATCCTTATTTTGCCGCTCAAATGTCCCTTGATTTCTCTAGGATTCTGCATCCTTATAACACTGTGCCTAGATCACCATAACATTAATACATTACATTACAGTTAATTGTTGAAGTCTTTCTCACTAGACTAGGGACCCTTTAAAAGCATGAACTAGCCAATATTTTTGTAAATCCCTTATCCTGTGCCCATTGTGGGGACTTGACATGTGGTAGGTGACATGCCTTTATATATTGTATTGGGTGCAGTTGCAGGGTTTAAATACTTTTTCCCTCTGAAAGAACTTGTTTGAACTGTAAAAGTGTCTAAGGAATATAGTACCTTTTTCCCCTATCACATTCTTCCAAAGTAGGACCTGTTAAGGATATTCTGGTAATTTAGTTGTGGGTAGGGGGAGGTAACCTTAAAGTATGAAATATAAAATCTTGTTATAATTCACTTGACAGTAAATATTTAAAACTAAGTTAAATAGCCCAAGAGAGTTATCTATACTAACACAAGTTAGGAAAGAATGAAAAGATGGTTGTTAGAAACAAATGCTTCGTGCTGCAAAGAAGAATCAGCACTCTGGCAAAAAGCTTTCTCAGCAAGGCAATTCACTTCTGAAGAAGGGTGCCACTCATACCTGGTGTGGTCACAAGAGCACACCGAGCAGGGTATGGCAGGGGTTTTTATCCCTAACAAAGTTCCTAGCACTTCTGTGTCCTTTCCCCATTGGCTGGGTTTGGACCTCACAATCTAAGCTAACTTGATTGGCTAAGGTTTAAAATTGAATACAGTTAATTTCCATGTATTAACTTTCTAGACAACCTTGAACAGGTCCTTGTACAATTAAAAGATTGGGTCAGATCATCTGGCAGATTTCTTATTGGGTAGTTACAAATGACTAGATAAATAGTAGTTCCATAAAATTTAATTTCTAAGATAGGACATTTAATGAATTTACTGAAGCTGATATTGGGCTATAACTTAAATGGTTTTGACTCAGTGAAAGTTGAGTTAATGAAGGAAAAAGTCACCTTTCAGGAGCATTTGCTCCCAGGGGTGGCACATTAAACAGCATTATTGTGATTATGATCTTTACCTCTTCCCCCAAACTCCCTTACATAACCAAAGGTTTCCTCTTAAGTCTTCTTTATTTCTCTTTAAATGTAGAGGTCATTTAGTTCTTTAAGGGGGAAAAGACAGTAATTTGAAAACGTTCAAATGCCAACATTTTTTTCACATTTAAAATCAGTAAAATAATTATTCTTAGGGCAAGACAAAATGGGTAAAAATGACTCATATATATTTGCAGGACTACGGGAGTCATAATAAAGCAAAACATTTTTTTCTGTATGTCCAGTGTTAGATTTATAAAATCAAAGTCATACAAAGACTGATGTTTAAGCACATTAATCTTCTATTATAATGTTTAGACCTCTCTTAGCTTGGCTTTAATTGTAAAATCACAGGCCTTGAAGAGAGAATAATTAACTCTATTACTGCAGCAACCACTTAAAGATCTAAATATTTTGGAGTGTTCTATTTGAAAATTAGAGGGAGAACTAGTCACTACAAAACCATCTACAGATCTTTGTGTTCTTTTTATTCTTTCTCCTCAACATGTAGTTTGTTGCATTTGTAAGGGAGAGAAATAAAAATATGTTTTTGGGCATAAATTTTAAGATTTTTAAAGCCTGTTCTTTTCATTCTGTCTTCTTCAGAGTGGTCTGCTGACTGATGAGGCAAAACATTTGTACCCTTGGACATATCTCAAAATAATAAGAGCTATCTATGACAAACCCACAACCAATATCATACTGAATGGGCAAAAACTGGAAGCATTCCCTTTGAAAACTGGCACAAGACAGGGGTGCCCTCTCTCACCACTCCTATTCAACATAGTGTTGGAAGTTCTGGCCAGGGCAATTAGGCAGGAGAAGGAAATAAAGGGTATTCAATTAGGAAAAGAGGAAGTCAAATTGTCCCTGTTTGCAGATGACATGATAGTATATCTAGAAAACCTCATTGTCTCAGCCCAAAATCTCCTTAAGCTGATAAGCAACTTCAGCAAAGTCTCAGGATACAAAATCAATGTACAAAAATCACAAGCATTCTTATACACCAATAACAGAGAAACAGAGAGCCAAATCATGAGTGAACTCCCATTCACAATTGCTTCAAAGAGAATAAAATACCTAGGAATCCACCTTACAAGGGACATGAAGGACCTCTTCAAGGAGAACTACAAACCACTGCTCAATGAAATAAAGGAGGATACAAAGAAATGGAAGAACATTCCATGCTCATGGGTAGGAAGAATCAATATCGTGAAAATGGCCATACTGCCCAAGGTAATTTAGAGATTCAATGCCATCCCCATGAAGCTACCAATGACTTTCTTCACAGAATTGGAAAAAACTACTTTAAAGTTCATATGGAATCAAAAAAAAGACCACGTCGCCAAGTCAATCCTAAGCCAAAAGAACAAAGCTGGAGGCATCACGTTACCTGACTTCAAACTATACTACAAGGCTACAGTGACCAAAACAGCATGGTACTGGTACCAAAACAAAGATATAGATCAATGGAACAGAACAGAGCCCTCAGAAATAATGCCACCTATCTACAACTATCTGATCTTTGACAAACCTGAGAAAAACAAGCAATGGGGAAAGGATTCTCTATTTAATAAATGGTGTTGGGAAAACTGGCTAGCCATATGTAGAAAGCTGAAACTGGATCCCTTCCTCACACCTTATACAAAAATTAATTCAAGATGGATTAAAGACTTAAACGTTAGACCTAAAACCATAAAAACCCTAGAAGAAAACCTAGGCATTACCATTCAGGACCTAGGCATGGGCAAGGACTTCATGTCTAAAACACCAAAAGCAATGAGCAACAAAAGCCAAAATTGACAAATGGGATCTAATTAAACTAAAGAGCTTCTGCACAGCAAAAGAAACTACCATCAGAGTGAACAGGCAGCCTACAAAACAGGAGAAAATTTTTGCAACCTACTCATCTGACAAAGGGCTAATATCCAGAATCTACAATGAACTCAAACAAATTTACAAGAAAAAAACAACCCCATCAAAAAGTGGGTGAAGGACATGAACAGACACTTCTCAAAAGAAGACATTTATGCAGCCAAAAAACACATGAAAAAATGCTCATCATCACTGGCCATCAGAGAAATGCAAATCAAAACCACAATGAGATACCATCTCACACCAGTTAGAATGGCGATCATTAAAAAGTCAGGAAACAACAGGTGCTGGAGAGGATGTGGAGAAATAGGACCACTTTTACACCATTGGTGGGACTGTAAACTAGTTGAACCCTTGTGGAAGTCAGTGTGGCGGTTCCTCAGGGATCTAGAACTAGAAATACCATTTGACCCAGCCATCCCATTACTGGGTATATACCCAAAGGACTATAAATCATGCTGCTATAAAGACACATGCACATGTATGTTTATTGCAGCACTATTCACCATAGCAAAGACTTGGAACCAACCCAAATGTCCAACAATGATAGACTGGATTAAGAAAATGTGGCACATATACACCATGGAATACTATGCAGCCATAAAAAATGATGAGTTCATGTCCTTTGTAGGGACATGGATGAAACTGGAAATCATCATTCTCAGTAAACTATCGCAAGAACAAAAAACCAAACACCGCATATTCTCACTCATAGGTGGGAATTGAACAAAGAGATCACATGGACACAGGAAGGGGAACATCACACTCTGAGGACTGTTGTGGGGTGTGGGGGAGGGGGAGGGATAGCTTTAGGAGATACACCTAATGCTAAATGATGAGTTAATGGGTGCAGCACACCAGCATGGCACATGTATACATATAGTAACTAACCTGCACATTGTGCACATGTACCCTAAAACTTAAAGTATAATAATAAAAAAGAAAAGCAACATTTGTACCCTTGTAGTTTTCTTAAACCACAAATCCAAATTCCAATCCTAGAATGTAACTCCAGGATATGAAAGATGGGAAAGAATAATATTACAGTGTAAAATTTGAAGAAAACTAAGAGAGGAATTTTCATACTTCACTAAATTCTCACATCTAGTAGTTCTGGGTCAGTGCCCTTATTGCCCTTACCTGACATTTAAGGCATATATTGTGCATCTTTGTAAGTAAATCTGTGTGGATACAATATAGCTTTTTGAATAGATGTTGATTTTGGTTTCTGAATAAAAGTTTCTCTTGTGATGAACCTCACAGTGGCAAAATGTAGATATGAGAAGGAGAAAACCATTTCTTGAGTAAAAATGGTAAAAAAAAATTTTTTTTTTGATCTCACGGCAGCAAACTTCCAAAGGCCTTTGATGTTTGCCATTTTGTTGTGATAGTTAACTAATCTATAATGTTTGGGACTATTGAGTTTTGTGATTTGACATTTGTTGTATTGGAATCTGATCTGTAAACTAGTAGCATGGCTTGATGTAGAGCTTTGACTAAAGAGACTGAGAGAATGAAGACTAGGAAATGAATTTTTACTATCTCTTCTCAAATGTTTGTCTAAAATTAGTCAAGAACTTCATTTCATTAAAAACGTTAAAGTTTTTTTATTTATATATGACCTCCAAAAATGATTGAATATTTTTTGAATACAAATTCTGTGCCAGTCAGCACACCAGCTTTTTACATGATTATCTCATTTAATCCTTAACACAACCTCATGGAATAGATGTTATCTTCATTTACAGATAAGGAACATTGGGTTCAGAGAGAGAAGTATTTTGTTCAAGACCATTTTTTCAGCTGGTAAATACATGACAGAGGTAGGACTCAAAATTCAGGTTTTGTCTGATTCCAAAGCCTGTGTGCTTAGTCACTATTATAAAAACAAACTCATAGTTCTTGAGTGAGGGAATTATTTAAGGCTTAAGTTACATTTACCTTTTAGTTTAAAAGACAGTATATGTAGTGACTGTGTATCATGATGATCCGTGGTACTGATTATTGAAATCATTCCACAGAGGTAGGCATGTGCAGGTTGTTGAATTGTACTATTATAGATCAATTGTGCCTGGCACTGTTAACATTTTGAACTGGGTAATTAATTTGTTCTGGAGGACTGTCCTGTGTACCATAGGATGTTTAGCAGCATCTCTGGCTACACTCACTAGATGCGTATACCACTCCCTTGTGACAATGAAAAATTGTCACGACTTTCAGAAAAATCATCATCCTTCTATCTCCAACAGAAGAGTGAACTCATGTTTAACTTCATGTAGGTACAGATGGGATATTTATCAATATGTATATAGTACATAGATTAATAGACACACATATTTCCTTGTTCTGTCAGCTGACAAGGTCTAGAAGCAGTGACTGCTCAGTAGCAGTAAGCAGACCTTACATTCAAATCTTGGTTTCTAATATTCTCCAACACAAGGAACCAGGACTCCTTTTAGAAATGGCAGATTCTAGGACTGGGTTGGAAAAAACTACAAGATGAGCCTGGAGCATTTTGTAGTGCCAGAAACTAAGGAAGTTCTCACAAAAAAAAAAAAAAAAAAAAAAAAGACAAAAATCCCCCACAATTATAAGAGTATGCCAAAGGGACACAGAAACTAACAGGAGAGCTCTCAACTGCCAAATCTGGAATAATTTATGCAAAAAAAATAAATAGAATAGTATTGCATTATAACCCAAAGTATAAAACAAATATCCATGAGCCCATATTGATATAAATAAATGATCTCATAAATTAATAAATTGAAGTGAAGTAGACAAATCTCCTGTGAGGAATTCCAAATAATTTATGTAACTACCTGCCCCCAAGGTGTGGGACATAACTCCCCACTCCTTAGGTATGAGCTACCCATAGTGACTTCCTTCCAAAGAGCACAATCAGTATAGGAGAGGGAAAAATAATGCTCCAGTGGAGAAATCTGATGAATACTACCTTAGCCAGGTATTTAAAGTTAACTTCAGCAGTGATAAATCATATTGATAGTGTGTGTATCCTTAACATGAAGTAATAAGAATGGCACTTTACCTTACTCGTCTTCCTCTCAAAAACACATAACCCCAGTCTCATCGTGAGAAAAACATGAGACAAACTACAATTGAAGGATATTCTACAGAATACCTGTTTACTACTCCTCAAAATTTTCAAGGTCATCAAAAACAAGGAAAGTCTAAGAAACTGTCACAGATAAGGGAAGCCTAAGGAAATATGACAAGTAAATGTAATGTGGTATTCTGGATGCGATCCTGGAAAAGGGGAAAAAAAACTTTAGGTAAAAAATTAGGAAATTTGAATAAAATATAAACTTTAGTCAATAATGTATCAATATTGGTTCATTAATTGTGAAAAATATACCATAGTAATATAATATATTGATAATAGGGGGAATTGGTGTAGTATATGGGAACTCTATACTATCTTTACGATTTTTCTGTAAATCTAAAACTTTTCTAAAATAAAAGTTTTATTTATTTTTTTTAAAAAGGCCTCAAAACATTGCCATATGTCTCTAGGGAGCAAAATTTCACCTAGTTGAGAAAATCACCATTATAGTTAATACCATAGAGAAAAAAAGTATATTTCATTTTTGTTTCTGTTGAGTCCCTAGTGGAGAAATAACATTAATGGAAATGCCTAGGATACCTAGTAGGCACAAAGGTGCAAAGTACATATTTACTTACCTTTTCTAATCTCTCTCCCCTTCCCCCTTAAAATTTTAGTGTCCTTGAGGGTTTTATATTTTTGTTTTTCTTCTCATTCTGGTAGCTGTCTTGGATTACCTCATTTGTGCCTGTAGCTTCACATATCATCCATATGTTGATACTACCAATTCAAAATCTTTAGGCTGATCTTAGCTTCTAAGTCTAGCTTCAGAGTAAGCATCTATCTATACTTTTATGTCCCATAACATGTCAAATTCACTAGATTTGAGTCACAAAACCTGATATCTCCTGCATTCTCTGTCTTGTTCCACCAACTGAATATGTGGGAGTCATCCTAGATTCCCTCTACCTTAAGGCCTGAATTATTGTACCCTCTTTCTCTCACTATGTCTTCCACATCTATGGGTTTAAAACAGAAATTTGATCCTCCTAATACCCTTTCTCTTAATCTTATAATGGTTCCTCATTGCATGTAAGAAACTTTTTTCTCCACTGTCATGTACTTCAATATCTCTAAAATTGACCCCTTCCTGTTTTGAGCCCCTGAATCTATTTTACTGGTTTCTGTGGTAATACAAATAACACACCACTGACATTGCTGACCTGTCTCCCCTTCTACTCCACCTAAGCTCCTAGAGTGCAAAGAGTCTATCTTTCTGTTCCCATGGTGGTTCATTTATGATGACTGAATGAGTGAATGTGGTTTCAGATTTATGGTTATAGATTTTATTCAGTGTGTTCAACTTGACTGGTTTCCTGTGTTTTGATATTTCTCTGAGTATGGCTTTATAAATTCAATAGTAGTAATGAGATGTTTTTTATTTATATTAGCAGTGGCTTTCCATTGAATATTATGATTTACCTCATACTTAGTTCCTTATATACATTTTAGGAGTTGGGAAAAGCAAGGTAGTTAAAATCATATCAGAAAGGAACCTTACTGTTTTTTTTGTGTCTACATATAGTACAATAAAAGCATAATTTTAGTATCTTTAATGTAGATGTTTGATTAGATATTGAAACCTTTCAACTATAATTAGATTAACAGATCTCCTGCTCCATCCTCATTCCCATTTATTAGTTGCTTCCTTTCAGACTGTGATTTAAAGTTTGAGTGATGCGCCTATTCTTTCTATAGCTAACAGAATTGTTCCAAAGTGCAGTGCAGCTGCTACTGAAGCTCCTTAGGTCAATACATTTTTCTGTAATAGAAAAACATGTGTATTGTGTTTTGTCTCCATAGGGATCTTAAATCTAATCCATTTAATTTAAAATAATTTTATTTATCTAGAATGTTACTTAATATTTTGTATAAAATATGCTTATTCTAAGAAAATGTTTAAGAGTTCTTGTCAGTGATTATTTTAAAATGAAAACAGGTAATGCAAGAGGCAGCTGGACAATTTTTGGATATATATTGTCTCCAAGTTATATTTCTTCAGAGGAATGAATAACAAGTTTGTTTCCCCCGTTACTACGAACTACACATTATTTTTGGAGGGAAATAAAAGGGGGTACTGATGCTTTCTGACATCACCCTAATTCTCTCTATGAAAACAGAAACCAAAGCCTCAAGAATTTGGGCTATTAAAATGTAATATTTGAGCTCCAGAAACCTGTTCTTAGAAGTATGCCGATTGGGATTTATGTGAACTTGGGGGTGGGGGAAGAGGGGTGGAAATGAGATTTCTTAAGAATAATTCCATTACTTTTGAGGCTGAGACCTAGTTCATAGCTTCAAAGTATGATTGGGTTTCTCATAATTAATTATCTTTTTGCTTTCTTGCCCCATGAGGGAAGTCTATAGTAACTACTGGATAGAAGTAATTATTGTAAAACATAGTTCAAAGTCAAAATCTTAATGACTCCTATTAAATTTCTTTTTGATATGACTTTTTATGGAAATCTGTTAAATGTTTGATAATTTTCATTATCCCAAAATAATGAGACTATTATCTGATATGGCATACTGTGTCAGAGGTCTTCAAGACCACTTCCAAGTGTGGTGATTTGTTAGGATAACTCAGAGGGCTCAGTGCATAGTCCTACTAATAGCTTTGATTTATAGCAACAAAAGGAAAAGGCAAATGGTGCAAAGACCAAGGAATCCAGGCTCAAGCTCCCAGTGGAGTCACACAGGATGCCCTTAACTCCTCCAGTATTGAGTTGTGACAACACATATGAAATGTCATATGCCAGGGAAGCTCATTAGTGACTCAGTGGCCAGGATTTTTATGGAGGCTTGTCACATGGGCAGCCTTAGCCTAGCACATACCAGATTTCCAGACTCCCAAAGAAAAGTAAACCATATTGTTTGCACAATTTAGGCAAAATGAGATATTCTTATCAGGGAATAGTAGGAACTCTCCCAAAATCCAGAATCCCAGGGGCTAGCCAAGGGCTAATCTTGCAAGGAAGCTTTTCTAAGGATAGCATCTCAGCCCTGTTTTATTGTCTTTTCACTGCATGTGCAATGTAACTTGAATGCTTATAGGTAAAGTTTGTCTATCATAATTACTGCAGTTTTGGAAGGTGGTCATACATCCATGCCTGTTTGTGATGGCTAATATCCATAGTTTGAAATAAATATAAACATGGTCAGTTCAGACTTCAACACATCAAGCATGTTAACTTTTGGAACAGATGCTATTTTTTTTTTTAAATAGAAATAAAAAACTGCATGTTACAAAATGATCACAATAGGAATGAATATATTGAGACTTTTTTTTTTTAGTTCTTCCTGTGTAAGTTCCATAAATGTGTTTAAATTCAGCAAACATTTGAGTGCCACTGTATGCCTATTTCTGTTCTAGATACTAGGGACATAGAAATGAATCAGGCATGATTCCTGCCATGAAGAAGCCCATATTCTAAGAAAGATGACAGGAATGTAAATAAATATATGTTTATAGATTAGTATAAGGAACATTATTTTGTCAAATTGTATTTTTTAAGAGATTTTAAAATAAGCTTACTTATACTGCTATTTATGTGTCAGTGTATATTCCACGGACACTGCTATGTAATCTTAGGGCTTTTTTTTAAAAAAAATTTTAGTCTCCTGTTTTCTTACTTTCTTTCTTCTTCTTTTTTTTATGAGATGGAGTCTCACTCTGTCACCTAGGCTAGAGTACAATGGTGCAATCAGCTCACCACAACTTCGGTCTCCTCAGTTCAAGTGATTCTCCTGACTCAGCCTCCCAAGTAGCTGGGATTACAGGCGTAAGCCACCACAAGTGGCTAATTTTTATCTTTTTAGTAGAGGTGGGGTTTCACCATGTTGGCCAGCTGGTCTCGAACTCCTGACCTCAGGTGATCCACCCACCACAGCCTCCCAAAGTGCTGGGATTACAGGTGTGAGCCATCGCACCTGGCATAGTGTCCTGTTTTCTTCAACTCTCTTGATTTTTGTGCTAGAGAAAGTGAGAGAGGGCATGCTTAATTATAAAGTGGTTTATCACAGTAAGTCACTGTGCTGGAACCTATTTAGGCTCTCCCTACATCAGCCATCACAAACATTTTAGTAACTGCCTTTAAGAAAAATTTTGCCATAGTGCTATTCATTTTTTTTTTTTTTTTGAGACAAAGTCTCGCTCTATCACCCAGGCTGGAGTGCAGTGGCTCAATCTCGGCTCACTGCAACCTCCGCCTCCCGGGTTCAAGCGATTCTCCTGCCTCAGCCTCTGAGTAGCTGGGATTACAGGTGCCCACCACCACACTCAGCTAATTTTTATATTTTTAGTAGAGACAGGGTTTCACCATGTTGGCCAGGCTGGTCTTGAACTTCTGACCTCAAGTGATCCACCTGGCTAGGCCTCCCAGAGAGCTGGGATTACAGGTGTGAGCCACCACGCCTGGCCAGTTAGTGCTGTTTTTTTTTGTTTTTTGTTTTTTGTTTTTAAGATGGGGACTTGCTCTGTCGCCCAGGCTGGAGTGTAGTGGCGTGATCTCAGCTCACTCAGCTCTGCCTTCCGGGTTCATGCCATTCTCCTGCCTCAGCCTCCTGAGTAACTGGGACTACAGGTGCCCGCCACCACGCCCAGCTAATTTTTGTGTGTTTTTAGTAGAGACGGGGTTTCACCATGTTAGCCAGGATGGTCTCGATCTCCTGACCTCGTGATCCACCTGCCTCGGCCTCCCAAAGTGCTGGGATTATAGGTGTGAGCCACTGCACCCAGCCACAGTTAGTGCTATTCTTAATGTCCAGTACTTGTAGTAGTCATATTTTGAATTTTATATAAAGCTTTATACAAAAAGAAATCAATTATCATAATTTCCTGTTTCCCCCATGCAATCTGCCTTTTTATTCCTGCCTCTTCTTCTGAAATAACTGAATTATTAGTCAGTTTTGCTTTCTTTCATTTCTCCTTTTGATATGACTTCCTTAATATAATGAGCTTGGAATTTGCTTTAGGTGGTTGTTCAGTTTATCTTCTAATCATGTATCAGAGTCTTCTATCATGCCCACAGCTCCACAAAATAACTCAAGAACCTGAGCTCTGGGTGTGGAGCTTTACTAACTCTTCTTCCCCTTTGCTTTAAATTTTTACACTAACACGTGTATTTTTTGGTCTGTCGTATATTTATTTATTTCTTTTTTGAGACAGGGTCTCACTCTGTCACCCAGGCAAGTGCAGTGGCACGATCTCTATTCACTGCAACCTCTGACTCCCAGTTTCAAGTGAGTCTTATGCCTCAGGCTCCCAAGTAGCTGGGATTACAGGCCTGCGCCACATGCCCAGCTAATTTTTGTATTTTTAGTGGAGATGGGATTTCACCATGTTGGCCAGGCTGGCCTTGAACTCCTGGCCTCAAGTGACCTGCCTGCCTCAATCTCCCAAAGTGCTATGATTACAGGCATGAGCCATTGCACCTGGCCTGTCATATACTTTTTTATAATTATTCATGTGCTTATCTTTGTCTTCTGTCCTCTCAGACGCTGTGCTTTTTTACCACAATTTATACAACCAGCTGTGTGACTTTGGGTAAGTTACTTAACCTCTTAATACCTCTGGCTACTCACCTATAAAACAGAGATAATAATACTCACCTCACAGGGACCTTGTAAGGATTGCATTAATATATGTAAATATCTTAGAATGATGTCTCCAGCCCACTTGATAAATGTTATCTTCCCCAACTTTTTTTAAAAATTCAAACCTTCAAAAATGGTAAGAGTGAATAAGTATCCACATACCCTTTGCTTGAACTAATTTTTTACTTTATGCCAAATTTTCCTTATTTCTGTAAGTGTGTGTGTAATTTTTTTAAACGAAACTACTTGAAGGTAAACTGCATATATTATGATACTTCAGCACATATCTACTAAGAGTAAGGACATTTTCCTATACAAGCACACCCAGGAAATGTAAGAAAGAGACAATGAAAGTATTTACTATGCAGTCTGATATGGTTTGGCTGTGTCCCCAGCAAAATCTCATCTTGAAATGTAACTACTACAATTCCCATGTGTTGTGGGAGGAAATTGAATCATGGGAGTGGTTCTTTCCCATGTTCTTCTCATGATAGTGAATAAGTCTCACGAGATCTGATGGTTTTATAAGGGGAAGTTTCCCTGCACAAGCTCTCTTTTCTTTTCTGCCACCATGTGAGACGTGCCTTTCACCTTCCGCCGTGACTGTGAGGCCTCCCCAGCCACGTGGAACTGTAAGTTCATTAAATCTCTTTCTTTTGTAAATTGCCCAGTCTCTGGTATGTCTTTATCAGGAGCATCAAAATGGACTAATACAGTAAATTGATACTGGTAGATTGGGGCACTGCTGAAAAGATAACCAAAAATGTGGAAGTGACGTTGGAACTTGGTAGAGGCTGGAACAGTTTGGAGAGCTCAGAAGAAGACAGGAAAATCTGGGAAAGTTTGGGACTCCCTAGAGACTTGTTGAATGGCTTTGACCGAAATGCTGGTAATGATATGGACACTGAAATATAGGCTGAGGTGGTCTCAGATGGAAATGAGGAACTTGTTGGGAACTGGAGCAAAGGTGACTCTTGTTATGTTTTAGCAAAGAGACTGGCAGCATTTTGCCCCTGCCCTAGAGATTTGTGGTACTTTGAACTTAAGAGAAATGATTTAGTGTATCTGGTGGAAGAAATCTCTAAGTAGTAAAGCATTCAAGGGGTGACTTGGGTGCTATTAAAGGCAATCAGTTTTAAAAGGGAAACAGAACATAAAAGTTTGGAAAATTTGCAGCCTGACAATGTGATAGAAAAGAAAATCCCATTTTCTGAGGAGAAATTCAAGCCAGCAGCAGAAATTTGCATAAGTAACGAGGAGCCAAATGTTAATCCCCAAGTCAGTGGGGAAAATGTCTCTAGGGCATGTCAGAGACCATTGCGGCAGCCCCTTCCATCACAGGCCTGGAGACCGAGGAGGAAAAAATTGTTCAGTGGGCTGGGCCGGGATCCCTCTGCTGTGTGCAGTCTAGGGACTTGGTGCCCTGTGTCCCAGCCACTCCAGCTGTGACTAAAAGGGGCCAAGGTACAGCTCGGGCCATGGCTTCAGAGGTTGCAGGCCCTAAGCTCTGGCAGTTTCCATGTGGTGTTGAGCCTGCAGGTGCATAGAAGTCAAGAATTGAGATTTGGAAACCTCTGCCTAGATTTCAGAGGATTTATGGAAATGCTTGGATGTCCAGGCAGAAGTTTGCTGCGGGGATGGGGCACTCATGGAGAACCTTTGCTAAGGCAGTGCCAAAGCAAAATGTGGGGTGGGTATGCCCACAGAGAGTCCCCACTGGGGTGCTGCCTCGTGGAGATGTGAGAAGAGGGCCACCATCCTCCAGACCCCAGAATGGTAGATCCACAGACAGCTTGCACCAGAAAAGCTGCAGACACTCAACACCAGCCCATGAAAACAGCCAGGAAGGAGGCTGTACCCTGCAAAGCCACAGGGACAGAGCTGCCCAAGACCATGGGAACCCACCTCTGGCATCAGCATGACCTGGATGTGAGACATGGAGTCTAAGGGGATAATTTTGGAGCTTTAAGATTTGACTGCCCTACTAGATTTCGGACTTGCATGGGGTCTTTAGCCCCTTTGTTTAGCCAATTTCTCCCATTTGGAATGGGTGTATTTATCCAATGCCTGTATCCCCATTGTGTCTAGGAAGTTACTAACTTGCTTTTGATTTTGCAGGCTCATAGGCAGAAGGGACTTGCCTTGTCTCAGTTGAGACATTTGACTGAACTTTTGAGTTAATGCTGAAATGAGTTAAGACTTTGGGGAACTGTTAGAAGACATGATTGGTTTTGAAATGTGAAGAGATGAGATTTGGGAGGGACCCTGGGCAGAATGATATGGTTTGGCTGTGTTCCCACCCAAATCTCATCTTGAATTGTAACTGCTACAATTCCCACATGTTGTGGGAGAGACCCCAGGGGAGGAAATTGAATCATGGGGGTGGGTCTTTCCCATGCTATTTTCATGATAGTGAGTAAGTCTTATGAGATCCGATGGTTTTATAAAGGGGAGTTTTCTTGCACAAGCTCTCTTCTCTTGTCTGCCACTGTGTGAGACATGCCTTTCACCTTCCACCATGATTGTGAGGCCTTCCCAGCCATGTGGAACTGTGAGTCCATTAAACCTCTTTCTTTTGTTAAATTGTCCAGTCTCAGGTTATGTCTTTATCAGCAACATGAAAACGGACTAATACACAGGCTGTGTTCACAATTTCCCAATTGTTCCTAAAATTTCCTTTATAGCTTTTTCCTTTTTTTATTCTTTCTCTCTCTGTTTAAAAACGTCTAGGAACTAAACAAGAATCACATTTGCTTTAGTTGTCCTGACTCTTCAGTCTGTTAATTTAGACCAGTCTTCCTTCCTTTTTTCCTGTCTTCTTGTGACTTTGACATTTTAGAAGACTATAGGGCAGTAGCTTGCTTTGTAACATGTTCTTTTGAAAACTGCACATACTGATTGAAAGATAACAGACTTTGTTAAATTATATTTCCTCTCTGTGGTCTTCATTGAACTAAATAATTAAATGATAGTAAAAGTAGCCTTCATTTAATAGTTAAATTATTTAACTATTATATGAAATAATTTAACTATTAAATGAAGGCTACATTTTATTATTTAATTATTTAATAACTAATGTGGTTTAATTAATTAAACTTTAAAGTTTTTAGAAGATAAATAAATAATGGAGATAATTTGGGTTATGTGAAAGATCATTAAAAATAAAATACATATTGGCCAGGTATGTAATCCCAGAACTTCGGGAGGCTGAGGCAGGCAGATCACGAGGTCAGGAGATTGAGACCATCCTGGCCAACATGGTGAAACCCCGTCTCTAGTAAAAGTACAAAAATTAGCTGGATGTGGTGGCGCATGCCTGTAATCCAAGTTACTCAGGAGGCTGAGGCAGGAGAATCGCTTGAACTTGGGAGGCGGAGATTGCAGTGAGCCAAGATTGCACCACTGCACTCTAGCCTGGTGACAGAGTGAGACTCCATCTCAAAAAAACAAAACAAAACAAAACAAACATATTTTGAGTAGAATATTCCAAAAGATTAGGTTTATAAAGAAAAAAATTAGACCAAAAAAGTTGTTTTATTTGAAAAAGGCTTTAAAAATATTTCAGTCTCATTTTATTAATTCTTTAATATTTATTGAGCTCTTGCTAAGTTGTTCCTGTTCTCCTAATGTTTGAAATCCAGGGAGTGAGGCAAGCTGTTAGGAAAGTGTAGTACAGTGTGATAAGGCATGTGGGTATATGTGATGAGGAGCTTACAGAGTCCTAGGGGAGCAAATAAGAAGGGCAGCTAACTTAGAACTGGGAGATTAGAGAGACCTCTCCAAAGATATAGTATCTGTGTATAGACATATTAATGTAGGTATAAAGGTATTATGAGACAACCAGACAAGGGGTTAGGGGAAGAGTGTTCCAGAGAAAAGGAACATCACATCCCAAGCTCTACGTATGAGAGAGAGAGAACCTAATATTTGAGGAATGTCAGAATGACGGTGGGTATGCAGTATGGAGAAGGAACTACAGGGTGGCAGGAGAAGAGGCTGAAAGGGAATGCTGGAGGTCTTATAAACCACATTAAGGGATTTGAAGGCTACTCTTAGCTCAATTGGAAGGTTACCTACAAAAGTAGAAGTATGATATAAGCAGATTTGTACTTTAGGAAAATTGGAAAACAAAGCTGGTGGCAGGGAGTCCAGTTAGGAAGCTGTTGGCTCAATCAGGCTAAAGATGTTGGTGACCCGGATTAAGGTAGTAGTCATTGAAATGGAGAGAACTGAATGAGTTTGAGAAATATTTGGGAGATGGTATCAACAGTATTTGGTGATTGAAGAAGAGGTATAACATATTAATTAAGAAAAAGACTGTAGAGCCCAGACATCTGGGTTCAAGTCCTAAGTCTGTCACTTAGTAGCTTTGTAAATTTGGGTCAGTTATTAAACCTCCCTATGCCTCATTCTCCCCATCTGTAAAATGGGAAGAAAAACAGTACTCATTTTATAGGATTATTGTGAGAACTAAAAGAATTAATATATGTACAGAATTTAGAACAGGTGCCAGGTACATAGTAAGTATCATATAAGTGTTCTATAATAGTTATTGTTGCAATTGTTAATATTATTATTACTGATTTGATATGTCAGTGAGGGGGAGAAAAAGAGCCAAGGCTAACTCCTAGATTTTTAAAATGGCAGTTGAGGTGAATTGTGGCAGATTTTATGTGTGTGGCGGGGGCGGGCAGGGAGGAGGTCTGATGCATTCACATTTGGATTTGCTGAGTTTGAGAGGCTTTTCCAGTTGGCATCGCTCAATAGGCACATGAATTTGGAAGTAGGGAGAAAGAGTTGAGGATATCAGTTTGAAAATTACTAGAATATAGGTGATAATTAAGCTGTGGAAATAGAATGAATTCACCCAAATGAAGAACTAGTTAAATAGGGAGAAAGGCATATAAAAGATTGTGTTATCTTTAAGAATTTATTATTTAGGCCAGAAGCCAAAGTATAAAACTTGGTGCCAAATGGAAAGTTTAGAAAACTTTCAGCATTCAATACAACTTCATTTAAATTAGGTTGGTCTTCAGAGGATATTGAGGTGAGTAAAATGGGCAGCTAGATGAAAGAAAATCATTCATCTATTGAGGAAACTGCAGAGAAGTCACTTTGCTAACACAGGGAAGATGTTGCTGATTATTTTCTGTTTTGGATCTGACTTAAGGAAAAAAGATAAAAGATTCATTCTTAATTGGCAGAATAGCAAAGAATGAGTTAAGTCTTTCTATAAATTATTTGTCTTAAGTACCTATTGCTAGAATTAGTTAATATTGTATTTACTAAGGAATTCTATATTTTTTCAACTATTATGAAAATTTTCAAGCATACAGAAAATTAGAAAGAACAGGACAATGAATACCCATATAACCACCACTTAGATTCCATACCCACCTATCTATAAGTATGTGTGTGTATGCGTACATGTCTGTGTTTAGTGAAACCATTTCAAAGTAAATTGCAAATTTTATGACACTTTAATCCTAAAATATTTAGCATGTATTCCATATTATACCTCACAACACCACTATCACATCTAAGAAAATTGACAGTAATATCTTAATATTAGCTACTATCCAGTTTATAGTCAAATTTTCCCAGTTATCACAAAAATATTTTTTATGGCTTTTTTTTCCCTTCCTAAACAGGATCCAACTGAAGTTGACATATTGCCTTTAGGTGTTATACCTCTTTAGTCTCTTTTGTTTGAAAATCTTCACCTCCCCCAACCTTTTTTTTTTTTTTTTGAAAGGAGGAGACTTTTTAAGAGAGCAGAATGTTCTAAATTCTAAATTTGTCTGATTGCTTCTTCATGGTATCATTTGTCTTGTTCATCTATCCTTTGTAATTCCTATAAACTGGAATGTAAACCAAGTTGATTCTATTCAGATTAAATGTTTTGGCAAAAATACTTCATAGATGACACTGTAAACTTCATATTGTATTGCATCAAATGGCTATCAGATTAGCAATAATAAGTTTGATCTTTTCTGTGTAATAAAATACTTTTCTCCTTTGAGATTAGCAGGAAATTGGTGGGAATAATTTCATACTAAATGGCTTAGCATTTATTGATGACTGAATCAGTTATTTCATCGGGAGTTGCTAATTCTATCGTTCCTTGTACATTGTTAGCTGGCATTCTTAGGTAAATAAGAATTTTGCACCTGGAAATGAACAACATAATTACTTATTTGCTTTATCCTACAGTACACAAAAATAGGTTTAAAATGACAAAACCCAGTGTTAATACTATAAGCATAATGTGAGGTTCAATATTTTTAATAGTTTTTATTGTCCTTAGAATATATGCCAATAAGAATGTAAGTCAGAATACTATGTTCAAAAGTGACTTGAAATATTTTTTGTTCTCATGTGGTTATGTTACTGATTTGACAAGCAATTAAGTTCATTTGTTTCTACTTGTTTTCGGTCAAAGTTTGCTTATTTAGATCTTATATTTAGTTTTATTCTCTTGAATTTATAAAACTTTTGTTGGTTCAGAAGTCACACTATATTATAAAGTATAGTTGGAGAAGTTTGGCTTTTATTTTGTACATCTACCCTCTACCTCTGTCCTTTTACCACCCTGTCATAGGTAAACATTTTTATTCATTTCTAGTTTAGCCTCCTAGTGTGTTTCTATGTGTTGTGATATAACTGTGTAACTGTCCTTGTTAATTAGCGTTGCTATAATGAAAATTCCATAAACTGAGTGGTTCAAACAACAAACATTTATTTCTCACAGTTCTGGAGGCTGGGAAGTACTAGGTTGAAGGTGCCAGCAGATTTGATGCCTGATGAGGGCTCAATTCCTAGTTCAAAGATGTCCATCTTTTTGCTGTGTCCTTATGAGGCAGAAGGTTAAGGAGCTCTCTGGGTTCTCTTTTATTGGACGCTGTTCCCATTGATGCAGGCTCTGTCCTCATGATCTAATCACCTATCAAAGGCCCCACCTCCTCATACCATTACACTGGGGGTTAGGTGTCAGCATATGATTTTGGGGGAACATAAATATTTAGTCTGTGGCAGTACTACAACTCTAACTATCCTTATTTTTTCTTCTATACTGGATGTATCATCTTGTACTCCATAGAGGCATGCCTAGTATATTTGATGCCTAAAGCAGATAACTTTTTAATATATATCTCTCCTATATGACAAAATTATTTTCAAAAATAACCATGAAATAAAACAAAATATAATAATGGGTAGAAATGAGATATAAACATTATATTTTATTTTATTGAATGATGAATATATAATCATGCCAATAAAAATAAATTAAAAATAAAATAAATATTACAGTACAGAAAATGTTTATTAAAATATTTTCACCAGAAAATTCATCTTAAGTTTTTCTATTTGTTTTTTTAAAAAACTTCTGAAAGTTTTTCTTTTTCTGGAAAATGCAGAGAAAATGACTGTGTGATAGTGGGCATTGATGCTATTTGACCCACTAGTTTATAACTGTGCATTCAAATAAACAGTGCCATTTGGTTTCTTCTAGTAATGTAAAAGCAGCATCTTTTGTTGTTTCCCTTAGCATTCTTCACATTTTTGTTCTTTTCTCAATATAAATGTCCATTTCCTCACATTTTATTTTTGAGTAATGACCATAGCCACAGTTTCTATGTACTGTTCTTTAAATAACAGTTTTAAAGCTTTATGTTTTATTGTCCATTGTTGAAAGTTGATTCCGGCTGTCTGCAAACATTTTTGTGTCTGATTAGCTCATCTAAAACTTCCTACCAGAAAGGAAAAAAAAAAAAAAGACAACTTAACGCAGGAACAGAAAACCGAATGTTGTATGTTCTCCTAAGTGGGAGCTAAACAAGAATACATGGACACAAACGGGAACAACAGACACCAGGGCCTATTTGAGGGTAGAGGGTGGGAGGAGGGAGAGGATTAAAAAAAATACCTGTTGGGCACTATGCTTATTACCTGGGTGACCAAATAATTTGTACACCAAGCCCCCATGACACGCACTTATATAACAATACTGCACATGTACCCAGAAACCTAAAATAAAAGTTAAAAAAAAAAAAGACAACTTAGAAAAGAGAAACAAGGCCAGGTGCAGCGGCCTTATGCCTGTAATCCCAGCACTTTCGGAGGCTGAGGCAGGAGGATTGCTTGAGCCCAGGAGTTCAAGACCAGCCTGGGCAACATAGTGAAACCCTATCTCTAAAAAAATACAAAAATAAGCCCTGGTGGTGTGCACCTGTAGTCCCAGCTACTCGCGAAGCTGAGGTGGGAGGATTGCTTGAGCCTAGGGGGTCGAGGCTGCCGTAAGCTGTGATTGTACTACTGCACTCCAGCCTGGGCAGCAGAGCAAGCCCCTGTCTCAAAAAAAGAAAAGGAAAGGAAAGAGAAAAAGAGAAACAGCATACACTGATCATTATTTATTTGGAATATATTATTTAAATGCAGAAATATATGGTGTCATAGGGGCTAGAGACATAAACTGTACTCAAAGGAAACTTGAATAATTTTGAAACATTACAAAATTAACTTCTGAATAAATGTAACTGAGTCCATGTGCATCAGAGGCTAAACTGTGAGTTCTCCACTTTCTTTTTTTTTAAGTTAATTTTCATATATAAATCAGTGTTTATTGAGAAATAAGTAATAAAAATCTGCTAATTTAAAGCTTACATACAGGTTATTAAAACTTAACAGTCACTGGAACAATTATTTAGAATTTAGAACACAAATTCTTTTTCAGGGAGTATTTTTATCACTGACATTGTTTAGAATTGCTGGCACTTGATGATAAAAAGCAGAATAATTTTTAGTTAGGTTTAATTTTTAAGTTCTCTATGTAGAATGCACCCCCTTGTTGTGGGCCTCAAGGGTGATCTGCTTCTACCACCCTACCTTTGGTATGCCACTGTATCCACTAGCAAAGTATGAGACTATCTGTTTCTTCCCAACCTCACCAACAGAGTGTTGTTGAATGTTTCATCAGTCTGATGGTGAGAAATCATATTGTTTTAATTAGCATTCATCTTATGAGTGAAGGCTTTTATAAGTTTAAAGGTCGTGCATTTCTTTTTCTATAAAATGCCTAGTCATTTATTTTGCCATTTGTTTTGGTGGTAGTTTTTCCCCGACTCTATGTTTGAACATAAGTGGTATTGCGGGGGGTGGGGGTCGGGTGGGGGGCTGGGGCGGGGACAGGGTACCTTTCTCGAAACCTTAGTACTCAACATGATACACAACAGAAATCACCATGTCTCCCTTTAAGGTGGCTTATGCATACTGCAGCCACACTAAGGAACTAAAACAACTTCATATGTATGAGCCTAGGAAACTGTTGAAGTAGAGCTTTTCAAATTGGACTCACAGTTTCATCTGTTTTTATACATTGGAATTTCTTACACAGTTTCTTTTAAGATATAATTCAGTTCTTAAGTCTCTGAATCACTGCTATAAAGTGAGAACAAACATCAGTGGTTCTTTTAAATTTTATAATATACCATAATACAATAAGAGCTACATAATTAGAAATTAGTAATTTAACCAATAAAATCAGTTAAATTGGTTTCTTCACTGAATTGAGTTAGGCAATTTAATTAAAATAATTATCACATAAATATAGCCCTACTGCTTAAAGACTATTTATACTTTGCTAAGAAAGAAAAATTGTATATTCATTTTATAGAGTCAAATATGAATGTTTGTATTGCAGTTATTAAACTTTTATATTATATATAAACAGCTTCCCAGAAACAGAATTGAACATGAAATTTTATCTCCATGTCTGCAAATTCCCTTTCAGTCAGTATTTATATATATATTATCTTTGTCTTTATAGTGTTACCTGCATGTTTGTATTGGACCTTTTCTACTTTTTTTTTTAAGTTGTAAAAATGGTAACAACATTTAAGACAAAAGTGTAAAGACAGAGCATAGCCACTCATAATCTTATCACTAACAGCTTTTTAATTGTCAGTTGTCTTATTTTTTAATGTCTCTTCTAAATTGTCACATCTGTTTCTTTAAAAATCCTGATCTCTAAGAATAATTTCTCCTCAGTGGCACTTTTTGCCTACTGGTCCCTCTTTTAAATACGATAGTATTCTTCAATAGCAACAAAAGTGTATTTGGTTTTAATTTTGAATTTAAAATTTAACAAAGTATCTCGTGTTTACTGAGGTTAAGGTACTTGTGAATTATTTATTAGAGAGCTTGGAAATGTTAATTTTAAGTGTATGTATTGTAAATCTGTCTCATCATGTCAAAAACAAGGTAATAGAATCATGTAATATATGAAGATGTATGTTATTAAAGAGCTACAAAGAATTGATGTTAGTGCTTACTTGAACTTACAACAGACTTTTTCCAACTGAATTGAGATTAATTTACATCTCTCTAGAAAGCAGTAACTTCTGACATCCATTCATTTTGACCATGAAAAATAAGGTGGTGTGTGGATTGTACCTCTCCCCTGTATCTATTGGTCTCGTTACCTGTGTGCCTTGTTTTTTCTCATGTGACACCTGTTTATTTTTTCATCACAGTAGCTAAATAACGTAGTATTAGTATTTGCCTACAGCAGCTCTAAGTTATATGGTTTTCTTTTAGCTTTAGTCATAGACCTCCGGATTACTTGTTTCGTGTCTCTCTGAAGAAAAAAATAAAAGAAAATGTGGTACATATACACCATGGAATACTATGCAGCCATAAAATGAACAAAATCATGTCCTTTGCAGCAACTTCAGTGCAGCTGTAGGCCATTACATTAAATCAATTAACACAACAACAGATAACCAAATCCACATGTTTTCATTTATAAATGGTAGCTAAACATTGAGTACACATGGATAGAAAGAGGAGAGCAATAGACCCTGGGGTCTCCTTCAGGGTGGAGGGTGGGAGGAGAGTGAGAGTCAAAAAACTACTTATTGGGTAGTATGCTCACTGTCTGGGTGACAAGATCATTTGTATACCATACTCCAGTGTCACTCAATTTACCCATGTAACAAACCTGCACGTGTATCCCCCGAACCTAAAGTAAAAGTTGAAAAATAAAGATAAAAAGATAGATGAAATTTAGCTATATATCTATTAATTTAAAACCACCATTACCACCACAACTCAGAAAGACCTTGTTGCCAAGCGAACGGAATACAGATAACACACCGTGTCTTTCATCACAGAGTTTTCATCTTAATCTCCCTTGATTTGGACTGTTTAAATATCTTTTCTTTTTCTTTTTTTTTTTTTTTGGAATCAGATTCCCCGTCCCCATAGCTAAAGAATTTAAATTTGTCTTTATGATGCTGTTGTTTTTACCTTTTTCTTGGGACACGGTGAATATTAATATTCTCATTTCAATGTAATTTCTTTTTAATTTTTGAGTTTTCTTCAACTGTGCTTCTTGTTTATTAAACATTTAGTTCATTCTCTTTTCTCCTGCAGGGACACCTATAATTTGAAGTTTGAATCACAGCACTTCCCCTGCACATCTGTGAGCATTCATTCACTTCACGTCTCAGCTAATTTCTTATGTTTAGTATGTTTCTTGACTCTGCCTCCTATTTCACCAATACAATTTTCTGCTGCGCTGATTCTTCTAATGCTGCTTCTACTGCCAGTATTAATTGGTTTGTGGCTAAATTTATCCTGTGCTGCTGTTAGTGCCCTCCAACTGTTCTGCTTTTCCCATAGTCCACATTGTTGCCAGAATGATCCATCTAAAATACAAGTCTGGCTATGTCATGCATCCTGGTAAAATATTTAGTGACTTCACCACAGAGTAATGCTCTAATCCTTTAAGGTCATGAGTTAGATCCTTCTTTCATCTGAGCCTCCCGCCTATCACTCTAGTCATATAATCCCTTGCGGCCTTGCCTTTCCTTCCATGCCATTCAGCATGCCCTTTCTCCTGCCTGGAATGCCCACTGTGCTCCCTCTATCTATCCTCTCCATTCATTCTTCCAGTCTATGTTGCCTGGCTTCCCCTACCAGTCACAATTATTTTCTCTTGGGTACATACTCCTATGTACCTTGTACATGCTTCTTAACTGGCTTTTGTAGTTATTTGTTTAGACTGGTTTATGATACTATAACACTGGGGTGACCATTATGACACCAAAGACAGGTATTACTTTGTGATTTTTATATCCCCCATGCCTAGCATAGTGCTTGGTATTTTGTTTTATTACCCTTCTGTCCTCTTCGTTTTATTTATTTTAAGGGAGAAAGTAATGATCACCTCTATCATGTGATTTTTTTTTCTTTTTTATGGGAAGTATTTTTATTGGAATCAGACTGTTTAATTGTTTTTCTCCTGTCCATGTTTTCTTGTACATAATTTACTAATCCCTAAGATGTGGTCTTAACAGTAAATTGCCTTAAATCACCATATGGTATTCAGTCACTGGGTCAGGGTAGAGGAACCAGTTCTGTAAGTGGCCTGCAAAAGGCCCAGTTAGTATTCATTTCAGTAACCAAATTACAGGCTTAAGTCAACCAGGACTGACTTCTCTAGCTTAATTGTTTGGTCTGAAGCCTGGGATGGTGCTCAGCTTTCACATGTGTTCCTAGTTATGCAGCTCTGAAATTTGAAAGCAAGCTGTACTCGGCCAGGGTGGTCTTATTCTCTTGTTTTTATTGTTTGCCTCAAAGATTATATTTGCTCTAATTCTTAAGCACTTAAAAGAATAGGGGAAAAAACAGAAGCTTTATAGATTTCTAAAAAATGGTATACTTTTGTTGTTCGCTTAAAAAAAAAACCTCTCAATAGAAAGTTATGAAGAGGAGGATAAAAATTCTTCATTGTCTTGCCACTGAGAAATAAGCACATTTTAGAATATGTTTTGCATACACATATAAGAAACATGTACCAATTTTGTAAATATTGTATACTAAATGCTATTCTGCACCTTCCTCTTTTTTTTAACTCAATATATTTAAACATTATAAATCAGTAGTTGAAGACACGTTTCATTATTAATGATGTACTCATCAGTTCCCTATAGTTGGACACATTTTTTTACATTTGTATTTGAATATTACCTTAGTAGATCTTTTTCTAAGAGGATATGCAAGTATATGTTAATAGATATTGCCATAATGCCTTTCAGAAACGTTGTGCAACTGTATGCCCTCATTAATAGTGCATGAAAATACTTATTACCGCACATCTCTTTCAAAGCTAGATTATTGTCAGTTACTCTCTGTGAGGTAAAGTCTTCCAATTTCCAGCCCTAAATTCAGAGCTCTTCTCTGAATTCCACATAGTTATATCCAACAACCTACTTGATATTTCTACAAGGTGTCCGTCTCACCAACATATCAAAACAACATGCCCCAATCCAACCTGATTTCCTGCCTCAATTCTGAAACCTGTTCTTCTCCTTTCTATTTTTCTTTAAATAGAACTTAAATTTACCTGGTTTCTCAAATGAGAAACCTGGAGTCATTATTATTTTTTGTCTCTGCCTCTCTCCCTGAATCTTCCTGTCAAATGTACCACCAACTATTATGGCTTCTACCCACAATCCCATGTATAGCCAAATACAAGAAGAGCCTGTTCTTAAGCTGTCCACAATTACTAGAAGACATGTGTTTTTTTTTTTTTTTAAAAAAATTTGATTAGACAGTATGAATCTAACTGTTAGGGATATAATCAAATTTCTACTTCTAATATTTAATTTAATTATACATGTATTTAAACTCACAATTTAGAGATACAGGGTTTGCCACTGTGTCATACAAAAATTTTGTTGGTGCTTTTTCAACACTGGAATGAGTCATCTAATACAGTTTTCCAGATCATCTCCTCCTCCCTTCCATCTAAGTTGTTTGAGATAATGTATTTTTTGAATCTGTGTATAATGCTGTCTCAGTTCCAAGTACAATTAGGGCAGAATTTTTCCCCCTACTTTTTCTGTTGGCATATATTCATGATCCTGTTACCTAAGCATGGACTGAATTGCTTTTTTCAAATGATCACTGAAATATTGCTTGATGGTGACATCTAACACACACAGCAGGGAGGTAATACGTCATGGAATAATTACTAAATCTTCTTACTTTGCTTACTTTTTTCTTTTTTTTTTTACCAGTTGTGTCAAATTATCTCTTGAAGCAATTGTTGTTGGTTCCAGCTAACATGACTGTTCCAGAGAGTACTTTGTGATTTTTCAGAACAAAATAATTTGTATGTCAGTCTGTAATCTGAAATATTCTAAGGTTCAAATATAAGATGATTTCCTCTTCTAAGGATAGTTTTTGATATTGAAAAACTCTTCATATATATGGGTTTGTACAGTGAATCTCAAATCCATCTCCTTTTCTCCTTCACTACCACTGTAAATCAAAATCATCTCTTACCTGGACAGTGGCCCTCACTGTTTAATTGCAGGCCCCATAGCTATTCTTGCCCCCCTGTACATTCTCCACACAAAGTTACTTTTTTAATATGCCAGTCTAATTTTCTTACTTCTTTACATAAAGCCCATTAGTGCTATTTCTTGACTACCTTTTCAGTTTACCTTGGTACAACTTGGCTCTTACCATTAGCACATGAAGTCTTCAGCTTGATATAGATAGCAGATAGCCTCTATTTAGCTATTAAAATGCCTGCATTGGTAGTAGTGGGTAAGGAGGGAGCTAGAGCCGAGGGAACATTTTGGTAGCTTTATCTCCGTTTCTCTATGAATTTTTGTCTTTTGCTCCTAGGCATTGGGAATTTTTGCTTTCCCTGTTGGGAGCAGGCATGGTGGCTTCATTTGGCTCCCTCTGCTTCAGGGTGAACTCATGGTGAATTAGAAGGTACTCTGCCACAGCTCATACACTTTTTGTCATGTACTATTCCACTCTCAAGTTACTGTCGTCTGCAGCTTTGAAGTAGGTTTGCCTACTGACATCACACCTCCCAGTTAAGAACCTTGTACAGAAGAAAAATGGCCAATGAGTTTGGCCAGTGAGTTCCACCTTCAGTCCTGCCGTGCTTTCTGATAGCTCACGTAAACTGGGGATGTCAGTGGAGGCCTTCCGGATATTTTCTATTCAGAGTTTGCAAAACGTGCTGTCCTTATGAGCTAGAGAGTTGCTTGTCAGCTTTTGGCATTCCCTCAGTGTAGTCCAAATTGTTTTGTATTTTCTGGAGTTGATAACGTTTTTAAGAGATAATAAATTTTTTCTTTCATTTTTGATTATTTTTTCTCATTTTCTGTGTTGAAAAGAGGGATTTTTGTAAAAGTGACTTATATTGTCATGTTGCCTAGAAGACTCTTCCAGTTCTTGAACAGACATTTTACATTTTGAAGGATCATTTTAAAAAATATTTTAAATGTGTTATTGATTAAAGAGAGATTAGAAATGGAAATTGGAAATACTTAAATTATTTTGTTTGTTGAATGTATGTTGACTCTCTCTGGACTCAGATTACTTTTGATGTATAATAGAATTTTGGGGATCTTTAACCATTTACTGCAGAAAAGTTCTGAGGGTCAGTATATATTTTTAAAAGCTATCAGAGAAAAGAAAACTATTAAATTGTTCCTTTCATATTGGTTAATTATATCAGCCTACTGCCTGAATCCAGAGGTTGAAATTGTTTACAATAATGAAGTCTCTTAAAACACACTATGAATTCTCTAATTATCATCTTTTTTGGGTCAATATTCCCTTTCAGCTGTCTCTTTATTAGCTGTTGTAATGAAATATCAGTAACAGATCTTCCACCTCAAGTCTTGGACATTCTGTTGAAGTGCATAACTTTGATTTGTAAAGACTACTAAACCCAGTTATTATGTTTTCAGTGAAAATGACAGTGCACAATAGATGGTTTTGTACGCTCCTGTCAAAAGGATGAAGCATATAATATGACTCAGTTATTGGTGTGCCAGCCAGGCATTGGTTATCTGGCATTACGACAGGTTTGCTAATGATTCCTGATGTGAGCGTCACAAAGAAAAAATTGTAAATAGCCTCAGGATAACACTTCTAAAATGCTGGGTTTTTTTTAAGTACTAAATGTTCATAATCCCATAAAAAGTTTAGAAAAGAAAAGGACCCAATTTTGATTATTTACTTTTTCACTTTTTCTACTCTGTTCTGCTAGGAAGGTCCCATCTTACTTTGCCCTTCCTGATATATGACCTTTTAAGGGGAGGTTGTGGTGATTTTGTTGTGTCTTGTCTAGAATGATGATTTCCATCTTATTTTTCAAACATAGGTTTTAGTTCTTTAGTTTATCCGTTGACTGAGAGTTTCAGTTAAAAGAGAAATGATTGCAATTTATCCTAGGAATGGTGAAAATAATATTTATTTTGAAGACAGCTGACCAAAGAAAAGCCTACACAAATAGTCTCAGCTTTCATGTAGAACTTGGAAGTTTTTTGTCATAATGGTCCACTATGTTAGGCCTCCTTTTCCATTAATGACATTTAAAGGGCACAATTTTTCACAATTTGGTTTCCAGTTTGTAAAACTTTTTTTTTCATTATAGTAACATATTTTCACTGCAGAAAATTTGAAAAACAAAAGCTATGAAGAAAAATGTTTTTAAAGAAAAAAGTTTATTTAAGGCCGGATGTGGTGGCTCACTCCTGTAATCCCAGCACTTTGGGAGGCCAGGGCGGGTGGATCATGAGGTCAAGAGATCGAGACCATCCTGGCCAACATGGTGAAACCCCATCTCTACTAAAAATACAAAAATTAGCTGGGCGTGGTGGTGTGCGTCTGTAGTCCCAGCTGCTCGGGAGGCTGAGGCAGGAGAATTGCTTGAACCCGGGAGGTGGAGGTTGCAGTGAGCCAAGATCACGCCACTGCACTCCAGCCTGGTGACAGAGAGAGACTCCGTCTCAGAAAAAAAAAAAAAAGAAAAAGCAAAAAGTTTATTTAAAATGCTTTTCAAAATCACAAGGTAATTACATCCTTTGATAATACCTTAAGTATTGTTAAGTATTTAAGAATGAGTTTGTTTTATGTGTGTCGCTTACATTTTTTTTAATTAATTAATTTATTATTATTATACTTTAAGTTTTAGGGTACATGTGCACAATGTGCAGGTTAGTTACATATGTATACATGTGCCATGCCGGTGCGCTGCACCCACTAACTCGTCATCTAGCATTAGGTATTTGCATATATTCAGTTATGTTTAATTTGGATTCATACCAAATATTTTATTTTGTAACTTGCTTTTTTTCATTTAAAATATATCATGAGCATTGGACTGCATTGTCATATATTGAAGCATTACTTTTTTTTTTTTTTTTGAGATAGGATCTCATTCTGTTCCCCATGCTGGAGTGCAGTGGTGCGATCATGGCTCACTGTAGCTTCGACCTCCCTGGCTTAGGTGATCCTCCCTCTTCAACCTCCCAGGTAGCTAAGACTATAGGTGTGCACCACAACGCCCAGCTAATTTTTTGTATTTTTAAAATACAGACAGCATTTTACCCATCTCTACAAAAAATAGAGATGGTCTCGGACTCCTGGGCTTAAGCGATCCACCCATCTCAGCTTCTCAAAAGTGCTGGAATTACAGGTGTGAGCCACCATACCTGGCCAAAACATTACTTTTAATGATGTTGCTTAGTGAAAGGGTTTGTGTGTCTTTGAAGTCTACAGTAAAAGTATTTTTCTAATATGAATTTATTGGAAACACTATCAGTATAACAATCACATTATTTAAAATGTCATTTTTGCACGTTTAAGACAAGCGTTTATTTAGCACTATGCTAGATATTTTGGAGGATACAGAGACACACAAAACATAATTTCTGACTTCACACATGCTTAAGATCCAGTGAGGGAAGCAGACACGTACCCACTGTTCTGTGGCAAGAACCAATGGGGAGGAGAGATGAAAAGATGACCTTCTTAGTGTGGACTCCAGAGTTCTGCCCACGTCTTGTTTTCAGAGCAGGTGGACAAGCGGTCAATGTGCAGGTCTTTTGCTTTAACCTTATTTATGTGTACACAGCACTGTAGATTTATGTGTACACAGCACTGTAGAGCACTAGTTAGAGTAGACACAAAACTGAAACCACTAGATAAAACAATTGGGTGTGGAGGTTAGAAGGGTAGAGCTGGGTGTTGACAGACTGGTGTAGTTGCCTCAGAAGTGAGAATATAGATATAGATGCAATAGCATTTTCCTCTGGGGCACCACCTCTTTTTCTTTACATCTCAGATCCCTGGCCATGTGTCTGACAGTTTTTTAGAGAAATGATTGTTATTTGTAAATACATCATACACAGAAACACTTGCTTTTTTAAGCAAATAAAAATCATAAAAACAAAAAAAAGTCCACAGCATGATGGGTTTTAGTTATACATAATTTGAATATAAGGGAGCAATTTTGATGCTGCATTAATGTGGAATTCTACATGTGATAAACAGTGTTAGACTTTTAGAATATATATTTTTAGTTTGGTAGAGCTCATGGATTTTCCAGATGTATAGGCTGCTTAAGCCAAAGAGTTCTTTCTCTAGCTATGATTATAATTCTTCTGATTATAAATGCATTAAAAAATAATAAAGGAAGGATGAAGTGGAGGAATGTAAGAAATAAGAAGGAAGGGGAGAGAGAAAAGAAAACCTTTCTGGGCATGTGTAAGGAAACCAGCAGGCTTGACCTTCAAATGCCAGTGATATGTAGGACCCAGGGCAACAGATGAAATCTGACCAATACATTTGTGATGGCCCCTTCCAGGAACCTATGGAAAGTGGACACTCCCATTTTAATGTTTACTATTGCCATAATTCGTAATATAGACGAAGAATGTGACCTTTGTTAGCAGGAGCCTTTCTTGTGACTGCTGAGGTGGTGGCTCTATTATGTAGAATATAATAACATTGCTTCATTGCTTTAGTCTGTTTCTTCAAACTGTAACTTGAAAAACTGACTAGTTTTAAAAATGGAAATGGCTCAAGAGACTCCAGAGTATTTAATGCTTTTCACACTTGGGACTGGAGAGGAATTTAATTATATAAATTATTTTAAAAATCCATTAAGTTCCTGCTTGCCTGTAACGAGCGTGGCATACTTAGAGAAATGTGTAGATATAAACCTTCTGAGTTTAAAACCTTGGATATATTCTTTTAAGTAGGAGACAGACTAGAAATAATGAGAAAGCATTTGAACACAGATGTGGAATATAGAGGTGACCAGAAAGAATATGTTGATAGTTGTTAGCTTATGGGAATTGCAAAGGGTTTTAGTGTCAGACCTGAGTTAGTGGATGTTCTTTTAAATTATTGTTACAAGGTTCTGCGTAACCTACTGGTCTATGGAACTCTTATCTCAGATTGTGTGGACTCTTCCTCACTTTCTAAGAGCCAGCAACACTGGATTTCTCTCAGTTCCTCTAACCACTGTGTTCTTCCCCAGCTCAAGTAAGTGCTGTCGCATGTCTTGTTTCCTCTACCAACATTTCCCCCACTGCCCTTTTTGCCTTGCTGGCTCCTATTTATCTTTCAGATTTCAGCTACAATGGCACTTAGTGAAGTCTTCCCATAACTCCCAGATTTAGGATCTAAGTTGTAAATTCCCACAATACTCTGTACAGTAGTCCCCCCCTCCTTATTCTTGGGGGATATGTCCCAAGACCCCCCAGTGGATGCCGGAAACCATGGATTGTACCAGATCCTACATATACTATGTTTTTTGATCTAATAACCCAGACAGCTACTAAGATAGCTACTGAGTAACTAATGTGTGGGTAGCATGTATGGCATGGATATAGAGATGATACAGCAGGACAAAGGGATGACTCACATCCCAGGCGGGATGGAACAGGACGGTATGGGAGTTGAGTTCATTGCAGCACTCAGAATGGCATGCAATCTAAAACTCATTAATTGTTTATGTCTGGAACTTTCCATTTAATACTTTCAGACCAAGGCTGACTGTGGGTAACTGAAACCGTGGAAGACAAAACGTTAGATAAAGAGGAACTCCTGTACTTCTCTTTTATAATGTTTCCACGTTTGAAATTTCTTCTTCAATGTTTATCTTCCCTGCAAGACTTTAAGTTCCCTTTGGGCTCACTCTCATTCACTGCGTTTAGCCCTAAGTACCTACTCCTCAGAACTCAGAAATGACTAGACTGTGTCATGGAAAAGTAGGCTGTTATGAAACAGGAAACCTGTACTCTATAAGCTTATGCAAAAGAAGAAATTCATCAAAAGGGACCATGTCTCTTACACACACAGGTACATACGCGTGTGCACACACACAAACACACAGAGAAAGAGAGAGGGAGAGAGAGAAAGAAACAGGGATATTCTAGGACAGCGCTTACAATGTTTACAGTGTAGGCTCTGAAGACAGATTGACTGTGTTCACATCCCAGGTCTGTCACTTACTAGCAGTGTAACCTTGGCCAAGTTACTTGACTTCTCAATACTTTAGCTTCTTACCTATAAAATGGGAATAATAATAACACCTACTTCAAAGGTTATCATGAGGAGTGAGTTAAAACATATAGCATATACTATAATAAATATAATTAATATGTATATAATAATGATAATAATTCTAAAATAACAGCCCTAGTCATCAGTGTTTCCATTTCTTGTTCTTGTCTCATTCCTATGCCTCTTCCACAGAAAGAAGTGTTTTTGGCTTTTCCTGCTGTAGACTTGTTATACCCAATGGTGCCAGAAGATAATCGATTCAAATGGTTAGCTTAGCCTTATTTTATATTTCAGTCCAGATACCATTTTGTGAATATGTTTTAAAATGTTAATAAATAAAGAACAAAATTTGATGAATTGACATATAAACTATAATTAAAACCTACTTTAAAGACTCATAGAGCTTGCTGCTTTAATGAAGAATTGAAGAAATTGATGAAGAATTTATTTTAGTGTTTTGACTGAGCCAAAATAAAATCAGTTTCATTGTTGAAGAAACACAGTTTAACATAAACTTGTAGATAGACTATTAAAGAGTGCTGTATCAGTTAAGTGAGCACTGTCTTCTAAAATTTCATGTATTCAAGGATGGAGAGGGTCAAATGAATAGTTAAAAATACAAATTAAGGCCAGGCATGGTGGCTCATGCCTGTAATCCCAGCCAGCACTTTGGGAGTCTGAGGCAGGCGGATCACTTGAGCTCAGGAGTTTGACACCAGTCTGGGCAACATGACAAAACACTGTCTCTACCAAAAATACAAAAATTAACCTGGCCTGGTGGCGTGTGCCTGTGGTCCCAGCTACTTGGGAGGCTGAGGTGGGAGGATTGCTGGAGCCCCCGAGGCGGAGGTTGCAGTGAGCCGAGATCGCACCTCTGCATTCCAGCCTGGTTGACAGAGTGAGACCCCATCTAAAAAAAAAAAAAAAAAAATTTAAACTGATTAACTTATTCTATTTTCTAGGTACACACTAAATCTATAAAAACTAAACTAAATCAATAAAAATAAACCATGGCCTTGGCCTTTAGATAGCTGACAATTTAGGTTTAACAATGTATATGGTATTTTTGAACAGCTTTTGTGTCATAGAATGAATATGTTTTACTATGAAATGTATAGATACTGATTATCTAGAAAAGCATTGTAAATACTTTTATTTTTACAAAGAAGTAGACAGTTTGATTTATTATTTTTTAGGGATCCCCTTCCTTGAGCCAGGGAGCCAGTCTGGCATTAGGCTAATCTTACCACTTTCATGGAGGCTTCCCTTACTGCTATAGATCTCATGAGGTAGAAGAAGTAATAAGAGGGACTGCTATTCTGAGTCCTGGTCTAATGGAAAAGGACTAGTTTGTAATATTGGTTGTGTGTTGATGTGGTTGTATTGAACAGTTTATTGGGAAAGTCACCAAGTTGTCTTACAGACATCATTGTAAAGAAGAGAACTGAAACATGGTTATGCCCATCCTTTGCCTTTAAGGAAAACAGATATTTGCAAGATTATAGCATCTATGGCTGTGATTTCAAGGCTAGAGAGTTCTAAAAGAAAAATTATTAGAAGAAATTCTTATAGGTGTACAAAATGCCCTGAACAGCTCAGGTTTCTTAAAGGATGTGCATGATTAATAGATGAAAGGAGCACATAATCATCACACAGTTATACAGTGCTAAGACTTTAAGAAATAAACATTTAAGAATTTTCTCTTCAAAGGCCAAAATTTAAAAGGAACTAAGATGCCTCAGAGTGCACAAAGAGCTTTTAAGGTTGTGTTTGGAGCAAGAGCAACAAGAGGGAAGAGATAGCTCACTGTCTGAAGAAGATATTCTTAATGTCTGTTTACAGGTAAAAATCAGACCTATACAATTCTTACTTTGCTTCTATAATCTTGCAATAGCAGAAATCCTTTTCCTATAGTAAAAGGTAAAACAAACAACCTGAAACAGAGGAAATTAAACAAACAAACAAAAAATATGAGAAGATGGAGTATCATTCACTTTAAATGAATTTAAATTTTCAATACTGAAATGTATTGCCTCCCAGGAGTTGACGGACTCAGGTATAATCGTAGGGTTATTGTCACTTTTTTTTTTTTAACAAAATATAGTTTTTTGTTTGTTTGTTTTGTTTTGTTTTTTTTTTACAAAATCACTGAGAATATGGGGTAAATACTTGGAGACAAGAGAGAGACAAATGTCCTAGTTTCCAAAAAGGAATAAAGTATATTGCAAAAACCCAAGACCAATTCCCTACTTTAAACTGTGGTAAAATTTGAAGAGATTGTAAAAAAATGAAATATTGTGTTTAGAAGAGAATGGGATGATCACCATGAATCAATATGAATTTATAAGAATAAGACATGCCAAAATGACCTCATTTTTTTTTTGCTTTATTTTTAGTTGTATAATTGCTATTGGATTAGAGAATAGTAAAGACATGTTGTATCTTGACTTTCGCCAAGTGGTTGACAGTGTTTCCTTAACTATCCTTGTGGAAACATGATGAAATTAGATTGTAATTAGATTGATTTACAGCTGCTTGCCTGGCCATTGCCATGCCCGCATGCCCAGCGTTTAGTTAAATAATAGTTACTTTATATACTGGTTCCTCACAGAGAACTGGTGGTGAACATTAATTTGCATATATTCAGAAAGTATGGATTTGTAGTTAACGAGTTTTTTTAAGGATTTGTATGTTGAAACTTGAGTTCCTGGATTTATTCATGATTGAGGTTTCTGTTAGGGACTTTTTTGCAACCAAGCTGTATTTGTAAGATATATAAATCTGTTTTTAATTTACATATGTAACCTTGACTTATAAATTACTTAGAAGCCAAGGCGTAATATTAGCATTTAGAGCAAAGTCTGGCTATGTTAAGAATGCTAACGTTATGAAGAATCTTTTCTTTGTTCAGTAACAACTATAGTAAGCTCACTTGGATGTTTTTCATACCCTTGAAATGTCATTCCTGTGAACTATCCCTAAACAAAAGGCAGATGTTCATATACAAATTGATAATACAGATATATTCAGCAGTGTCTTTCTGAGTTAATGTGTCTGTTGGCCTTCTGGTAATCCCACAGTCAGCTGCCTGTTCAAGATATTTACATATTTTTTAAAAAAATACAAATTCCCTGGAATCATATCAAAGAGAGAACCATATATTTTGTTCACTTAGGAAGTTCTTTTGGCAGTCCATGATGGCTGCTACATCCAATATATTTTTTAATTAATTGTTACTTTTAGAGAATGCAAGTCCATAGTTAACTTATTAAACTTTCATAATTGATATTTCTTTGATGCTTGTAATATTTTGTTTCTAGCCTCAAAAAAGTGTGATAACTTTTTTGAATACTTGCAGATGTTTACATAAAATATCACATTTATTTATTTGCTTATTTTTGAGACAGAGTCCCACTCTGTTGCCCAGGCTGAAGTGCAGCCGCACGATCTTGTCTCACTGCGACCTCTGCCTCCCAGGTTCAAGCGATTCTCCTGCCTCAGCCTCTGGAGTATTTGGGATTACAGGCACATACCACCACACCCTGCTAATTTTTGTATTTTTAGTAGAGATGGGGTTTAATCATGTTGGCTAGGCTGGTCTCGATCTCCTGACCTCAAGTAATCCAACTGCCTCGGCCTCCCAAAGTGCTGGGATTACAGGCATGAGCCACCGCACCCAGCCAAAATATCACACTTACAAAATTGTCCCTCACACTTTTCTTTACAACTGTTCGTCTCGGTGTTACATCCAGAATCCCAGTAGAAATGAACGGTGAAAAACAGAGTGCAATTCCAGCCTTGGCCTCTGAGTCTTAAGATCTTGTAGGCCCTTAAAACAAGAATTGAGGCCAGGCACAGTGGCTCATGCCTGTAATCCTAGCACTTTGGGAGGCCGAGGTGGGCAGATCATGAGGTCAGGAGATCGAGGCCAACCTGGCTAATACGGTGAAGCCCCGTCTCTACTAAAAAACACAAAAAATTAGCCAGGCATGGTGGCGGGCGCCTGTAGTCCCAACTACTCGGGAGGCTGAGGCAGGAGAATGGCGTGAACCCAGGAGGCGGAGGTTGCAGTGAGCCAAGATTGTGCCACTGCACTCCAACCTGGGCGACAGAGTGAGACTCCATCTAAAAAAAAAAAAAAAAAGCAAGAATTGAGTTGTTTCAATTATTTTGCCTTAAGAGACCCATTATGCTGTAATTTATGATTTTATTGTGGCTTTGTCCTTAATTATATCTAATTTAATGGTTGTTATTTTATAGATTAAAATGCAATCTGAGTTTTTAGCATTTTATAGTTATCTTTGTACGTTATACCATATCTGACAGTAAAGCTTCAAATTTAAAAAAAAAAGGAAATCGTGAGTTAATAAAACAAAGTATTGAGTCAGATTGTCTTTTTAAATTATTCATGTATTATCTTTTATCCAAATTAAGTCTTTTTCTGAAAATATGTTGTATAGCAGATATTTAGATGTCGGAGCCTACATTATGTTGTTTTTAAGTGGGGGAAAAAACAATGATGCATTCTCTGTCCATTCAAAAACCCTAACCAAACTTCCCCAAATATCACAAAACACCTTTAGACAACTATATAGCGATCTACGAAAACTTTTGTATAACATTTACAAAACATTTGAGACATCTCTTACCTGATTTTAAAAATACTTAATGAATTCATTATTTGGTATATTTTTGTTCAATAAGTAATGAGACTATACAGTATTGATTATAAATTAGCATTTTATTCTATCCGGTGATGAATAGTATACTGTATGATTCTGTATTATACATTTAAAAAATGAAATAATATTATTTTTATCTAAATAAGGCTTGGGTTAGTGGGATCCCTAAATGCTTAATAGAAACAACCTCTGGGACCAGAGATTCTTCTGTGTTCATCCTGGTAAATATCTTTCAGGTTTATTAAAATCACAAAGGCTCCCCCTTGCTCAGCATCTATTTTTAGCAAGACAAAAGAAGGACTTTTTAGGGTTTGTGTTTATTAGTTTAGGATCTGAATATGTTTGCTGAACTTTTGACATACACTGATTTCCTGCTTATGTTAACACCGTCTTGCATAGGTTATGTTCATTTATACATATGAGAAGAGCAAAAGAGGGAGTTAGAAATGTAATATTGTGGAATAATAGTTAAAAAAATTAGCTGATCAATAGTATTTGGTTTATCTAAGCTTGTCATAAGTGCGTTGCTCTAAATAAAAGAGTATACTTTAATCAACTGTTCTTATTCAATAAAATAATCTATTTTGCCTTAGCATTGATTTTTTCTAATTATCTGAAGCCTTGTCTAATGAACAATGGTTTGGACTGTTTGGAGTTTCATTTTAAGTTCAACCCTTACTATAAATTCATTGCTATCAGATTTCTGCAATCCTGTTTTTTCTGCTTAATATTTCTTTGAGAGCCCTTATATCTCTCTATTTATTTCCCATTTTCCCCACAAATAATAGAAAATTTTTGACTTTCTTAATTATTCACATTGTATCTAGGAGTCAAGCAAGTGGACAGAAAATGCCTGTTCAATCTAGTGATAGGAAGAGGACCCTAAGGTAGGGCCAGTTTGGCCTTTTCGAAGATCAGAAAGATGGCCAAGAATAGGTGGAGCAGTGTTTGACAGTGGGAAGAGTGACCAAATTAGGATCAGGGATGGCTGGAGCCAGAACATGTAGGGCCTTCTAGTCCCTGTTCGGGATTTTAGATTTTGTTGCAAGTATAAGATATCTGAGGGGACCCTAAACAGAGTAGTAATTATCAGATTTATGTTTTAAATCTCACTCTGGCTTCTAAGTGGTGGGCAGCAGGAAGGAGACAAGAATGATGCCGATTAGAAGGCTGGGACAGAATTCCAGATGAGGAATCAGTGGTGGCTTAGATTAGGGTGGTGGCAAATGAAATGAAGAAAAGTCAAATATGTCTTGGAAGTAGAACCGACAAAAGTTGCTAATGTGTTGGATCTGGATGGGTAGAAGTGAAAAGGAGAAATCAAGGATGACTTCTAGATTTCGAGATTGTTTTGCAAGTTGATGGTGCCTTCTACAATAGGGAAAATGTTGGGGAGGAAACATTGGGGGCAGATGGAATTAAAAGTTCTGTTTTGGCTATCTGAAACTTGAGGTGCTTATTTGACTTCCAAATATATCTGCAATATATATGCATCAGTTTGATGAGTTTAGAGCTTGGCAGAGGTAGATCAAGGATGGATACATGATATGAATGTGGAAGTTATCATTATATAGATAGTATTTAAAGCCATGGGACTAAATGAAATTACTCTGAATATTTTTGTCACCTTCTCTGACCTGTACCTTCTCCCTCCCTTACCATGTAAAATTATTCCCACATTATATTGCAGGTACATATTTTAATTATAGTACCTATAAATAATTTGGTGTTCTTTTCTTTTTAGTAAAATTCTCTGATTTCTTTATCCTGTTTATAGCTAACTGGTTTAAGAGTATTCAGTTACTAGCTTCTATATTTAAGTGAACGTCTAAAAATTATGCATTTATTTTCTGTTTTTTTTTTTTGTCTTTGCTCCAGGCAAAGTCATTAATAAAGATTTGCGGCATTACCTAAGTCTTCAGTTTCAAAAAGGATCAATTGACCACAAACTGCAGCAAGTGATCAGAGATAATCTCTACTTGAGAACCATTCCATGTAAGTATGTGATGGAATAAAAGAACTGAAGCAGAAATGTCCTTTCTTAACTAATTAAACATCTACAGATAGTTTGATGGAGTATTTCACATGAAATTGTGAAGACTAAGTTGGGAACAAGAATGAAACAAAAATTGGATAAGAAGAAAAATTTTCAAAGAACTTGAGAGGTTTTGTTTTTAAAAGTAGAAAAATGGAAAAACTGGGCCGGGTGCAGTGGCTCACACCTATAATCCCAGCACTTTGGGAGGCCGAGGTGGGTGGACTTGAGGTCAGGAGTTCAAGACCAGCCTGGCCAACATTGTGAAACCTCATCTCTACTAAAAATAAAAAAATTAGCCGAGTGTGGTGGCGGGCGCCTATAATCCCAGCTACTTGGGAGACTGAGGCAGGAGAATCGCTTGAACCCAGGAAGAGGAGGTTGCAGTGAGCCGAGATCATGCCACTGCACTCCAGCCTGGGTGACAGAGCGATACTCTGTCTAAAAAAAAAAAAAAGGCCGGGCGCGGTGGCTCACACCTGTAATCCCAGCACTTTGGGAGGCCGAGGCGGACGGATCACTAGGTCAGGAGATCGAGACCATCTTAGCTAACACGGTGAAACCCCGTCTCTACTAAAAATACAAAAAAAAAAAAATTAGCCGGGTGCGTCGCAGGCGCCTGTAATCCCAGCTACTCAGGAGGCTGAGGCAGGAGAATAGCGTGAACCCGGGAGGCGGAGCTTGCAGTGAGCCGAGATAGCGCCACTGCAGTCCGGCCTGGGTGAAAGAGCGAGATTCCGTCTCAAAAAAAAAAAGTAGAAAGTAGAAAAACTGGAAGATTCTATATTGTGAGTTTTAAAAAGTGATGACTAGAATTTAAGATTATATAATCCCAGCACTTTGGGAGGCTGAGGTGGGCAGATCACCTGAGGTCAGGAGTTTGAGACTAGCCTGGCCAACATGGTGAAACCCCATCTCTACTAGAAATACAAAAATTAGCCGAGCATGGTGGCAGGCGCCTGTAATCTCAGCTACTTGGGAGGCTGAGGCAGGAGAATCGCTTGAACCTAGGAGGCGGAGATTGCAGTGAGCCGAGATCATGCCGTTGCACTCCAGCCTGGGCAACAAGAGCAAGACCCTCAACTCAAAAAAAAAAAAGAAAAAAACGAAAAAAAATATATATATATTTTTACATGTTGTTAACTAGATTTTATTCCTGTAAATCAATTTGTAAAGCCTTATGCAGTAAGAAGACTTTTTAGCTCCCAGTGCCTTGCATACCAAGAACAAGTATTTTATTAGAACTTTATTTTAAAATAATTTTAAAATCTTTCCCTTCCCCAACAAGAAAAAAAAAAAAGAAGAAGAAGAAAAAGGAAAGGGACTCTCTCTTACTTGGAATAATTTCTTTTTTCCCTCCCTCCGTGGCTTCTTCCCTTCCTCCCTTGACTATGTAGTGGCAAAGAGCTAAGTAAAATTGAGTTCAAAATCTTTACTCTAGCATCTTACTGGCTACTTTACTTGGGCAAGTTACTTAATGTTCCTGATCCTCAGAAACTCTCTATATAGAATTAGAATAACAAGACTTACCTCATATAGCTGTTACTAGGATTTAAAATGAGAGCATATATGTAAACTGCTTGGCCTAGAGAGGCACTCAAGCAGTGTTTGTCCCCTTCCCCCATTCTAACTGGATCTCCTCCCTCTCATTTCACCTCGATTCAATCAGTTTTTAAAGTGCACATTTCTCAGCACTATAGGAAAGGGAAAAAAATTTAAAAATAAAGTGGACATCTGATTCTTGTCCAAAATCTATAGTTTATCCTTCAAAGATTTCTACTGACAAAGTTCAGACTCCTTAGCATCGCATAAAATATTTTTTGTTTTTTTAATCTGCCTCCTTATCTATGATTTCCTCCTACAAATCTACCTTGTAGCTGCAGATTGTAACTTCTGCCTTTATTTCAATTTGTATTTGCCTGATGTGTCTTTGTCCATCTTGTTATTCTTAAAGTCTCTGAATCTCTGTTTTACAAATAGTTCTAGACTTTACTCAGTAGCCAGTGTGAAACTTCTTAAATTTTTATTGATGTGATCAATATCTTTAGCCTCAGTTCTGTCATGGTTTTTATATTTACCATATATAAGCCTTTTGTATGAAAAGCTTTTCACTGTGTAGTCATTTTATTTGATCTCTTTTTAGGAAGGTTTGTAGGGATCTTTTTTTTAATGGTTACCTTGATACCTTTATATAATAATCTTTGTTCCTCCCTCCCTATTTTTTTGCTTCTGTCTCTACTATGAGTAATATTAAAATTACTTAGTCATCTCTTCTTTTTCCTTCCTTCTCTCCCATCATCTGAC
Source organism: Homo sapiens (assembly GCF_000001405.40). Classification (NCBI taxonomy): domain Eukaryota; kingdom Metazoa; phylum Chordata; class Mammalia; order Primates; family Hominidae; genus Homo; species Homo sapiens. The sequence goes on from NC_000001.11 coordinate 113,551,976, forward strand.
TTGAAGTAATATCTTTTTATTCCTACGAAATATAAGGTAATCAGTAAATGTATCCCACACTTTGCTGTGCTTTTCTCATTCTTACCCTACTTTTTTTGATAGTTGGGCTGTTGTTCTACATTGGCTAAGCAAATAGCCATTACATTACTGTACTTTCCTCCTTTATAATTATCATTTATCTTTTATTCTGTGGGTAAATACATATTTAATATAACCACCAATCCTTATGTTGTTATTTTTCACTAATTGTAGTTGTCTAAAGCTTTTTCTTTACTCGTTTTCCCAGCAAAGGCTCACAGGATCATCTTAGGAGTTTGTTTGTGGCCTTTATACTTTGATGTTTGTTTGGATGGATATAAAATTTTTGACTCATTTTCTTTCCTTGACTATCTTAAATATATTAGTCAACTATCTAACTGTTTTTGGCATAAAGCATTGCTCTTAAAGAGTTTGGTAGCAATCTAATTTTCATTCCTTTGTAAGTAACTTGATATTTTGCCTGCATGGGATGTCTCATTTTTAGTTTCATAGCTCTAGAGCTTCCTCTTCCCTTGTTAAAACAAGATAATAAAAATATGTACTTGTACTTTCTAAGATAGGTCTTTTTTTTATACTGCCCTCTGCCACTTTCACTTAAGTTTTTCTTTTAATTTTATTGTTCCAGTTTTGCAGTTTCCTCAGTGTGAGGTTTTTATCCTAGAAGGGAGCTAAAATTTATTTTGTTTCATTTCACAGGGTCCAAGCAGCTGTAGCCCTTTTAGATCTCAACAGGCCCTCTTAACTTACACAAAAATTGAAGTGTCCAAAGCTCCCTCTAGGAACCTAGACGCAATGACACATCAGTAGCAGGTAGCATACTGAAGGGTCACATGTGATCTCTAAATATCATACTTTCCTAAAAAGTTTGAGGTCTCCTTGGAGATAGTTCTGATTCTAGGTCTGGTACAAGGAAAGTACAAGATGAGCTTTGGAGCATATAAGTGTATCAGAAAGTATATAGTGCTTAAAACATTATAGAGACATATCAGAAGGACATAGAAGCCACCTAGAAGGGGTGCTTGATACTTACTCCAAAAATCTGAAACAATTTGAGCAACAACGTTGAAAAAAGAGGGCACTTCTATTATTGTCAGATATTGAGCTGTAGGTGGAACAGGACTATGATCCTTGAGAGAAGAAGAAAGGAGACCACACACAGAGGAATCCTATAATTTCCTCAACTTTCTACTTAGAGGCACTTTCTGGACCACAGCACAAGGAGGGAGAGTCCAGGCAGAGTACAATGGACTCTGAGTTGAAGGGACAGAAATCTGAGTTCAAGAAGCCTGAGGTATCTGGAATTTGCAGGACAGAATGTCACAGAGGAGAGGGCTATGAAGAAAAAGAGCTCAAGCAATCTGTAAAGGCACCCCCTTGACTCTGTGGCTGAATACTAAGCTGAGAATATGTAGGACCAGACTCTTCAAGGTTAAACCAAAAAATCTCTCGGAGTTTTAAGTTTAACAATTCCCAGAGCTTACCCAGGGGCCAGGAGACATTTGAGTTCTAATCAGCTTGGTGGAAGAATCCCATAAGGGTCCTCCCTTACTAGCAGGGCTAAAATAGTCAGATAAAGCTCCTCTAGGCCTGCTTTAACAAAGCTTAATTAAGCAAGACCCCAAAGGATCAAGTGAATATGCATGCAACTTAACTGCTAGCAAAAAAGGAAGAAAGAAGGAAAGAAGTAAATCAACACTCTTTAAAGAAAGATAGTGTCTGGGCTCAGTGGCTCACGCCTGTAATCCCAGCACTTTGGGAGGCTGAGGCAGGCGGATCATGAGGTTAAGAGATTGAGACTATCCTGGCCTACATGGTGAAACCCCATCTCTACTAAAAATACAAAAATTAGCTGGGCGTGGTGGCGGGTGCCTGTAGTCCCAGCTACTTGGGAGGCTGAGGCAGGAGAATTGCTTGAACCTGGGAAGTGGAGGTTGCAGTGAGCCGAGATCGTGCCACTGCACTCCAGCCTGGTGACAGAGCGAGACTACGTCTCAAACAAACAAACAAAAAAATAGAAAGACAACAAAATGGAAACATTGTGTAACAAAATATTCAGAGTGTCCAGCATCTAATAAAAAATTACTAGACCTGCAAAAAGCAGGAAAATGTGACCCATAATCAAAAGAAAAGTCAGCTGATAGAAAAAAGAAACAGAAATGACACATGATGGCATTACTATACCAGGAGTTTTAGTTATTAGAAATATGCTCAAGGATTTAAAGAACAGTATCAACATAATGAAGAGAAAAATTATATATAAATATTCATATGTGTGTGTGTGTGTGTGTATGAATGAAGTGGAACCTTAAAAATTCACTGAATGGACTCAACAGGAGATTCAAAACTGGAGAAGAAAAGATCAGTGAACCTGAACACGTAGCAATATAAACTAATGAAACTGAAGCATAGAGAAGAAAATGACTGAAAAAGTGAACTTTTTTTTTTTTGAGCAACCAGATGACAATGGGGAGGGGAGAGATTTCTACTTCTGCAATGAAGTACCAGTACCATAACTAGTACTAGATTTACCCTTTTGTAATAAAGAACTGGAAATTGGACGAGGAATATGTAACAGCTGTTTTCAGACATTGAAATACAGGCAGAACAGGACTATGATGCATTTATATTTACCCATGACAAACTATCAAGCCAAAGTGGAGGAAGGAGAAAAAAAAGAAATAGTGACTGAAATGTTTCCAAATTTGATGAAAATAATAAGTGCACAGATCTAAGAAGCTCAATAGATCCCAAGCAGAAGAAATGTGAAGAAAACCATATCAAAGGACATCATAATTAGATTATAAAAAACCATTGATAAAAAGAAAATGATGCTGGGCATGCTGGCATGTGCCTGTAATCTCAACACAGCAGGAAGCTGAGGTGGGAGGATCACTTGAGCCCAGAAGTTCAAATCCAGCCTAGGCAACATGGTGAGACCCCATCTCTAAATAAAGTGAAATAAAATAAAAATTTTTGAAAAAGAAAATGCAAAATACAGAAAAAAAAGATAAATTACATGCAAGGGAACAAAGAATGACTGCAGTATCCACAGAAACAGTATAAGCCAGAGTCCATCAAATAACATCTTTAACATGCTGCAAGGAAAAAAAAAAACGCCAACCTGGATTTCTATGTACAACAAAAATATCCTTCAAAAATGAAAGAGAAATAAAGAATTTTCAGACAAAAAGTGAAAGAAGTTTTCAGCAGCAGATATACACTGTAAGAAATATTAAAGATTGGACAAAATGCACAAACAACAAACGAAATGTTAAAGGAAATTCTTCAGGTGGAAGAGAAATGATATCAGAGCAATAGAACTGAAAGGAAAATAGACAACTTTATAATTACAGTTCAAGATTTCAACATCCCCTTTTAGTAATTAATTTTAAAATTAAGTAAAACATCAGTAAGGTAATAGAAAACATGAACAGTATTTTCAACCAGCTTGGCCGAGTTACTATTTATTAGAAGATGCCACCCAACAGCAGCAGAATACACATGCTTTCCTAGTGCAGATGATACATTTACAAATATAGACCATATTCTGCACCACAAAACAAGAACTGATAGATTTAAGAGGATTTAGACTTAAATCATATGAAACATGTTATCTAGCCATCATGAAATTAAATTAGAAATTATTAACGATGGTGGGAGGATTGCTTGAGGCCAGGAGTTTGAGACCAGCCTGGGCAACATACCAGGACCCCGTCTCTACAAAAAAAAATTTTTTTAATGAGGCAGGCAAAGTGGCACATACCTGTAGTCCTAGCTACTCGAGAGGCTGAGGCAGGAGGATCCCTTGAGCCCAGGAGTTTGAGGCTATAGTGAGCTATAATCATGTCAGGAATGAGACCCTGTCTCTTAAAAAAAATAGAGAAAGAAAGAAATTACTAACAGAAAGATATTCAGAAATTAATAATTAATAGCACACTTCTAAATAAACTGTGAGTTGAATAAATCACAAAGGAGATTACAAAATATTACACATATCAACCAACAAATTGAAATGTATCAAACACAATATATGAAAATTTGTAGGTTGTAGCTAGAGTAGTATTTAAATGGAAACTTACAGTATTAAATACTTATATTAGAAAATAATGAAGATTTCAAATTAGTGATCTAAAATTCTACCTTGAGAATCTTAAAAAGAAGGAGGAAAATACTTATTTTAAGTAGAAGGAAGAAAATAATAAAAAGTAGAAACCAGTGCAATAGAAAATAGAAAAAAACCAATGAAATACAAAGCTCATTCTTTGAGATCAATAAAAGTGATAAACCTCTAGCTAGACTGCTTAGGAAGAAATTAAGCACAAATTAGTGCTATCCGGAGGCCGGGTGCAGTGGCTCATGCCTGTAATCCCAGTGCTTTGGGAGGCTGAAGCAGGAGGATTGCTTGAGTCCAGGAGTTTGAGACAAGCCTGGGCAAATAGTGAGACTCTGTCACTACAAAAGAAAACAATATCAGGAATGAGAGAGGTGACATCACTGAAAATCCTATAGATGTTAAGTGTGTAAGTGTATGATAAAGATTTTTTTTTTTTTTTTTTTTTTGAGACAGAGTCTCACTCTGTCACCCAGGTCCTGGAATTCAATGATGTGATTAGAGCTCAACTTCCATTTCTTCCATCTCCTGGGCTCAAGTTATCCTCTTGCCTCAACTTCCTCAGTTACTGGAACTACAGATGTGTGCCACCATGCCCAGCTAATTTTTTTTTAATTCTTATTAGAGACGACATCTTGCTATGTTGCCTAGGCTGGTCTCAAACTCTTGAGCTCAAGCGATCCTCTGGCCTTGGCCTCCCAAAGTGTTGGAATTACAGACGTGAGGCCCCACACCCGGCCTAATAAGGAATATTCTGAATAACTTTATGCCAATAAACTCAACAACTTAGATGAAATGGACAAATTCTTTAGAAGACAAAAACTACCAGTGCTCACTCATGAAGAAATAGGTGAGCTGAAAAATCCTCTATCTATTAAAGAAATTGAATTTTAGTTTTTAACTTTCCTATAAAGAAAACTTTAGCAGAGAGGGGTAGGCACCATCTCTGCTGTTTGGTCGACTCAGCCATTCCAGCCTGCGGGCTTTGGAGAGTCCAAAAGTTTCAGACAAGGGAGCGTCCCCCCAGCAGCACAACATAGTGGCTTTGCCAGATCATGACCAGACTGCTGCTTTAAGCAGCCTGGATCACTTCCTTCTCACTGGGCAGGGACTCCCAGTTGGGCCCTTCAGCCATGCCCACTGGCACATACTATGGACAGAGCTCTGATCTCTCCCTGGGATGGAGTGCCCCAGGGAGGGGAGGGCTGCCACCTGGGTTGGATGGATGACTCAACTGTTCCAGCCTGCAGGCTTTGGAGAGTCCAAGCTGATGGGCAGAAGTGGTTCTCCACCAGGACACAGCTGTTTTGTTGAGGTGTGGCCAGACTGTTTCTTTAAGCGGGACTCTGATCCGCTCCTCATCTCAGCTGATCCTCCCAGCTGGCTCTTCACAGCCAGGGCCTCCAGCCACCACCCATGTTCTATGGAACTGACAGAGCTCCAATTTCTCCCTGGGACAGAGTGCCTGAGGGGTGGGCAAGCTGCCACCTTGGCCGTTTGGGCTCGTCAACGGGTCCAACCTGTAGGCCTTGGAGAGCCCAGACCAATAGGGAGCTGAAGGGATCCCCAACACAACACAACACAACTCCTTTACCAAAAAGCAGCCACACTGATGCCATTCGTCCTGACTGGGTGAGACCTCCTTACTGGAGTATCCAGCCACCTCCTACAGGTACGTTCGGGCTGGCAGTAGTTCAGTACCCACCTGGGACAGAGCTTCCAGAGGAAGCAGCAAGCTGCCATCCTTGCTGTTTTGCAGACTTCACTGGCAATACCTCCAGGTACAGGAAGAACCAAGGCAACTAGGGTCTGGAGCAGACCCCCAGCACGCTCCAGCAGCCCTGCAGAAGAGTGGCCAGACTGTTAAAAGAAAAACAAACAAATAAACAGAAAACAGCAACGAAGAAAAACCACAAAAACCCCATCCAAAGATCAGCAACCTCAAAGATCAAAGGTACATAAGCCCACAATGATGAGAAAGAATCAATGCAAAAAAAGCTGAAAACTCAAAAAGCTAGGGTACCCCCTCTCCTCCAAATGACCACAACACTTCTCCAGCAAGGTCTCAGAACCAGGCTAAGGCTGAGATGGCTGAAATGAGAGAAGTAGGCTTTAGAAGATGGTTAATAATGAACTTCACTGAGCTAAAGGAGCACATTGTAACCCAATGCAAAGAAGCTAAGAATTATCATAGAACAGTACAGGAGCTGACAGCCAAAGCCATTTTAGAGAGGAACATAACCCCCTGTTATAGCTGAAAACACACTACAAGAACTTCTCAATGCAATCACAAGTATTCATAGCAGAATAAACCAAGCGGGGAAAAGAACCTAAGAGCTGGAAGACTGGCTTTCTGAATTAAGACAGGCAGACAAGAATAAAGAAAAAAGAATGAAAATGAATGAACAAAACCTCCGAGAAATCAGGGATTATATAAAGAGACCAAATCTACGACTGACTGGGGTACCTGAAAATGATGGGGAGAATGGAACCAAGTTGGAAAACATACTTCAGGATATCATCAAAGAGAACTTCCCCAACCTAGCAAGACAGGCCAAGCCAACATTCAAATTCAGGAAATGCAGAGAACCCCAGTAAGATACTCCATGAGAAAATCATCCCCAAGACAATTCATAATCAGATTCTCTAAGGTTGAAATGAAAGAAAAAATGTTAAGCACAGCCAGAGAGAAAGGCCAGGTCACATACAAAGGGAAGCCACCAGATAAAAACAGTGGACCTCTCAGCAGAAACCCTGCAAGCCAGAAGAGATTGGGGCCAGTAGTCAACATTACCAACCCAGAATTTCATATCTGGCCAAACCAAGCTTCATAAGCAAAGGAGAATTAATATCCTTTACAGACAAGCAAATGCTAAGGGAATTCATTACTGCTAGACCTGCCTTGCAAAAGCACCTTAAGGAAACACTAAATATGAAAAGGAAAAAGCATCATTACCAACCACTACAAAAATACACTGTGGTGCACAGACCAGTGACGTTATGAAGCAGCCACCATAAACAAGTCTGCAAAATAACCAGCTAGCATCATGATGACAGGATCAAATCCACACATAACCATGCTATCCTTAAATATAAATGGGCTAAATGCCCCAATTAAAAGACACAGAATAGCAAGCTGTATAAAGAGTCAAGATCCATCAATATACTGTCTTCAAGAGACCCATCTCACATGCAAAGACACACATAGGCTCAAAATAAAGGGATGGAGGAAAATTTATCAAGCCAATGGAAAAAAGCAATTCTAGTTTCAGACAAAATAGACTTCAACCAACAGACTTTAAAATAGACTTTAAACTAACAAAGATCAGAAAAGTCAAAGAAGGGCATTACATAATGGTAAAGGGTTCAATTCAACAATAAGAGCCAACTACCCTAAATATATATGCTCCCGATACAGGAGCACCCAGATTCATAAAGTTCCTTTTTTTTGTTTTTTTTTGAGAGGGAGTCTCACTCTGTCGCCCAGGCTGAAGTGCAGTGGTGCGATCTTGGCTCACTGCAGCCTCCGCCTCCTGGATTCAAGCAATTCTCCTGCTTCAGCCTCCTGAATAGCTGGGACTATAGGTGCCCACCACCACACTTGGCTAATTTTTTGTATTTTTTTGGTAGAGACAGAGTTTCACCATGTTGGCTGGGCTGGTCTCGAATTCCTGACCTCAAGTGGTCTACTCATCTTGGCCTGCCAAAGTCCTGTGATTACAGGCATGAGCCACTGTGCCTGGCCATAAAGCAAGTTCTTAGGGACCTTCAAAGAGACTTAGACTCCCACACAATAATCGTAGGAGACTTTAACACCCACTGACAATAGTAGGCAGATCATTGAGACGGAAAATTAACAAAGATATTCAGGACCTGAATTCAGCTCTGGATCAAGAGGACCCGATAGTTATCTACAGAACTCTCCACCCCAAAACAACAGAATATACATTCTTCTCATCACTGCATGGCACTTAGTCTAAAACTGATCACATAATCAGAAGTAAAACACTCCTCAGCAAATGCAAAAGAACTGAAATCATAACAATCTCTCAGACCACAGTGCAATCAAATTAGAAATCAAGATTAAGAAATTCACTCAAAAATTAGTTGAGTATGGTGGCACACTCCTGTAGTCCTAGCTACTCGGGGCTGAGGCAGGAGAATCGCTTGAACCTGGGAGGCAGAGGTTGCAGTGAGCTGAGATTGTGCCACTGCACTCCTGCCTGAGTCACAGAGCGAGACTCCATCTTAAAAAACAAACAAAAAAACAAAAACAAACAAAAAAAACCAAAAAAACAATAAAACAAAAAAAGAAAAAAGGAAAGAAAGAAAGAAGTTCACTTAAAACCATACAACTACATGGAAATTGAACAACCTGCTCTTGCATGATTCTTGGGTAAATAATGAAATTAAGACAGAAATCAAGAAGTTCTTTGAAACCAGTGAGAACAAAAAGACAACACATCAGAATCTCTGAGATACAGCTAAAGCAGTGTTAAGAGGGAAATTTATAGTACTAAATGTCCACATCAAAAGGCTAGAAAGATCTCAAGTTAACAACCTAACATCACAACTAAAAGAACTAGAGAACCAAGAGCAAACAAACCCCAAAGCTAGAAGAAGACAAGAAATAACCAAGATCAGAGCTGGACTGAAGCAGACAGAGACATGAAAAACCCTTCAAAAAATCAACAAATCTAGGAGCTGGGTTTTTGAAAAAAATAATAAAATAGACTTCAAGCTAGATTAATAAACAAGAAAAGAGAGAAGATTCAAATAAACACAATCAGAAATGATAAGGGGGAATACCACCACTGACCCCACAGAAATACAAACAACCATCAGAAAATACTATAAACACCTCTTTGCAAATAAACTAGAAAATCTAGAAGAAAATGGATAAATTCCTGGACATATACACCCTGTCAAGGCTGAACCAGGAAGAAATTGATTCCCTGAAGAGACCAATAGCCAGTTCTGAAATTGAGGCAGTAATAAATAGCCTACCAACCAAAAAAAGCCCAGGACCAGATGGATTTATAGCTGAATTCTACCAGAGGTACAAAGAGGAGCTGGCACCATTTCTTCTGAAGCTATTCCAAACAATTGAAAAGGAGGGACTCCTCCCTAACCATTTTATGAGGCCAGCATCATCCTGATACCAAAACCTGGCAGAGATACAACAAAAAAAGAAAACTTCAGGCCAGTATCCCTAATGAACATCAATGCAAAAACCCTCAGTAAAATACTGGCAAACCGAATCCAACAGCACATCAAAAAACTTATCCACCACAATCAAGTCAGCTTTATCCCGAGGATGCAAGGCTGGTTCAACATACACAAATCAATAAACGTAATTCACCACATAAATAGAACTAAAGACAAAAACCACGATTATCTCAATAGATGCAGAAAAGGCCTTTGATAAAATTTAACAACCCTTCAGGTTAAAAATTCTCAATAAACTAGATATTGAAGAAACATATCTCAAAATAATAAGAGCCATTTATGACAGACCCACAGCCAATATCATACCGAATGGGCAAAAGCTGGAACCATTCCCCTTGAAAACCAGCACAAGACAAGGATGCCCTCTTTCACCACTCCTATTCAATATAGTTTTGGAAGTTCTGACCAGGGCGATCAAGAAAAAGAAAGAAAGAAAGCATATTCATATAGGAAGAGGAAGTCAAACTATCCCTGTTTGCCGATGACATGATCTCCTATATCTAGAAAATTCCACCGTTTCTGCCCAAAAGCTTCTTAAACTGATAGGCAACTTCAGCAAAATCTCAGGGTACAAAATCAATGTGCAAAAATTGCTAGCATTCCTATATATCAACAACAGGCAAGCTGAGAGCCAAAATCCAGAATGAACTCCCATTCACAATTGCCATAAAAAAGAATAAAATACCTAGAAATACAGCTAACAAGGGAAGTGAATGACCTCTTCAAGGAGAACTACAAACGACTGCTCAAAGAAATCAGAGATGATGATGGCTGAGCATGGTGGCTCACGCCTGTAATCCCAGCACTTTGGGAGGCCAAGGCGGGCAGATCACGAGGTCAGGAGATCGAGACCATCCTGGCTAACACGGTGAAACCCCGTCTCTACCAAAACAAAAAAATTAGCCAGGCATGGTGGCGGGCGCCAATAGTCCCAGCTACTGAGGAGGCTGAGGCAGGAGAATGGCATGAACCTGGGAGGTGGAGCTTGCAATGAGCTGAGATCGTGCCACTGCACTCTAGCCTGGGAGACCGCGAGACTCCATCTCAAAAAAAAAGAAATCAGAGATGATGACACAAACAAATGGAAAAACATTCCATACTTATGAATAGGAAGAATCAGTATCATCAAAATGGCCATACTGCCCAAAGTAATTTATAGATTCAGTGCTATTCCCATTAAACTAACATTGACATTCTTCACAGAATTAGAAAAAAACTATTTTAAAATTCATTTGGAACAGAAAATCAGATGTTCTCACTTATAATTGAGAGCTGAATGATGAGAACACATGGACACATGGTGGGGAACAACACACACTGGGGCCTGTTGGAGGGTTGCGGGTGGGAGGAAGGACAGCATCAGTAAGAATAGCTAATGAATGCTGGGCTTAATATGTAGGTGATAGGATGATCTGTGCAGCTAATACCATGGCACACGTTTATGTAACAAACCTGCACAACCTGTGCATGTACCCCTGAACTTAAAAGTTGGAAAACAGAAAACTTTAGGCCCAGGTGATACTGGTAAATTGTTCTGAATATTTAAGAAAGAAATAATACCAATTCTACACAAACTCTTCTAGAAAATAGTGGAGGGAACATTTCCCAACTCATTCTGTGTTGTGAACATGATTCTGATTCTAAAATCAGATAAAAATATTAAAAGAAAATGTTAGGCTAAAATTTTTCTTGAATGTAGACTCAAAAATTCTTAACAGTATTTTAGCAAGTCAATATATATAGCAATATGTAAAAGGATAATACATTATGATCAAGTGGAGTTTGTTTCAGGAATGCCAAGTTGGTATAACATTTGAAAATTAATATAGTAATATTAGAAAACAAAAACCAATTAATTTTTTCAATAGATGCAGAAAAGTTATTTGGCAAAATTCAACTCCCATTTATGACAGAATCTGTCAGAAAACTAGTCTGCCATTTATTACCCATTGCCTCTTGGCTATAAATCTACTTTTTTGCCTGCTTGTGATACTGTAACATTTGTCTCCTGTCCATTGGCACAGTGTTAAGCTTTCAATAGCGAGCACAGAAAGGATACTGGAGAAAGAAGAGAGTTCTTTTCCTGGTTCCAGTGTGTCTTTTTCTTTTTGCTCCTGCTATCCAAAAAGACACCCAGCAAGTTTCAGCAGTACCCTAGCAGTCAGCTTCCCTGTGACAAGTTCAGTGGCACACCTGCAGGAGACTTCCTTACAGCAAGTTCAGCAACACCCTGATAGGTGATTTCATGAGTACCAGCAGTGCACCAGCTGACTTATAGTTTCCTGGTGAGTTCTGTGACATCCCATTTGGTCCCCCAGTTTTCAGCAACATCCTCTGAGAACCAGTTTTCCTATGGGTTTCTCGCAAGTCCAGCCAATGTCTTAGCTGGTTTTCTATTCACAAACCTCACTCACCACCATAGGTAGCTTGCTGGCGAATTTCACTGATACCCCATGCAGTTTCCTGCCTGTTAAATCCCTGACCCACTAACTGTGAACTAGCTCTGTCCTCAGGCAACCCAGGAAAATTCCCCACCATCCAGTGGGCTGTTACCATACCCTCTTCAATGAGGTCTAAATCCCAGACCTTGGGAGAGTCCCTCCCTTCCAAGTTTGTTCCTTATTTAAATATTCTCCCTCAGCTTTAGGGTGATATTCTTTAGAGTCCTCGTTTATTCCTACTTAGTTAATTCCCTGTAAACAGTTAACAATTCTGTATATTAAACTGTCTCTGTTCAGATTGCCATGTGGTTTCTCTCTCTTCTCTGGATCTTGATACAGAATTAGTACTAGTAGCGCTCCCAGGAGACAGAACCTCTAAGAAGGGATTTCAGAATTGGTTTTGGTTGTCTTGGCTGATCTTACGTGGAGTGCCAAGTTTCTTCCAATGAGAGGTGGGATGCTGATAATTCATGAGAAGCCATGGCATCACAATTTAATTACAGTATCACTTATGGTTGATTGTGAAGAAATGACAAATGAACCCAGTACCTTGAGAGCCCAAATGACTGCTGCACTTGACTGTTATGGCAGTAGTTATGGCTACGAACACTGTAGTTTAGGATAGATTCTCCTGTGTGGCAAGTGCTTACAGAGAGAAACTGGCAAGATAAAATCAAATGGTTTACTATTGTTGTTATTATTATGAACTAATAAAATAAGATTTTGTTACTATTTTTCAATGATCTCTACTTGATACAGATGTCTGATAATAGAAAAACTTAAGGAGACATTGGTTGGGCATGTTGGCTCACACCTGTAGTCCCAGCACTTTGGGAGGCTGAGGCGGAAGGAACTCTTGAAGCCAGGAGTTCAAGATCAGCCTGGGCAACATAGCAAGACTGCACCTCTAAAACAAATGAATGAATGGAAGCATTAACACAAAATAAATACCAAATAAAAATCATTTAAAATTTGAAAGATAATCACATACGTATTTAGTATTTGAATTTTTCATACCTAAAATTGTAGTTATTTATTTATTTATTTATTTTTGATTTATTTATTTATTTTTGAGACAGAGTCTTGCTCTGTTGCCCAGGCTAGAGTACAGTGGCACGATCTCAGCTCACTGCAACCTCCACCTCCCAGGTTCAAGTGATTCTCCTGCCTCAGCCTCCTGAGTAGCTGGGATTACAGGTGTGCGCCACCATGCCCTGCAAATTTTTGTATTTTTAGTAGAGATGGGGTTTCACCATGTTGGCCAGGCTGGTCTCAAACTCCTGACCTCAGGTGATCCGCCCGCCTCAGCCTCCCAAAGTGCTGGGATTGCAGGTGTGAGCCACCGAGCCCAACCCTGAAATGAAATTTTAAAGCACAAAGTATCAATTGTTTTATCTGATGGTCTTGATCTTTGTTTGGTGATAAATATGCCAGAAAAAAATGTATTTCATTTTGCACTGACATTCATCAAATTATTAAGAATGTATCCAAAAACATCCTCATATCGGGCATTACAAAGTATGTTGTTTCATGTAATCTCATTTTCTTTTTTAATTCTGAAAGCATTTCGTCTGCTTCTCCTGATTTTGATTTTGCCGTTGAAATCTATTAAATATATTGCTTTTATTTCAGATTTTAGATCCGTTTCTTATTTCATGTTGGAATGTTCCACAACAGCATTCACTTTCTCTCTTTGCATTTTTTCTGTTAAATATTTACAAAGCACTGAAGCTTGTAACAAATAATCAGTGAAAAATGCCAGAAAATATTATTGGATAGTATTCAAATAACCTAACATTTAGATTTCTGAGCATGGTTAACAGCATTACACAGAGTTGTGTGTTGAAACTGCCAATTTAAGGACTTACTTAGCCTCCAAACTTGTTATTTCTTGGAACTCAACTTATAGGATTTATATGAAGTATAATATACATATCATCTTATTAGTATTGTTTTATGTAAGAAAGACCCACCACTAGCAGATATGGCCATGAGCACACACTTGTGGGAACAGCTGCAAGTAAGACTGACTTGAGTGTATTGTGACTACTACTCTCCCACATGCTTCTGTCCTGGTTCCTGGAAATATCAACCTTAACCTTTGATTCTGCCTTTCAGTGTTTCCTGCTCTTGCTTTCATTTGATATCAGCTGATTTCTTCAAGCCAGATGTCTCTATGTCAAATTATTAAACTTTAGTTTGTGCAGGAGAATTAGAACTTTTTTTGTCATTTTTCATATCAACTGATTTGTTGTAAATTTAGAGAAAGCAAATTACCCTAGAAACTCCAGAAGGAATTCCTACTTAGTAACATAAATCAACCGCAGCTCTCATATATTGCAGGTGGGAATGCAAAGACATCTACTTTGGAAAATAATGTGATGTTTTCTTATCAAATTAAACATACACTTAACCATAATACCTAGTAATTTCACTCCTAGGTATTAACTCAACATACATTTAAATATATGTCTACCCAAAGTCATGTAAGTTAATAGCAGCTTTATTTATTATAGCCCAAATGTGGAAACAACCCAAATTTCCATCATTGGTGAATGGATAATTAATTTTGGTATATTCATACAGTAGAATACCAACTGAATAAAACAAGACAAAAGATCAATGAGGAAACAGAGGACTTGAACAATACAAGACCAAATGGACCTAACCGACATACAGAACATTTCATCCAATAACAGCAGAATATACACTCTTATCAAGCATGCATGGAAGATTCTCTATGATAAACCACATTAGACCACAAAACAAGTCTTAATAAATTTAAGATTTAAATTATGCAAAGTATCATCTCTGACCATAATGGAATGAAACTAAAATTAATTAGCAGAAAGAAAACAGGAAAATTTGCAAATACATGGAAAGTAAACAGTGTGTTCTTAAACAACCAGTGGATCATGAGAGAATTTAGGAAATACCTGGAGATAAATTTTTTAAAAAGATACAACATACTAAAACTTATGGAATATAGTAAAAGCAGTACTAAGAGGGAAGTTTATAGCAGTAAACAGATTAAAAGAGAAGAAAAATCTCAAGTCACCAACCTAATCTTATACCTTAAGGAATTAGACAAATAAGAATGAACTAAATCCAAAGTCAGCACAAAGAAGGAAATAATAAAGACTAGAGCAGAGATAAACTGAATAGAAAACATTAAAAAAAAAGAAAAAAATCAACCAAACCAGGAGTTGTTTTTTTTTAAAAAGAAAATCACTAAAATTGATAAACCCTTACTTAGATTAAGAAAAAAAGACTTAAATTTCTAAAATTAAAAATGAAAAAGGAGATATTATAACTGATGTCACAGAAATGAAAAGAATTATAAAGACTGCTGTAGTGAAAAGTTAGATGCCCACAAATTGGATGATCTAGAAGAAATGGATAAAGTTTTAGAGATATAAACCTACCAAGACTGAATCATAAAGAAATAAAAAATCTGAAAAGACCTATAATGAGTGTGGAGATTAAAGCAGTAATCAAAAACCTCCCAACAAAGAAAAGCCCAGGACCAGGTGGGTCCCCTGGAGAATTCTACCAAACAGTTAATACCAGTCCTTCTCAAATTCTTCCAGTGAACGGAAGAGAAAGGGACACTCTCAAACTCATTTAAACTCATTACCCTGATAACAAAACCAGACAAAGACACAATAAAGGAGAACTACAGGCCAATATCCCTGATGGATATTTGACACAAAAATTCTAAAGAAAATACTAGCAAACCAAATTATATTGCACATTAAAAAATCATACATCTTGACCAGCTAAAATTTATGCCTGGAATGCAAGGATGGTTCAACATATAAGACTCAGTCAATATATTATGCCACATTAACATCTCAATACAGAAAAGCAAAATTCAGTACCCTATCAGGATTTTTAAAAATACTCAACAAATTAGGAGTAGAAGGAAACTACCTCAACATAATAAAAGCTAACATTATGCTTAACAGGAAAAGACAGAAGGCTTTTCCTGTGAGATCCTGCAATAAAGCAAGGATGCCTGGTCTTGCCATTACTATTCAACATAGTACTGGAAATTCTAGCCAGAGTAATAAGACAGCAAAAAGAAATAAAAGGCATTCAACTTAGAAAAGACTTAAAAGATCTCTCTTTGCAGATAACATCTTAAATGTAAAAAGAATTTGAACAACATGGGTGAATCTCAAAAGCATTATGCTAAGTAAAAGAAGCCAGACAACTACTGGAATCAAATTAATGTATGATTCCATTTGTATTAAATTATATTAAAGGCAAAACTATACTGACAGTAGGTCAGTAACTGCCCAGAGTGGAGGACTACAAAGAGGCCCAAGGAAACTTTGGGGGATAATGGTTTCCAAAGTTCACATAATTGTACTATTAGAATTAGTGCATTCTATTGTAGGTAAATTATTTCTTTCATACCATCAATATTTAGAAAATGAAAGTTTATGAAAATATTACTTACCATAGCATATAAGTTTTTTAAAAATACCTAGAAATTAACCTCTAATGAAACGTAAGTCCTCTATAGTGTGAAATTGAGGGATGCTAAAGAAGATCTAAATATGCTGACAGAAATTTCTTATTCATGAATTAAAGGCAGTATGGCAAAGATACCAGTTCTGCTCAAATTGACTTGTAGATTCAATGTAATTCCATAAAAATTTCAGCCTTTTTAGCCTGTTTATCTGATTCTAGAATGTATATGGACAGGCTTTGAATACAAAAAGCAAGATAGGTGGACTTGCTATACTATATATCAAGATTTATTAGGAAAATAGAATAATTATAACACTGATAATGATACCAGAATGGTCAGTAGATAGAAAGCCTAGTAGTAAACACCCAAGCTTATATAGACATTTCCATGAAAGAAGTGCTGTGGCTGATCAGAAGGGAAATTAATGACTTTTAATAAATTATTTTGAGTAGTCATTTGGAAAAAAAGGAAATTAGACTGGTACTTCTCACCAGCTCCCCCATCCCCACCATCTGTTTTTTGTGTTAAAGTCCTAGGTGTGAAAGGCAAACCTGTAGTGCTTTTTAAAAAGAATATAGAATATCTCCATAGCTTTAGGAAAGGATTTTTTTCAACTAGACACAAAAACCATTAGCTGTAAAGGAAAAGATTTATACATTTGACTACATTAAAATTAAGAGCTTCTGTCATCAAAATACAATTTCTTAAAAAGGTGAAAAAATCAGAATGTGACAAGATACTCTCTGTTCCTCTACATTTATTTCTGCAGTACAAAAAAGTTTACATGTGATTGGCACATATGTAGAAAATGACATGAATTTAACTCAGGTTATACTAGTTTCTATGCCATTTTCCTCAGCAAGCTAATGTTTTTTATCATCAAATAGCTACAAGTAAATAAAATAAAAGAACACAACTGAATATTGCAGCTGAGGAAGAATATGGCAGTGTATATGATACCTATACACTTCAATTTATCCTCTTTTCTGTTTGACCATGTGTTCTGTTTTAAAAATCTTTATTGCACTATTTGCCCTATCTTCATTATTTAGTAGCCTAACACTTTCTTATACCCGTTTCTGTCAAGCCACCTTTTCTTTTCATTCCTTTCATTTTCTTAAAAGACCAGTATTTTATTTACTCTGTTATTTTTAATTGGGAATTTAACATGTCTTTTAAACTGTATTAATATTTTAAATTAGGACCATTATTTATTTTGTTAGTGTTCTAGTTACAAAGTTGCAAAGGTTTTGAGAAGTCAACCATGACTCTATTTTCTTCATAATCTCTCTTATTATGGGTGCATGATTTTTCAGAAAGTACTATTTCAAGAAAACATATTTCACAGAAATCCCCCATTTGCAATACATATGTCTGACAATGGATCACAGTACTTCATCAATACTAAGACAGTTATTTCACATTTTAACATCTCTACAGTTGGGAAGCATCTTAGAATAGATGAAATCTTTCAATTATAATTGCCAGGGTTTTTTCTTTCTTAGAGATAAAATAATGATGCAGTTTAGAAGGGGTTGGTTACTTAGATTTGATGATTTACTATAATATTCAGAATATAAAGAATTATAAATCAATTTTATTTTATTTTTTATTATACTTTAAGTTCTGGAATACATGTGCAGAATGTGCAGGTTTGTTGCATAGGTATGCATGTGCCATGGTGGTTTGCTGCACCCATCAACCTATCATCTAGATTTTAAGCCTCACATGCATTAGGTATTTGTCCTAGTGCTCTTTCACCCCTTGCCCCCCACACCCCGACAGACCCCAGTGTGTGATGTTGCCCTCCCTGTGTCCATGTGTTCTCATTGTTCAACTCCCACTTATGAGTGAGAACATGTGGTGTTTGGTTTTCTGTTCCTGTGTTAGTTTGCTGAGAATGATGGTTTCTAGCTTCACCCATGTCCTTGCAAAGGACATGAACTCATCCCTTTTTATGGCTGGATAGTATTCCATGGTGTCCCTGTGCCACATTTTCTTTATCCATTCTATCATTGATGGGCACTTGGGTTGGTTCCAAGTCTTTGCTATTGTGAATAGTGCTGCAATAAACATACATGTGCATGTGTCTTTATAGTAGAAGGATTTATAATCTTTTGAGTATATACCCAGTAATGGAATTGCTGGGTCAAATGGTATTTCTAGTTCTAGATCCTTGAGGAATCGCCACAGTGTCTTCCACAATGGTTGAACTAATTTACACTCCCACTAACAGTGTAAAAACGTTCCTATTTCTCCACATCCTCTCCAGCATCTGTCATTTCCTGACTTTTTAATAATCGCCATTCTAACTGATGTGAGATGGTGTCTTGTTGTGGTTTTGATTTGCATCTCTGTAATGACCAGTGATGATGAGCTTTTTTTCATATGTTTGTTGGCCACATAAATGTCTTCTTTTGAGAAGTGTCTGTTCATATCCTTCGCCCAATTTTTGATGGGGTAGTTTGTTTTTTTCATGTAAATTTGTTTAAGTTCCTTGTAGATTCTGGATATCATACCTTTGTCAGATGGATAGAATGCAAAAATTTTCTCCCATTCTATAGGTTGCCTGTTCACTCTGATGATAGTTTCTTTTGCTGTGCAGAAGCTCTTTAGTTTAATTAGATACCATTTGTCAATTTTGGCTTTTGTTGCTATTGTTTTTGGTGTTTTAGTCATGAAGTCTTTGCCCATGCCTACGTCCTGAATGGTATTGCCTAGGTTTTCTTCTAGGGTTTTTATGGTTTTAGGTCTTACGTTTAAGTCTTTAATCCATCTTGAATTAATTTTTGTGTAAGGTGTAAGGAAGGAGTCCAGTTTCAGTTTTCTGCATATGGCTAGCCAGTTTTCACAACACCATTTATTAAATAGGGAATCCTTTCCCCATTTCTTGTTTTTGTCAGGTTTGTTGAAGATTAGATGGTTATAGATATGTGGTGTCATGTCTGAGGCCTCTGTTCCATTCCATTGTTCTATGTATCGGTTTTGGTACCAATACCATATTGTTTTGGTTACTTTACCCTTGTAGTATAGTTTGAAGACAGGTGGTGTGACGCCTCCAGCTTTGTTCCTTTTGCTTAGGATTGTCTTGGCTATATGAGGTCTTTTTGTTTCCATATGAAATTTAAAGTAGTTTTTTCTAGTTATGTGAAGAAAGTTAATGGTAGCTTGATGGGGATAGCATTGAATCTATAAATTACTTTGGGCAGTGTGGCCATTTTCACAATATCGGTTTTTCCTATTCATGAGCATGGAATGTTTTTCCATTTGTTTGTGTCCTCTCGTATTTCCTTGAGCAGTGGTTTGTAGTTCTCCTTGAAGAGGTCCTTCATGTCCCTTGTAAGTTGGATTCCTAGGTATTTTATTCTCTTTGTAGCAATTGTGCATGGGAGTTCACTCATGATTTGGCTCTCTGTTTGCCTATCATTGGTGTATAGGAATGCTTGTGATTTTTGCACATTGATTTTTGTATCCTGAGACTTTCCTGAAGTTGCTTATCAGCTTAAGGAGTTTTTGGGCTGAGAAGATGGGGTTTTCTAAATATACAACCATGTCATCTGCAAACAGAGAAAAATTGACTTCCTCTCTTCCTATTTGAATACCCTTTATTTCTTTCTCTTGCCTAATTGCCCTGGCCAGAACTTCCAATACTACGTTGAATAGGAGTGGTGAGAGAGGGGATCCTTTTCTTGTGCCAGTTTTCAAAGAGAATGCTTCCAGCTTTTGTCCATTCAGTATGATATTGGCTGTGGGTTTGTCATAAATAGCTCTTATTATTTTGAGATATGTTCCATCAATGCCCAGTTTATTGAGAGTTTTTAGCATGAAGGTGTATTGAATATTATTGAAGGCCTTTTCTGCATCTATTGAGATAATCATGTGGTTTTTGTCATTTGTTCTGTTTATGTGATGGATTATGTTTATTGATTTGCATATGTTGAACCAGCGTTGCATCCCAGGCATGAAGCCAACTGGATCGTGGTGGATGAGCTTTTCTATGTGCTGCTGGATTCAGTTTGCCAGTATTTTATTGAGGTTTTTCGCATCGATGTTCATTAGGGATATTGACCTGAAACTTTCTTTTTTTGTTGTGTTCTGCCAGGTTTTGGTATCAGGATGATGCTGGACTCATAAAATGAGTTAGGGAGGAGTCCCTCTTTTTCTATTGTTTGGAAGAGTTTCAAAAGGAATGGTACCAGCTCCTCTTTGTACCTCTGGTAGAATTTGGCTGTGAATCCCTCTGATCCTGTGCTTTTTTTGGTTGGTAGGCTATTAATTACTGCCTCAATTTCAGAACTTGTTACTGGTCTATTCAGGAGTTCGACTTCTTCCTGGTTTAGTCTTGGGAGGATGTATGTGTCCAGGAATTTATCCATTTCTTCTAGATTTTCTAGTTTATTTGTATAGAGGCATTTATGGTATTCTCTGAAGGTAGTTTGTATTTCTGTGGGATCAGTGGTGATATCCCCTTTATCATTTTTTATTGCATTTATTTGATTCTTCTCTCTTTTCTTCTTTTTTATTCTGGCTAGTTGCCTGTTTTGTTAATCTTTTCAAAAAACCAGCTCCTGGATTCATTGATTTTTTGGAGGGTGTTTCATGTCTCTATCATCTTCAGTTCTGCTTTGATCTTGGTTATTTCTTCTGTTCTGCTAGCTTTTTTTTTTTGAGACAGAGTCTCACTCTGTCACCCAGGCTGGAGTGCAGTGGCACAATCTCGGCTCACTGCAAGCTCCGCCTCCTGGGTTCACACCATTCTCCTGCCTCAGCCTCCCAAGTAGCTGGGACTACAGGTGCCCGCCACTACACCCTGCTAATTTTTTGTATTTTTAGTAGAGACAGGGTTTCACCGTTTTAGCCAGGATGGTCTCGATCTCCTGACCTCGTGATCTGCCTGCCTCAGCCTCCCAAAGTGCTGGGATTACAGGCGTGAGCCATTGCACCCAGCCCTGTTCGGCTAGCTTTTGAATTTGTTTGCTCTTGCTTCTCTAGTTCTTTTAATTGTGACATTAGGTTGTCTATTTTAGATCTTTCCAGTTTTCCGATGTGGGCATTCAGTGCTATAAGCTTCCGTCTAAACACTGCTTTAGCTGTGTCCCAGAGATTCTGGTACATTTTGTCTTTGTTCTCATTGGTTTCAAAGAACATCTTTATTTCTTCCTTAATTTCGTTATTTACCCAGTAGTCATTCAGGAGCAGGTTTTTCAGTTTCTAAGTAGTTGTGCAGTTTTGGGTGAGTTTCTTAATCCTGAGTTCCAATTTGATTGCACTGTGGTCCGAGAGAGCGTTTGTTATGATTTCCGTTCTTTTGCATTTGCTGAGGAGTGTTTTATTTCCAATTATGTGGTTGATTTTAGAATAAGTGTGATGTGCTGAGAAGAATGTATATTCTGTTGATTTGGGGTGAATAGTTCAGTAGATGTCTATTAGGTCTGCTTGGTCCAGAGCTGAGTTCAAATCCTAAATATCCTTGTTAATTTTCTGTCTTGTTGATTTGCCTAATATTGACAGTGGGGTGTTATAGTCTCCCACTATTATTGTGTGGGAATCTAAGTCTCTTTGTAGGTCTCTAAGAACTTGCTTTATGAATCTGGGTGCTCCTGTATTGGGTGCATACATATTTGGGATAGTTAGCTCTTGTTGCATGGATCCCTTTACCATTATGTAATGCCCTTCTTTGTCTCTTTTGATCTTTGTTGGTTTAAAGTCTGTTTTATCAGAGACTAAGATTGCAACCCCTGCCTTTTTTTTTCTTTCCATTTGCTTGGTAAATATTCCTCCATCCATTTATTTTGAGCCTGTGTGTGTCTCTTTGCACATGAGATGGGTCTCCTGAATACAGCACACCAAAAGGTCTTGACTCCTTTATCCAATTTGCCAGTCTGTGTCTTTTAATTGGGGTATTCAGCCCATTTACATTTAAGGTTAATATTGTTATGTATTAATTATATCCTGTCATCATGATGCTAGCTGGTTATTTTGCACATTAGTCGATGCAGTTTCTTCATAGGGTTGTTGGTCTTTATATTTTGGTATGTCTTTGCAGTGGCTGGTACCAATTTTTCCTTTCCATATTTAATGCTTCCTTCAGGAGTAAGGCAGGCCTGTTGGTGACAAAATCCCTCAGCATTTGCTTGTCTGTAAAGGATTTTATTTCTCCCTCACTTCTGAAGCTTAGTTTGGATAGATTTGAAATTCTGGGTTGAAAATCCTTTTCTTTAAGAATGTTGAATATTGGTCGCCTACTCTCTTCTGGCTTGAAGGGTTTCTGCAGAGATCTGCTGTGAGTCTGATGGGCTTCCTTTGTAGGTAGTCTGACCTTTCTCTCTGGCTGCCCTTAACATTTTTTCCTTCATTTCAACCTTAGAGAATCTGACGATCATGTGTCTTGTGATTGCTTTTCCCAAGGAGTATCTTAGTAGTGTTCTCTATATTTCCTGAATTTGAAAGTTGGCCTCTCTTGCTAGGTTGCGGAGGTTCTCCTGGATAATATCCTGAAGTGTGTTTTCCAACTTGGTCCCATTCTCCCTGTCACTTTCAGGTATACCAGTCAATCATAGGTTTGGCCTTTTCACATAGTCTCATATTTCTTGGAAGCTTTGTTTGTTCCTTTTCATTCTTTTTTCTCTAATTTTGTCTTTATGCTTTATTTCATTAAGTTGATCTTCAGTCTCTGATATCCGTTCTTCCACTTGATTGATTTGCTTATTGATACTTGTATATACTTCATGAAGTTCTCGTGCTGTGTTTTTCAGCTCCATCAGGTCATTTATGTTTTTCTCTAAACTGGTTATTCTAGTTAGCAGTTCCTGTAACCTTTTATCAATGCTCTTAGCTTCCTTGCATTGGGTTAGAAGATGGTCCTTTAGCTCAGAGGAGTTTGTTATTACCCACCTCCTGAAGCCTACTTCTGTCAATTCATCAAACTCATTCTCTGTCCAGTTTTGTGCCCTTGTCAGAGAGGAGTTGTGATTATTTGGAGGAGAAGAAGCATTCTGGTTTTTGGAATTTTCAGCATTTTTGTACTGGTTTTTCCTCATCTTTGTGGATTTATCTACCTTTGATCTTTGATGCTGATGGCCTTTGGATGGGGTTTTTGGGTGAGCGTCCTTTTGGTTAATGTTCATGTTATTGCTTTCTGTTTGTTAGTTTCCCTTCTAATAGTCAGGCCCCTCTTCTGCAGGTCTGCTGGAGTTTGCTAGAGGTCCACTCCAGACCCTGTTTGCCTGGTATCACCAGCAGAGGCTGCAGAACAGCAAAGATTGCTGCCTGCTCCTTCCTCTGGAAACTTCCTCCCAGAGGGGCACCCACCTGATGCCAGCCAGAGCTCTCCTGTATGAGGTGTCTGTTGACTCCTACTGGGAGGTGTCTCCCGGTCAGAAGGCATGGGGGTCAGGGACCCACTTGAGGAGGCAGTCTGTCCCTTAGCAGAGCTTGAGCAGTGTGCTGGGAGATCTGCTGCTCTCTTCAGAGTCGGCAGGCAGGAACATTTAAGTTACTGAAGCTGCACCCACAGCTGCCCCTTCCCCCAGGTGCTCTGTCCCAGGGAGATGAGAGTTTTATCTATAAGCCCCTGACTGGGGCTGCTGCCTTTCTTTCAGAGATGCCCTGCCCAGTGAGGAGGAATCTAGAGAGGCAGTCTGGCCACAGCCGTTTTTCTGCGCTGCAGTGAGTTCCACACAGTCCGAACTTCCTGGCGGCTTCCTTAACACTGTGAGGGGAAAACCACCTACTCAAGTCTCTGCCATGGTGGATGCCCCTCCCCCCACCAAGCTCGATCATCCCAGGTGGACTTCAGACTGCTGTGCTGGCACTGAGAATTTCAAGCCAGTGGTTCTTAGCTTGCTGGGCTCTGTGGGAGTGGGACCCACTGACCAAGACCACTTGGCTCCCTGGCTTCAGCCCCCTTTGCAGGGAAGTGAACAGTTCTGTCTCACTGGAGTACAAAAAAAAACTCCTGCAGCTAGCTCAATGTCTGCCCAAACAGCCGCCTCGTTTCGTGCTTGAAACCCAGGGCCCTGGTGGTGTAGGCACACGAGGGAATTTCCTGGTCTGCAGGTTGCAAAAGCTGTGGGAAAAGCATAGTATTTGGGCCAGGTAGCACAGTCCCTCATGGCTTCCCTTGGTTAGGGGAGGGAGTTCCCTGGCTCCTTGTGCTTCCTGGATGAGGCGCTGCCCCACCCTGCTTCTGCTCACCCTCCGCGAGCTGCACCCACTGTCTAACCAGTCCCAACGAGATTATCTGGGTACCTCAGTTGGAAATGGAGAAACCACCCACCTTCTGTGTTGGTGTTGCTGGGAGCTGCAGACCAGAGCTTTTCCTATTTGGGCATCTTGCCAGCTCCCACAAATCAATTTTAAAGACACAAACCCAACAGAGAAATGGGGAAAGACTTGAATAACCACTTCACAACAGAGGAAATCTATATGGCTTCTAAATGTATTAAAAAGAATGTTTAATCTCATAAAGCAATTGCTTTATGAGGTTGAAGTGAAGGGTAAAATCTTGAGTAGCCCTCCTATTTTTCGGATGTCTTGTTCATTGTTGAGGTTGTGGATGATATATCCGGAGCATATGAATAGTATGGCTTTAAAGAAAGTGTGGGATTAAATAAACAGTGAAGTGACTTTACACACCCAGGATATTGGAAAAATCTTATAAGCCTCATGACAAGTATTGGTGTGGACAGAAGAGAATGCATGTTATGTGATTCCATTCATACGAGGTTGCAAAAGTGGCAAAACTAAGCTATGTTGCTTAAAAATGCATTATTTAGTTGGTACAATCATTAAAAAGGAAAGGAAATCATCACAGATGTCAAGATGGTAGTCACTTTTGAGGATGGAGGGAGGGAGAGGTTTATCATCAGAGACACACAAGAAGGTTTTTGAGGTCCTGGTAATGTTCTGCTTTTTGCTTGGGTTGATTTGCTTGTAACTAAACAGAAAGGGTAAATGATCAGTTATGTCAAATGTTATTCATAGGTCAGTTAAGATGAGGGTAAGACTTGGCCATTGAGTTCAGCAAAGTGGAGACTATTGTTGAAACATAGCACATTGTCTCAGTGAATGGTTGGGGAAAAGATCTTATTTGAATAGGCTCAGGAGACAGTGAGAGGAGAATTGGAGACTGTGTATGGCTCCAAAGAACTCTTCGGAGCAATTTTTATGTATAAAGGAGAAATGTGGTGAGAAGTGGGGGTGAGGGGGGATGTAGAAAGCTTTATATAAAATATACAGTATTAGGAGAATATAAAGATAAATTTTATGGAATGCGAAAAGTAATGGGGTGAAGGAAGGAAGATAACTTTATGTGTATTGGGTTGTATGGTTTTGTGGGGGGAGTGAAAATTTATAATACTTTGTAAAGAGAATTAACATTAAAACTATTTTCTAGTCTTAGAAATATATGGTAGAATTACACATACCATTCATATCTGTCCATGAAAAGAATCATGGACAACATCCTGCTCAACACCACCTTGCAGAAAGAGAAAGCCAAAAGAGATTAAGTAGTTGCCTAAATTGTGCCGTTAATAATAATCACAGACCAAAACAGAGTTCCTCCTGCCCTTTCGATCAGTGCTGTTTTTATAGTATTATCTATAATATGGCTTGCTTTTAAATTGTTTTTTAGTCATTATGTTTTATAGTGGAGTTTATTTGGATATCTCAATTAGCCTTTGCTGTATAACAGACTACCCTAAAACTTAGTGGCTTAAAATAGTGATGTTTATTTCTCATGATTTCATGAGTTGGGCTCAGTCGGGACCATTCATGTGGCTATAATCATTGACAGCTCAACTGGAGCTGGAGGGGCTAAGATGGCCTCATTCATGTGTCTGGGGCCTTGCTGCTTTTTGTTGGCTTGGGCTCTCTTTATCACTCAGTAGTCTAGCCTGGACTTCCTTGCATGGTAGCAGGAGCATTCCAAGAGGGTGAATATGGAAGTCTAGATCCCTAAACTTGGACAACATCACAGCCTTTACATTAAATTAATCAAAGCATATCATCAATCCAGTCCAAATTCAAGGGATGAGGCAACAGGCCCCACCTCTTAGGAGGTGCAGAATATCGTCATCATATTTTTTCCATCTGTCATAGATAATTACAAATTATAATTTTAATCCTTGAATTTCCTTTTTTTTTTAAGAGACAGGATCTCACTCTGTCGTCAAGGCTGGAGTGCAGTGGTGCTGCAATGATAACCCACTGCATCACTGCATCCTTCAACTCCTGGTCTCAAATTATCTTCCCACCTCAGCCTCACGAGTGGCTAGGACTACTGGTGTGCATCACTATACCTGGCTAATTTTAAAAATTTTTTTATAGAGACGAGGTCTTACTATGTTGCCCAGGCTTGAGTTAATGTCTAATGTTAACTTTTATTTAATATGGAGCTAAGAAGCTGTTGATTCAGAGAATCTAACAATGTAGTTTTGGTCAATAATGAGAAATATAAAAATTTGAAAATAAAAAACGTATTAAAAATTAAAGGAAAAAAGCTGTTTTCCAGATTTTATATCCTCTATGATGTAAAACAGGTAAAGAAATGCTTATTTTTAGAAAAAAAAATTGGGTTAAAAAATGGGGGAGAAAATTCAATATAGTCTTTGTTGCACAGAATGTTGACATAATCATTATTTTCTCAGATTATTACCATTAATTTGTTATCATAATCTTTGTTTTTTTTTGTGCATGTTACAGAATATAATAGAATGTAATGTGACTAAAAACAGTAGGAGCAATTAAGAGTTTCCCATGAATTAACTTACAGTAATAATAAGAGCATATTGCCAGGCACTGTCCTAAATGCATTTGTTTACAATTTCACTTAATTTATTTGACAGCTATGTATATTCAGCACCTACTGTGATCTTTGCACTGTGTCAAGACTTGGGGCTATTACTCTGAATCAAATCGACATGGTTTCTGCATGTTGCCATACCCTAGATAGAAATCAGGGAAGGTTCTCTAAAGGAACTTTCTAAGCCAGGACCTGAAGGATGAGTAGAAGTTAGCTGAGGTGAGAGTGGGAAAGGGAGTAGGAAGTCCTCTGGGGACATGACAACGACCTTGAAAGTATGTGAGTGAAAGGAACATTAAAATAATTGAAAAATATATGTAGTATACTAAAGCCTAATGTGAAAGGAATGAGGCAAGAAAGAATTTGGGGAGGTTGCCAGGGGCCAGATCACAAAGGGCTTTGTAAAATGTGTTGTTATAGAATCTGGATTTTATGCCAAGGATCATGGGAAGCCATTGATAGGTTTAGAGAGAGATTTTGTTTGTTTCCTCAGACTGTGTTTTAGAAAAGTCACTGACTGCAGTGACTAGGAGGAGTGTAGCTGGGAAGAAGTAAAGGTTGACCTAGGGGTACCAACAATAAAGGTCCTAGATAATGATATGAATTCAGTGATTATGGGAATGAAAAGAAGTATTTAGAAATACTTATGAGGTAGATTTGGTGACTGGATGTGGAGTAGAGGGAAGAGCCCAAGACGACTGACTCTCAGATTTCCTACCTGGAGTGCTATTACTGAATAGGGGCCTAAGTGGAGGAACAGGTTTGAGAAGGAAAGTGTTCTTGTCCTAGACTTGCAACCAATTCCCAGTGAAAATCCTGTATCTCTTTGTATTATCTAGTATTTGAAATGACATTGTGTAAAAGTGACTCTTGTTTAGTAAAATTCAGTCAAATGTAGCAATGCTGCCATAACCTGAATTTACACCTTGAAGCTGAAAGATTGTACTTTAGCATTTAGTGATCTGTTACTGTAGTTAATTTTATGAAACAATTTACTTACTGCTTAATTTTTAAAAATTACTTGAAGAGAATAATGGCTAAGAAGCCATATGTGAATACCTATCTTAAGCCTTTTATTCACATATAAAGTAACTTTATAACCAGTGTTTGTCCAACTTTTAAAAATAAAGTTCATTAAAATAACTTATAAAAAATATTATTTTTTGTCTTTCATGACTCTAGTAAGTAGAATGTTTACATTTATGCTAGAGATGAAAAAATTAAGTAGGATAACTACTTTAAAATAAGTCTGTCTTTCACCAGGTGTGCACATGTATCAAAACATGTTGTATGCTATAAATATATACAATTTTATCTGTGAATTTTACCTTAATAAAGTTGGGGCAGGGGAATGAAACATCTCTTATGTGTTCTCTACAAACTGAATATTCTTTTACTTTGAATATTTTGTAAGTTTAAAAGTACTTTACAACCTACTTTTTTTTTTCTTTTTTCTTAGGCACTACAAGGGCCCCCAGGGATGGAGAAGTACCAGGAGTGGATTATAATTTCATTTCCGTTGAACAGTTCAAAGCACTGGAAGAGAGTGGAGCATTGTTAGAAAGTGGGACATATGATGGTATGTCCCCAAATAACATCACTACCACCCAAAAAACTATCTGAACGACTGGAATTATTTCAGAGGGAATTTGACCAGTAAAGTACCACTTTTTGAAAAACTTTTTTTCCTCTCTGTTTTTGAGAAAATTTTCTTTTGATGGGGAGATTTGTAATTTATTAATTAAAATGGGATTAAATAATAAGCAAAAAAAATCCATCATATTTTAAAGTTGATTGTGAACAGTATACTAAAAATCAGCCAGACTGGCCAGTTTATATATTTCATAGTAATTCACATTCATCATGTGAACTCAGTGAGTATTTGTTGATTGCATTTTATTTGTGGTTGGAATTCAAAATCTGTACTTTAAAAAACTTACATGTACCTTGACTATCCTGGAAAAAAGAGAATATAAAATTTGGGGAGAAAACAACAAAAACAGAATAATTGGTTTTCTTTTCATTTCTGTTTCCTCTACCCACTTGATTCCATTGATATTTGATATTTGAGATCAATTTCCATTTTTAAATGACTCTGTTAGATCTATTTTTCCCCTTATGTAACATACCCTTCCCTGGCAAGCTTATCCACTTCCATAGCACCCTACGCTATGGTCCATTATTGCTTTTTCATACTATTATAATTGCCTGTTTATAAGCTCTGTGATAGTAATGGTCATGTCTTTCTTACTTGATATTATCTTCAGTGCCTAAAGATAGTGTTCAATAAATATCTAACCTGGAATTCAGCGTATCTAAATATGCATTTGTGTTCTATCCAAAAGAGAAATTCTTCATCATTTCTCTCTTTAGCAGCACCATGATCTCAGAACAGTGAAATCATTATTTACTTTCTCCTTTTTCTCACATTTCACATCCATTTGCCAAATCTCATCATTTCTTCTTTTGTAGCTGCATTCACAATACCCTTCTTTCACTTTCACCACCTCATTGTAGGCCCACTAGAAGAGCTCATGTGTGGACTATTGCTGTTGATCTCATTTGTTCCCATTTCTTCCACCCTGCCCATTGCTACCATGCTAGTCTTCTTCAAGAGCAGCTTTATCATGTCTCTCTCCTATTCAGAACTTTCAATGATTTCCTTTCATCTGCTAAGTTTAACCTAACTACCTTTTCTGGGCTTAGCGCCCATGACTCATTCATTTGTTCATTCGTTTTATCCTGTTTTATTCATTAAACAACCATTTATTAAGTACCTACTATGTGCCAAGTACTAAAAGAGAATCTCGGAATACTGTAATGAACAAGATTAAAGTGCTTTTGAAGTTTTTTTTTGTTTGTTTTTGTTTTTTTTTAAGAAGCCCTCTCCCCTTAAATGATGAAGATGCTCTACATTTTCTTCCACTAAATATAAGAGCTTGGTATGGACGAAGTGGCATATTACTTATTATTAATTGCTGTGTGCTCAATTCAAAGAAAATGCAAATTAAAATAGTTGTACATTATTTCACATCCATAGATTGGCAACAATTTTACAGTCTGATAATTGCAAGAAATGGAAACTCCCATACACTGCTGGCAAGACTATAAAATGGTATAATCCTTCTGGAGAGCATCGTGGCAGTAGCTGGTAAATTTGAAGATATACATAACTCTGACCTAGCAGTGCCCCTCTCTAGACATCTACTCAGGAAAAACTGTTGCCCATATGCATATGTAGACACATATGGGAATATTTGTTATAGTGTGAAACAGTGACAGAATGGAAACAACTCTCCTTTAGTAGAATGAATAACATACATTTTAATTTGTTCATAAAAATGGACTGCTATACAGCAGTTCAATGTACTGGATTTATAGGTATCAACATTAATAGGTCTTAAGAGGCATAAAAAGTATAAAATTATATAAAGGTATAAAATTGTATAAAAAGAAAGTTACAAAAGGATATGTACATTATACTATTTATGAAAAAATATGTGAAATATTGTGAAAATACTCTGTGAAGCTTTTATGAAAACAATAGTATTTACATGTTATAGATGCATATATACATATCCTAGATGTATATTCAGGAGGAAAGACACATATCAACTTCAGGACAGCTCAGGGAGGGAGTGGCTATAGGGACAGGAAGTTAGAGCTTTAATTGTAGATGTGGCCATATATGTATATATCCTTAAAGAGAAAAAAAGGGAGATTTGAAAGCAATCTAGCAATAATATCTAGATGATGTATATATAAATAAATACATGTACATATACTTATATAAGTAAATTTTATATAGATATTTCTAATACTATTCTGATACTACAGTCTGTAATTTTATATGTTTGAAATATTGAATAGTTGGCATTTCTGCAAAAATGAAAAAGCCTTCAGAAAATAAAAAAAACTTCAAAACAGCTCTAAAACAATGAAAATCTTTGTCAGTAACTATAGTTAGGGTTCACAAACCTTGGAATTGTATACTGTATCTGAAAACTTGGTATTTACCAACATCTCAAGAAAAAATAGATCTAATTTATTTTATTTATTTATTTATTTTTATTATTATTATACTTTAAGTTCTAGGGTACATGTGCACAACATGCAGGTTTGTTACATATGTATACATGTGCCATGTTGGTGTGCTGCACCCATTAACTCATCATTTACATTAGGTATATCTCCTAATGCTATCCCTCCCCCCAGATCTAATTTATTTATAAACAATGCTAATTTTTTTTTAATCTGAGCCCCATAATTATCTTTTTAAACAAGGAAACTGCCCAAAATTATTATGAAGTCCTAAAATCTTTTCAGTGATTATGGATGGCAGTTATCATATCCTGCATTTTTATATTTTCCCCTTAGAAAAAGGTTAAATTTTCTCGAGTTAGATAATAATTACCAAGAATTCTCAGTAAGATGTGTTTCTAGTAGTACTACTACCTTACTTAGAAAAAGTGGACTTTTTATTTCTGTCATGGTATATCCAGTTTCCTTGATACTGTGATTAATGGGCATAATTCAGGAAAAATAGAGACCCTCGAACCTCCTAATCCCCAGCCAAATCTCTGTTTGGTGTATTTCTGTGCCGGCTGCCCCAGAGAAGCGTGACTGGCTTTTTCATTGGTTCTTTGCTTTACTTCTGAGCTAGAAAGTTTGCAGAAAGTTTAGTCTGTTTTCATACAAATCTTTGCATCCATCTGTATGACTGGAGTAACTCCATTTCAAATATGGATTTGGAAACAAGGGAGTAGGTGAGTAGGGAGAGACAGGATGTCATTGAAAAGTTTTTTAGTTTCATTTTATTGTTTTGTCTTCATTATTTTAATGACAATTACTGCTGAAAGTCAAACTTCCAAAGAATTCATGTTAAATGTTTTCCCCCTCAAAACATGCACAATTTAAGGTAAACTATGTAATGTCTAGATTTGTCTCAGCATTATGGGGAAGAACCTATGCTATTTTCTATCTAGGAAAAAACAATCAATTATCTACCTCATTAATTTACCTTAGGTGAATGAGCATCTTAATTACTTCCTTAGGAGCTAAGGAATTTGATTAGAAAATATGATTTTAGAAAAATCATGAGTATTTTACTCTCTAATCATATATATATTTCTCTAACGTTAGCATAATGATTAATAGAATGTCAAAAGTAGTAGGAACCACAAACTGTTAATGTGGCTAGACCTGTTGAGTGCTTTCCCATATTATTTGGCGGCCTAGTGGGAACTGCATGACAAATTGAGAAGATACTCAATTGTTTTCATTCTTTTCTGGAACATTTATTTTTACTGCAAAAATTACAGATTCTCAAGAGAAAGTTAAAGTATTTCTTGCTTTCCTGAGAGTAAGCCAATACTGAATTATCCTGCTAATGTCTCTGTTTGTTCAATAAATTGTCAGATAAAATAATAGAATGCTCAGAAAAACTTTTAAAAATTACCCTTACATAAAAAGCCTACATTTTTATATGATCTGGTTAGTTCTTAGCTTAACCTTTACCTACATACTTCCTCATTTTACCAAAATAGTTCATTATGTTACACATTAGAACAAAATTATTTCAGTTAGTTTTATCCTCATTTACCCCCACCTTTTATGCCAATTAGTCTTACATGACAGCATCAATGCATTTAAATTCACAAAGTATGTCCTAATTCAGAACCCATGTAAGGCAATCCCTGTAGGAATGAATAATCTACTTACATACAGTCAACTTCCTGGCCTTAAACAAATAGTATTAAGATATTAGATAATATATGTGAAGAGCACTTGAGAAATTAGTTCTTTCCCCTATTTCTGCTCTCTCTTCTCGTAAGATGAGTGCTTTGAGCGCTTTGGCCTCCTTTTGGCCAATGGTAGATATTTCCTTTTTTTTTTTTTTTTTTTTTTGAGGCAGAGTCTCTGTCACCCAGGCTGGAGTGTAGTGGCGCAATCTCAGCTCATTGGAACCTCTGCCTCCTAGATTCAAGTGATTTTCCTGCCTCAGTCTCCCGAGTAACTGGGATTCACAGGCATGTGCTACCATACCTGGCTAATTTTTGTGTTTTTAGTAGAGATGGGTTTTGCCGTGTTGGCCAAGCTGATCTGAAACTCCTGACCTCAAATGATTCACCCATCTCGACCTCCCAAAGTGCTGGGATTACAAGTGTGAGCCACCATGCCCACCCCTATGGTAGATATTTCAAAACTTCTTTGTGAAAAACAGGGCAGAGACATACACTAGGTCAAATTGCTCTGACTCTCACTGCAACATTAGTAATTTCAGCTGCTATTTTATTCACTTCAGGAAACTTCTATGGAACTCCCAAGCCTCCAGCAGAACCCAGCCCTTTTCAGCCAGATCCAGTTGATCAAGTCCTCTTTGATAATGAGTTTGATGCAGAATCTCAAAGAAAACGAACGACATCTGTCAGCAAGATGGAAAGAATGGATAGCTCTCTTCCTGAAGAGGAAGAAGATGAGGACAAGGAAGCTATTAATGGCAGTGGAAACGCAGGTTTGTAAATAGATGAACAACTTCTAACTGATCTTCTAGATTGATTTTACTATTACGTTGAATTAAAAGCACTAAAATTTTTTACAAAGCATATGGAGAGCAAGTGATGGGATTTTAATTTTTTTGTAAAGGTTGTATGTGGAGCAAAGTGTATTTCTGTAGACCATCCTATAAGCTAAAGTGAGTTGTCCCAATTTGGATAAATCAATGATAAACTATCATTAGTAATAAAATATATGCCATTACCCTGCTGTTTAAAATATTTGAGATTTGCCTCTGATGTTGCAATGTGGGAGTCTTGTTGGCCTATGTCTTACTTTACAGGATGTAAACAATATATGGATGTTTTAGAATGTAGACTTCAGCCTAAACAAAGTAAATAGGGCTTGAAAGTATGCTGATAAAAATTATCTAAAAGGTTGGTTTATAATATTTTGAATTTAAATTTTGGATTCACTCAAAGAAAAATTTCAAATATGAGACCCTTCATTAAATGTAAAACCAACAGAAATTCAGTGGTGAAGAATCTGCTCCTTTTGAGTAGCCCTAATTAATGTGGTGATTGCTTAGAGGGTTATTAGACTTATAACTGAGAGTATAACTAGGAAACCATAGAATCACAGCTGAGCTTATTCAATGGTATTCATTGCAAAAATTCCATTCAGAACACTAGAATGTAAACTTCATAGGGCTGAAGTTTTCCTTTTTTTATGTACTGTTCTATCCCTTCCATCAAAAACATGCCTGGCATGTAATAGGAACTAAAATCCTCAAATTTGCAGAACACATTTCCTTATCATTTTCCCAAAGCACCCTAATCTTTTTCATCAATTATTAAAATGTGATATGTATATTTATTGAGTTAATACATTCATTGTTTATGTCCCACTCCAGAGTGTGAGTTCTGTTTTATAGTCCTATCTTTCACATAATACGTTTAATGTTAAATGGATTACCCCAATGTATTTAAATGTAAATACTAAAAACAGGTTTTAAAAGGTTTAGGTGAATTCACATCTAATTTTTAGGAGTTCCTAAGGGAACTCATCACACCGTTGAGCCTTTTAATGTTGATATCAGCTTTGCTATCCCACAAAATTAAGTCTGTTAACATTTAAAAATGCTAAACAGTAGGATTGGAGACCATGAATCTTTCCCAATATGGGAATTTATATGTTCTTGATTTAAGGGAAAAGAAAATGTTCTTTTTTTACTTCCTAATACAGAGCCTTTAATTGATCACTGCAGTTCTTTTAGCGGTAAACTTGTTTGTAATCTCTATAGTTGATGCTTCATGTAAGTCACTTGTTAAACTGATGTTATATACTCTTTGATGTTAATATTTAAAGGGAATATATCCAAGGGTGTGTGGGAGGCAGTTCGTATACTACCTCTTATGTATAGATACCATAGGACACTTACATTGAATTACATATTTCTTTGTCATAGAAAATATACAGGACATTTAAGTGAAAAAATACAAAGCACCCGCCTACAAACAGAATTCACCTTCTGAATAAGTATGAACTGTAGTTGTTAGTTAACTAATCAAAGTTGGGGAAATATGCTTTGTGTGTTGCTTTTGTTGTTTTTTGTTTATTTGTTTGTTTGTTTGTTTTGAGACAGAGTCTCCCTTTGTTGCTCAAGCAGGAGTGCAGTGGTGCGATCTTGGCTCACTGCAATCTGTCTCCTAGGCTCACACAATTCTCATGTCTCAGCCTCCTAAGTAGCTAGGATTACAGGCATGTGCCACCCTGCCCAGATAATTTTTGTATTTTTAGTAGAGACAGGGTTTCACCATGTTGGCCAAGCTGGTCTCGAACTCCTGGCCTCTGGTGATCCGCCTGCCTTGACCTCCCAGAGTGCTGGGATTACAGGCGTGAGCCACCGTGCCCAGCCTGTGTATCGCTTTGGAATCCCTGCCTTGAAAAATCAGAAAATTGTTCGGGAGTAGAAATGAGGAGAGGATAGGTAGAGGTTTATTTGTGCACACCAGTATGTTTATTATTTTATATCTTGCTGAAGAAATAACCCAAAAGAAAGTTAAAATGGTCATGTACAATAACATATGTTACGTAATAATTATTTTTTTTCTAAGAAATGGTTTTATATAAAGAACATCTTCCCAAGTCATTGGCTATTAAGCAAACTCCTTTATTCAATTGCTTGGAACTATATTAAGAAAAGTGTTATAGATCATATACTTGCTTTTACTTTTCTCCAACATGGTTATTTCCCAAGAATGTAACTCCTTTCCAGATTGATTTTTCCATTAGGTACCTTTTAATTTCTATCATTTTTTCTGCATACAAAATAAATCATGTGTTTGATTCATTTATTTATTCAACAAATATGTAGTGAGCACTTACTAGAATACTAAATGCCATTGTGCTAAATGCTAGCAATAAAGCAGTGAACAAAACGGACAAAAACCTGTCATGAACTATACCTTCTGGTGGGAGAGACAGAACTGGCCAACTTAAATGAATAACATACATCGTGTGTTAGATGGTGCTACAGAGAAAAATGAAGCAGAGCAGGAGGTGGTAAGATGTGGTGGTCAAGGTTTGCAATTTTAGACAGTGTGGAAGAAAAGACTTGAAAGAATCAAGTGAGTAAACTCAGGATATCTGGGAGAAGAGCATTCTAGACAGACAGAACTGGAGGTACAAATGCCCAGAGATGGGAACATACCTAGAATATTCAGGCAATAGCAAGGAAACCAGAGTGGTTGGATACAATGTGGACAATGCATTCTATGTGGTTGGAGCAGAGTGATGGAAGGCAATAGAATAGAATAGTAACCAATAAGATCATTTAGATAATGATGGGCATGAGGAGGGAAGAATGTATATAATAAAGCATCTTGTAGGTCATTGGAAGAATTTTGATTTTTATTCTGAAATGAGAAACGATTATGGGGTTTTGATTCAAAGAGTAACATGGTACAACAGTTTTTAACAGGCTTATTGTGACTACTGTATTGAGAATAGGCAAAAGGAGGACATGGGCAAAATACCCTAACTGGGATACCAGTTAGGAGGTTATTGAATGTGCAAGGAAGAAAGTGATCAGATGCTGCTGATAACTCAAGTAGGATGGAACTGAGAAATGATCATTGGATTTAGCAATGTAGAGGTTATTGATGACCTTGATAAGAATAGTTTAATGATAGGAATTCAAAAGCCTTGTTGGAGTGAGGTCCAGAGAGAACTGGAAGAGTGGAAGTGGAGGTAGCAAATATAAACTCTTTCAAGGTGGTTTGGTGTAAAGAGGAGAGAAATAGGTTGGCTGCCAAGGGGTAAAGAGAATTATTTTCTTTTTACTGAACTGGGAACATGTTTTTATGTGGTTGGATATGATCTAATAGATAGAGAAGATTGGTGATGCAGGAAGGAGAGTGAAAGAATTGCTGTAGGCAAGAGAAGATGGGATATAATTTATAATTGGAGGGTTAGCCCTAGCTAGGAGTACAAACAGTTCTTCCATAGTAACAGATGGTGGAGTCAATGGGCACAGTTTCTGTGTAGATGTGATGGTGGGAGTTTGTGGAAGTTTTCTTCTGCTTGCTTCTATTTTGTTAGTGAAATAAGACACAAGGTCATCAAATGAGATGAGGGATAAGGGAAAAGTAGTGGATGGTTTAAGGAGAAAGAAGGTATGAAATAATTATCTTGGAGAATGTCAGAGTGAATCAACTAAAGAAATGTGCTATGATCATCATGCATCATTAAATGCCCACATAAGGTTAGTGATCATGAATTTAAAGTAAACTTGTCAATATTGCCTGTATTCAGCTGTGTATGGTGACATGGAGTAGGTGGAGAGTAGGATTTAAGCAGAGTTCTGATTTAGCCAGGCAGTATTATGAAGTAAGGTTAGGGCAAAGGAATCAGGAATATTTACAAGGGAATAATTATAGTGGTTCATCATGGAATTTAAGTTGGGTTAGCAGGGCAATGGGGAAATGGGTAGAGGATAAAGAATAGTGAAAGGTAGTAAATAGTAGGGCATGGTTAGATAAAGAATGGTTGGAGTTGAAATACTATAGAGAAGGATATCTAAGGATATATAAGATCTCTGTCAGATTCTCTGAATCTGAGCCATTGCCTGCAATTTGAAGTTGTTATAGTGATATTACATAGCATCGTTTAAGTTTTAGAAACAAGTTTTAAGTACACGAATTGTGAACTCCCTAGACAGTACCCAAATTTTAGTATTCTTACCTACATTATGGGCTTTGGGACTCTAAAAGGATTTTAATATTACTAAACAGAATTATATTTAACAACAGGAACTCTATTGAGTGTAATTTTTAAAAATTACTATTATTTAAAGGCCAGTGTTAAATGTGTACAAGGCAGCTTAGTATAGCAGGTGAGAGCATGGACCACTTAGATTCAGTTCATGGCTTTGCTGTTTATTGGCAGTGTAATTTTGACTAAGTTAACTTAACCTCTCTGTGCCTTAGTTTTCTCAGTCTATAAAACAAGGAGATTAATAATAGATACTCACAGGGTTGCTGTGATGATTATGAGTTAACATACAGAAAGCACTTAAAATAGAGCCTGACACATAAAAGGACTACATTAGTGCTGCTGTAGCTGCTGTGGCTTATTAGGATTTATACTGAATTAATTCTATTGTTGTTTTTTGCTTCTTTCCAAGACTAGCATCAGAGGTGCTATACAGAGTTAATTGTCAATTACTAGGGGAAAAGAGTTGAATATGTTGGTTATTTTAAAATTTATAGCAGAATGTGGACATAATAGACAAGAAATTTGCCATATTTATGTATTTGGAATTTTTTTAGAAAGGAAAGGTGCTGTTTGAAGAAGAATATAACTTTACCCACTTTTCACACCTTTCTGTTTTGAACAATGGCAGAAAACAGAGAGAGGCATTCTGAGTCATCTGACTGGATGAAGACTGTTCCAAGTTACAACCAAACAAATAGCTCCATGGACTTTAGAAATTATATGATGAGAGATGAGACTCTGGAACCACTGCCCAAAAACTGGGAAATGGCCTACACTGACACAGGGATGATCTACTTCATTGAGTAAGCAAATGTCTCTATCTCTTCTAATGTGCCCTAACATGTTGAGGATTGTCTAAGATTTTTTTAAACCTCATTTTAGACACATACCTTTTTCAGAAGACTCATTTTTTTTCTTTCTTTAAAAATATTTTTCATAAAACTGACAGTTGATTTTTAATCAGATTTAATCTGACACTTCATTTTTATTTGACTTGGATAAAGGAATAGTGTATTTGACTTCTGGTTTTATAAGAGCAGGAGGATCAAAAACAGTTCACGAATGGTGAAAAATGTAAAGAATAAAGGGTATTTTGCTTGGCTTTTTAAAAAGCTTTTAGGTAGATTGTCCAGCTTAATGAGATTTCAAGAATTGTCATCATGAGTAGGAGCATATTATTATCCGAATTAAATATTTTCAGTCCTGGAGTTTGAGTTTGATGTGTTCAGGCAATATAGTTGAATGATGTAGGAAGAAAATATCACTGATCATCAGAGTAATTGGTACAAATTTAAGTTCACAAAAAACATTATTTTTATGGAAAAGCACTATTAATATAATATTTATAGAGATACTGATTACCATATATATTAGATCAACCTAAAATTGTATGTTGTTTGTACTAGAGAATAATATTATGCAAATAATTATTGGAAGTTTTATCATGAAGAATTTTTATATTCTCACGTAGCTGTAATTCTCATCGTAAAGTAATTTGCCCAAAGGTAGAATATTAATGTAGTAAAGTTACAGAATATAACAATTAAATAACGGTTAAAATATTTGGATCTAGGCACTACACTCAAAGAACATATACTCAGAAATGAATTTGGAGTGGGAGTCTTGAATCTGTTTCCTCAGATGGTCCCAATTCCGTACCCTTCCAAAAGAGTGAGCGTCTTGCTATACCAAATAGGATTCTAGTTTTTAAAAGACACGGATCTTTGGATGTGTAGCGTTCTTTTTACTATAGATTGCACATTATTGATGAGGTTATACATTTATATAAACATTCATCACCACAATTATACAAAGCAGGTACAACCAGGTGGTATATTCTTCTTTATTGACAACTTTAAGGGATTTGTTAAGGGAAATTTAGACTTTTGACTTTCATGCTGACTTTAGAACTAAGCCCCAAAATAAGGTGTAGAGTCATTAGAAGTAGCTAAAATATCTTTAAAAACAGATTATGAGACATTTAATCTGACAGTACTTCACCCTGCAAACAGGGCTAAGTTAGTAAATTAAAGAGGGAGAATTTATAAAAAGAAATATTTTTATAGTTTAATATATGTAAATGGATGAAAGATCTAAATGTAAGACCTGAAACTATAAAAAGGAAGAAAACATAGGGAAAAAGCTTTACAACATTGGATTTGCCAAGGGCTTTTTAGATATAACACCAAAAGCACAGGCAACAAAAGCCAAAGTAGACAAAAATGGACTACATCAAACTTAAAAATTTCTGCATAGCAAAGCAAACAATCAACAGAGTGAAAAAGCAATATATAGAATAGGAGAAAATATTTATAAACCATATATATTATAAAGGGTTAATATGTAGAATATAGTTAAATATTTGCTGCTAGATAAAGCTGTTTGGTTTGGTATAACCAGTATGGTTGATCTGTATTACTGCTGCTGTTGAAAAATGCAACTGTAAGAAAATAATGTTCATATAGGTCTATAGACTTTAGTTCTTATGTTTTGGGAATATCCCCTATGGATATTTCTTTTCATTGGAAAATTTTGGGTAAAATTTTAGCAAATTGCCTACATCTGCTGATTTAGCAATAAAATTTTGGATCATGGGAACCTAAGTTAAGCTTTTCTCAAGTGGCAGTTTTTAGTTGGGTTTAGCAAGGTATTTTCGTGTTGTTGTTGTTCTTATTGTTGTTTCCTAACAATCTATGTGGCTCCTAGGCCCCTGAGTTCTCATCCTTTGCATTTTCTAAAATTTTTTTTTAAGCAAAAAACTTTTAAGTTTGGGGAGATTATTTCTCTAATAGCATGAGTAATATAGACTTTCTAGAGATAATCTCACTTTTTTCTACAGAAATAAGCTATTATTCAGCATATTAAAAACTGTTTTGGCCAGGCACGGTGGCTCACGCCTGTAATCCCAGCACTTTGGGAGGCCGAGGCAGGCGGATTATGAGGTCAGGAGATCGAGACCATCCTGGCTAACATGGTGAAACTCTGTCTCTACTAAAAATGCAAAAACTTAGCTGGGCACGGTGGCGGGCGCCTGTAGTCCCAGCTACTCGGGAGGCTGAGGCAGGAAAATGGTGTGAACCTGAGAGGTGGAGCTTGCAGTGAGCCGAGATCGGGCCACTGCACTCCAGCCTCTGTGACAGAGTGAGACTCTGTCTCAAAAACAAACAAACAAACAAAAAAGTGTTTCTATCACATTCTACCAGCTAGTATTATACCTGGCAGTGGCTGCAG
Organism: Homo sapiens; assembly: GCF_000001405.40. Lineage (NCBI taxonomy): Eukaryota > Metazoa > Chordata > Mammalia > Primates > Hominidae > Homo > Homo sapiens. The sequence goes on from NC_000001.11 coordinate 113,593,087, forward strand.
AGCTCTGCAAGTAGCTCAGCGGTTACAAAAGATATAGAAGATGTGAGTAATTCCCTGAAACCTTATTGGCTTCATTTCCTAAGAGTGGTCAAGGTACAGATTAGTGAGTTTATTTCATGTTAAACACACTCAGGAAATATAACTTGTTTACATTCATTGTTACTAATTAATAACAGTTAATTACTTCAGTTAAGTATGACATGGTATTCCAATAATAACTTTAGGCAAGAGAATCACTTGAGCCGAGGAGTTCAAGACCAGTCTAGGCAACATAGCCAGGCCTCTCTCTGCAAAAAAAATTTTTTCAGTTGTTAGGCATGGTGGCACACGCCTGTAGTCACAGCCACTTGGGAGCCTGAAGCAGGAGGATCACTTGAGCCTAGGAAGTCAAGGCTGCCGTGAGCTGTGATCATGCCACTGCACTCCAACCTGTGCAACAGAGCAAGACTCTGTCTCAAAATAATAATAATAATAATAACAATAACTTTAATTTACATTTTATTCCCTTCCTATGTATTTTCTTCCATGACTTTTTCTTTCTTTAATATCCTTGTATGTCAGATATTTAAACTAACACTGTTTGTCCACTAAGCAATGAGATAGTTTCATTTCGGCGTTAGTATCTGCTGCATGGTGACCTGGTCTGAAACTAACTGACTATGACATATAATGAAATTAAACAGATACTGCTCTCTAAAGTCATCTTTGGCCTATATCATAAAATGAAGCAGGGGCAGGATATTTTTATTCCTCCCTTTTTTCCTGTGTGGATCATGCTGATGAAAACTTAGTTTTGTAGAGCAGAGTTTAACTATACCTGTTGTTTTTACTTGCATGTGGCAGAAACAGCCACTTTAAAACTCTTTGTTTTATTTTATTCTATTTTATTTTAAAGAGTCCCTGAGGGCAGGAGCTCTATCTGATGTTTATTTATCTTTATATTCCAGCTTCCCACACAGTACCTACGTATCACAGGCACACAAGAAATATAGTACTTTTTGAAGGGAAGAAGAAAGGAGTTCAGCCAGTGAGCAAACAAGGTTTTCAGTGCAGTATTGTTGGCTAGATAATGCACAGTATGTGGCTATGCGCCCACCTTTTGAAACATTTTTAACTGCTTAAATAGTGTCTGTTATTCCATACTTGGCATTTTAGGCCTTCTTTAAAGTCTCTTGATTCTCAAGTTAGTGCCTCTAGCATTACCATTCCTTTATGGAAATTTTGAAGTAGACTGAGAACAATAGGGTTAATGAATGAATCTGAGGAATACAAATGGAGCCTGTTGGAGATTAATGTTCAAACATCATGTCTTTTAGTCACTTTTAATCTTTACTTTTGAAATAATTTTCTCCTCCTTTATTTTACTGTTTCTAATTAAAATCTTTATTCTACAGCCACAATACCAAGACAACCACCTGGTTGGATCCTCGTCTTTGTAAGAAAGCCAAAGCCCCTGAAGACTGTGAAGATGGAGGTAGAGATTCAGAAACTTACTCTATCATACTTATTCTCTTAATCCTTTCTTGCTCTTCTTGCTCAGATAATGGGTTTTTCAAAACCCTAAACAAACCATAATGTACACAAGCAAAAAAGCAGTGGGTGGATATCATAATCAACTGATTGTGGTAATTATGTCATTACATCTAACTTTATGAGAGATTTCATTTCTTTTTCAGGATTACATAACTCTCTATAAAAAATAACAACAACACTAAAATACATTTGCCCTTTTTTGACATCTGTCCTGAAGACAGACTTTTAAAATTCTAAATAAATATTTAAAAATTAGGCACATCCTCAACCATAAGCTAGGTCTATCATGTCTTATGAAGTTTTTAAAGTATATTTAATTTAGTATACATTACAGTAGATATGCAAGTATCTATAGCTATTCTTAGCCATTTACAGCAGCAGTAGAAATTCAAGGAAAGTCTTTAATATAGGCCCCCACACATATACACACTTACTTTTTACTGCTTAAAGGAAAAATTATTTCTCTAAGAATCATCAGATAATAGCACTTATCTGTCCTATATATTATAGGTTATATTTAACAGTGTAGTTTTGAGCTGGGTGTGGTGGCACAAACCTGTAGTCCTAAAGCTATATGGGGAGCTGAAATGGGAGGATTGCTTGAGCTCAAGAGTTTGAGATCACAGTGAGCTGTGGTCATGCTACTGCACTCCAGCCTGGGCAACAGAGAGAGACCCTGTCTCTAAAAACTAATAAATAAACAAATTGTTAAAAAGAGTAGAGTTTTGTAAATAAGTATAGAATTTATTCCATCCAAAATTGTTTGCTATGTCTTTACCTTAGGAGATGAATAAAATTTGCATTTTTGTATTACTAATCAGAAACTATGTATTAATTGGTTTTAAAAAATAAGTGGCGTAAAATGAGGTTCACAGTAGTCCTCCTTGTATTGAAGTCCAATCTATAAAAAGAAATTAAACAGAATTTCCACATATATTGTTCAGCATGATTATAATATAATATTAAGAGTTTTCTAGGAAGAAGCAATCAGAAAATGGAATTGTTTAAAATTCCCTCTACAATGGCATCAAAAAAGTTAGATAGCTTGAAACAAATCTTCTGAACAATGTGCAAGTTCTCAACACTAAAAACTACAAAACATAATTGAAAGACATAGGAAGACTTAAAATAATTGACAAGAGGCTGGGCATGATGGCTCATGCCTGTAATCACAGCCAAGGTGGATGGATCACTTGAACCCAGGAGTTCAAGAACAGCCTGGGCAACAGGGTGAAACCCTGTCTCTACTAAAAGTACAAAAACTCACTGGGTGTGGTAGCATGCGCCTGTAGACCCAGCTACTCAGGAGGCTGAGGTGAGAAGATCGCTTGAGTCCAGGAGGTTGAGGCTGCGGTGAACCATGATCACGCCACTGCACTCCAGCCTGGGTGACAGAGTGAGACCCTGTCTCAAAATACTAATACTAATACTAATACTAATAATAATTGACAAGATATATTCTGTTCATTAGCCAAAGAACCTTAAAAAAAAAAAGACAAAGTTGGAAGACATAGGGTACCAGATCTGAAGACTTATTTTAGAGCTACAGTGATAAAGACAGTTTGGTATTGGCATAAGGATAGATAAATAGATCAGTGGAACAAAATAGAGAGTCTAGAAATCAATACACATGTATGTAGTCACTTTATTTTCAACCAAAGTGCCAACTGATATGGAAAAATGAACCTCAATTATGCCTCACTTCATACAAACAGTTAATTTCAGATGAATCAAAGACCTAAGCATAAAAGCTAGAACCACAAAGCTTTTGGAAGAAAATATAGGAGAGTGTCTTCATGAGTCAGAATTGGCAAAGATTTCTTAAACAGGCCACAAAAAATATGAACCATAGAAGAAAAAGTTAATATTTTGCATGTAATAGAAATTTTAAAATTCTCTTCATCAGAAGACACCATTGAAAAATGAATAGACAAAGTCACAGACTTTGCAATATATATTTGCCAAAGGAATTAAATTCAGAATCTATAAGAACTGTTTACAACTCAATAATATTGCCAAATTTTAAAATGGGCAAAATATGTTAATAAACATTTCACCAAAGAAAATATACAAACAGCCCATAAAAACATGAAAAGATATTTAAAATTATTAATCATTAGGTGTTTTGCAAATTAAAACCACTGTGATCTACTACTTTACACCCACTAGAATGAGTATAACAAAAAAAAAAACAGATGGTAACTAATCTTGGGGAGGATAGGGAGAAACAGTAACCCTTGTACATTGCTGTGCCATTGGAAAATGGTATAGCCACTTTGGAGAACAGTTTGGCAGTTTCTTAAAAGGTTAAATATAAATTTACCATATGACCTAGTAAATTTTCTCCTAGGTATCTACCCAAGAGGAATGAAAACAAAAGTCCTCATAAAGACTTGCATGCAAATATTCATAGCAGCACTATTCATAATAGCCAAAAAGTGGAAACCACCCAACTGTCCATTAACCAATGAGCAGATAAATCAAATGTGCTATAACCTACAATGGAATACTATTGAGCAATAAAAAGGAACAAAATACTATACATGCTATATGTATGAATCTCAAAAACATGCTAAGTGAAAGAAATTAGACATAATAGGCCAGATATTGTATGGTTCTATTTGTATGAAATGTCCAGAATAGGCAAATCTGTGGAAACAGAAAATAGGTTACTGGTTGCCTTGGGCTAAGGATAAGAATAGAGATTAACTGTTAACAGCATGAGGAATCTTCTTGGAGTTATGAAGACGTTTTAAAACTGGATTGTGGTGATGGTTGTACAATTCAGTAAATTATTAAAAATTATTGAACTGTATACTTAAAACAGATGAATTGTATATATGTAAATTATACCTCAATAAAGTTGTTTTTAAAATGGCCAAAGGACTTATGCACTTCACAAAAGAAGATAAAAGAAGAGTCAAGAAGAACATGAAGAGGTGCTTATCATTAGTTATCACTACAATGAGATACCATCAACACCCACTACAAGGGCTAGAGATACCATCTACATCCTTTAGAAGGACTAAAGTACACTGACGCTCAGCAGAAACCTTACATGCCAGAAGGGATTGGAGTTCTATCTTTAACCACCTTAAACAGAATAAGTGTCAGCCAAGAATTTTGTATCCAGCAATACTAAGTTTCATAAATGAAGAAGAAATAAAGTATTTTTCAGACAAGTAAATGTTGAAGGAATTTGACATTACCAGATCAGCCCTACAAGATATGGTAAAAGGAGTTCTAAATCTTCAAACAAAAAGTTGATATGCACCAGAATAGAACCTCTTGAAAGCATGCAACTTACAGGACTGCCAGGCACGGTGGCTCACACCTGTAATCCCAGCACTTTGGGAGGCTGTGGTGGGCGGATAATGAGGTCAGGAGTTCAAGACCAGTCTGACCAACATGGTGAAACCCCATCTCTACTAAAAATACAAAAATTAGCCAGACATGGTGGTGGGCACCTGTAATCCCAGCTACTCAGGAGGCTGAGGCAGGAGAATTGCTTAAACCCAGGAGGTGGAGGTTGCAGTTAGCCAAGATTGCACCACTGTACTCCAGCCTGGGCAACAGAGCGAGACTCTGCCTGCCATCCCCCCACCCCCCCTCCAAAAAAAAACTCACAGGACCTATAAAGCAATAGCACAGTAAAGAAAACAAAGTACTAGGTAACAATCAACATGATGACTGGAATAGTACCTTATATCTCAATATTAATGTTGAATGTAAATGGTCTAAGTGCTCACTTGAAAGAAGAAGATTGGCAGAATGGATAAAAATTCACAAACCAAATATCTGCTGTCTTCAAGAGATTCATCTAACACATAAGGATTCCTATAGACTCAACGTAAAAGAGTGGAAAAAGATATTTCACACAAATGGAAACTCAAAGTGAGCAGGAGTAGCTATTGTTATGTCAGAGAAAACAGATTTTAAAGCAACAACAGTTAAAAAAAAAGACAAAGAAGGTCATTATACAATGATAAAATGATCAACAAGAAGATATTGCAATACTAAATATATATACCCCTAACTCTAGAGCCCCCAGATTCATGAAACAATTACTATTAGACCTAAGAAAGGAGATATCAACACAATAATAGTAGGGGACTTCAACACTCCACTGACAGCACTAGATAGATCATTGGAGCAGAAAATCAGCAAACACTGGACTTAAACTACACTCTAGAACAAATAAACCTGACAGATATTTACAGAACAATTCTAACCAAGAACTGCAGAATATACATTCTTCTCATCAGCACATGGAACCTTCTGCAAAGTAGACCATATGATAGGCCACAAAACAAGTCTCAATAAATTTTTAAAACTCAAAATCTTTTGTGGGCATTTAGTGCTATAAATTTCCCTCTGCACACTGCTTTGAATGTGTCCCAGAGATTCTGGTATGTTGTCTTTGTTCTCGTTGGTTTCAAAGAACATCTTTATTTCTGCCTTCATTTCGTTATGTACCCATGCCCACAAGAGAAAGCAGGAAAGAGCCAAAATTGACATCCTAACATCACAATTGAAAGAACTAGAAAAGCAAGAGCAAACACATTCAAAAGCTAGCAGAAGGCAAGAAATAACTAAATTCAGAGCAGAACTGAAGGAAATAGAGACACAAAAAACCCTTCAAAAAATTAATGAATCCAGGAGCTGGTTTTTTGAAAGGATCAACAAAATTGATCGACCACTAGCAAGACTAATAAAGAAGAAAAGAGAGAAGAATCAAATAGATGCAATAAAAAATGATAAAAGGGGATATCACCACCGATCCCACAGAAATAAAAACTACTATCAGAGAATACTACGAACACCTCTACGCAAATAAACTAGAAAATCTAGAAGAAATGGATAAATTCCTCGACACATACACCCTCCCAAGACTAAACCAGGAAGAAGTTGAATCTCTGAGTAGACCAATAACAGGCTCTGAAATTGTGGCAATAATCAATAGCTTACCAACCAAAAAGAGTCCAGGACCAGATGGATTCACAGCCGAATTCTACCAGAGGTACAAGGAGGAACTGGTACCATTCCTTCTGAAACTATTCCAATCAATAGAAAAAGAGGGAATCCTCCCTAACTCATTTTATGAGGCCAGCATCATCCTGATACCAAAGCTGGGCAGAGACACAACCAAAAAAGAGAATTTTAGACCAATATCCTTGATGAACATTGATGCAAAAATCCTCAATAAAATACTGGCAAACTGAATCCAGCAGCACATCAAAAAGCTTATCCACCGTGATCAAGTGGGCTTCATCCCTGGGATGCAAGGCTGGTTCAATATACGCAAATCAATGAATGTAATCCAGCATATAAACAGAACCAAAGACAAAAACCACATGGTTATCTCAATAGATGCAGAAAAGGCCTTTGAAAAAATTCAACAGCCCTTCATGCTAAAAACTCTCAATAAATTAGGTATTGATGGGACATATCTCAAAATAATAAGAGCTATCTATGACAAACCCACAACCAATATCATACTGAATGGGCAAAAACTGGAAGCATTCCCTTTGAAAACTGGCACAAGACAGGGGTGCCCTCTCTCACCACTCCTATTCAACATAGTGTTGGAAGTTCTGGCCAGGGCAATTAGGCAGGAGAAGGAAATAAACGGTATTCAATTAGGAAAAGAGGAAGTCAAATTGTCCCTGTTTGCAGATGACATGATAGTATATCTAGAAAACCCCATTGTCTCAGCCCAAAATCTCCTTAAGCTGATAAGCAACTTCAGCAAAGTCTCAGGATACAAAATCAATGTACAAAAATCACAAGCATTCTTATACACCAATAACAGACAAACAGAGAGCCAAATCATGAGTGAACTCCCATTCACAATTGCTTCAAAGAGAATAAAATACCTAGGAATCCAACTTACAAGGGACATGAAGGACCTCTTCAAGGAGAACTACAAACCACTGCTCAATGAAATAAAAGAGGATACAAGAAATGGAAGAACATTCCATGCTCATGGGTAGGAAGAATCAATATCGTGAAAATGGCCGTATTGCCCAAGGTAATTTATAGATTCAATGCCATCCCCATCAAGCTACCAATGACTTTCTTCACAGAATTGGAAAAAACTACTTTAAAGTTCATATGGAACCAAAAAAGAGTCCGCATTGCCAAGTCAATCCTAAGCCAAAAGAACAAAGCTGGAGGCATCACACTACCTGACTTCAACCTACTACAAGGCTACAGTAACCAAAACAGCATGGTACTGGTACCAAAACAGAGATATAGATCAATGGGACAGAACAGAGCCCTCAGAAATAGCGCCGCCTATCTACAACTATCTGATCTTTGACAAACCTGAGAAAAACAAGCAATGGGGAAAGGATTCCCTATGTAATAAATGGTGCTGGGAAAACTGGCTAGCCATATGTAGAAAGCTGAAACTGGATCCCTTCCTTACACCTTATACAAAAATTAATTCAAGATGGATTAAAGACTTAAATGTTAGACCTAAAACCATAAAAACCCTAGAAGAAAACCTAGGCAATACCATTCAGGACATAGGCATGGGCAAGGACTTCATGTCTAAAACACCAAAAGCAATGAGCAATAAAAGCCAAAATTGACAAATGGGATCTAATTAAACTAAAGAGCTTCTGCACAGCAAAAGAAACTACCATCAGAGTGAACAGGCAGCCTACAAAACAGGAGAAAATTTTTGCAATCTACTCATCTGACAAATGGCTAATATCCACAATCTACAATGAACTCCAACAAATTTACAAGAAAAAAACAAACAACCCCATCAAAAAGTGGGCAAAGGACATGAACAGACACTTCTCAAAAGAAGACATTTATGCAGCCAAAAAACACATGAAAAAATGCTCACCATCACTGGCCATCAGAGAAATGCAAATCAAAACCACAATGAGATACCATCTCACACCAGTTAGAATGGCAATCATTAAAAAGTCAGGAAACAACAGGTGCTGGAGAGGATGTGGAGAAATAGGACCACTGTTACACCGTTGGTGGGACTGTAAACTAGTTCAACCCTTGTGGAAGTCAGTGTGGCGATTCCTCAGGGATCTAGAACTAGAAATACCATTTGACCCAGCCATCCCATTACTGGGTATATACCCAAAGGACTATAAATCATGCTGCTATAAAGACACATGCACAAGTATGTTTATTGTGGCACTATTCACAATAGCAAAGACTTGGAACCAACCCAAATGTCCAACAACGATAGACTGGATTAAGAAAATGTGGCACATATACACCGTGGAATACTATGCAGCCATAAAAAATGATGAGTTCATGTCCTTTGTAGGGACATGGATGAAATTGGAAATCATCATTCTCAGTAAACTATCGCAAGAACAAAAAACCAAACACCGTATATTCTCACTCATAGGTTGGAACTGAACAATGAGAACACATGGACACAGGAAGGGGAACATCACACTCTGGGGACTGCTGTGGGGTGGGGGGAGTGGGAAGGGATAGCATTAGGAGATATACCTAATGCTAAATGACGAGTTAATGGGTGCAGCACACCAGCATGTCACATGTATACATATGTAACTAACCTGCACATTGTGCACATGTACCCTAAAACTTAAAGTATAATAATAATAAAATTATAAAAAAAACTCAAAATCATATGAGGTATCTTCTCAGACCACAGTGGAATAAAACTAGAAATCAACTCCTAAAGGAACCCTAAAAACTATACAAATGCATGGAAATTAAACAGTCTGCTCCTAAGTGATTTTTGGGTTAAGAACAAAATCAAGATGGAAGTGTTAAAATTATTTGAAATGAATGATAATAGTGACATAAGTTATCAAAACCTGAGATACAGCAAAGCAGTGCTGAGAAGAAAGTTTATAGCACTAAATTGCTACATCAAAAAGTCTGAAAGATCACAAATTGACAACGTAATGTCACACCTCAAGGAACTAGAGAAACAAGAACAAACCCAAAGTTAGTGGAATAAAAGAAATAACAGAAGATCGGAGCAGAATTAAATGAAATTAAAACAAACAAAAACAGTAGGCCAGATACTGTGGCTCATGCCTATAAGCCCAGCACTTTAGGCGGCCAAGGCAGGCAGATTGCTTGGTAATTTGAGACCAGCCTAAGCAACATGGTGAAACCCTATTTCTACAAAAAATACACAAATTAACCAGGTATGGTGGTGCCCACCTGTGGTCCCAGCTGCTCCAGAGGCTGAGGTGGGAGGATTACTTGAGCCTGGAGGAGGCAGAGGTTGCAGTTAGACGAGACTGTCCCACTGCACTCCAGTCTGCGAAACAGAACGAGATTGTCTCAAAAAATAAAAAAAATCAAAGTGTGTGTATGTGTATGTATACACATATATATATATGTGTATACATACACAGAAGATCAAAGAGACAAAAAGCTGGTTATTTGAAAAAGATATACAAAATTTATAGACCATTAGCTAGATTAACCAAGAAGAGAAAAAATTCAAATAAGCCCAATTCGAAATGAAAATGAAAATGAAATGGAAATGAAAATGAAAATGGAGACATTACAACAAACACCACGGAAATACAAAAGATAATTTGAGGCTACTATGAATAAGTGAAATTGAAACTGTGCACACAAAGTAGAAAATCTAGAGGACTGGATAAATTCATGGAAACATACAACCCTCCTAGCTTAAATCAGGAATAAATAGAAATCCTGAACCAATAACTAGCAGTGAGATTGAATCAGTAATTTAAAAATTGCCAACAACAACAACAACAACAACAACAAAAAGCCTGAGGCCAAATGGATTTACAGCCAAATTCTACCAGACATTCAAAGAATAATTGGTATCAATCCTACTGAAACTATTCCAAAAGATTGAGAAAGAGGGAATCTTCTCTAACTCTTTCTATGAAGCCAGTATCACCCTGATACCAAAACCGGGAAAGGACCTAACAAAAAAATAAAACTATAGACCAGTATCCCTGATGAAAATAGAAAGACCCCAAAAGCAAATGCAACAAAAACAAAAATAAATGCGACCTAATTAAACAAAAAAGCTTCTACACAGCAAAAGAAATAATCATAAGAGTAAACTGACAACCTTCAGAATGGGAGAACATATTTGCAAATTATGCATCCGACAAAGGACCAATATCCAGAATCTACAAGGAACTCAAACAAGTCAGAAAAATAAATAAATAAAACCCACCAAATAATGCCACCAAAAGGTAAAAAGTGGACAAATTACATGAATTGGCATATCTCAAAAGAAGATACACAAATGGCCAACAAACATATGAAAAAAAATGCTCATCATCAGGGATGCGTAAATTAAAACCACAATGAGATACCACCTTATTCCAGCCAGAGTAATAAGTCAAAAAGCAATAGATGTTGGCATGGGTGCAGTGAAAAGAGAACACTTATACACTGCTGGTTGGAATGTAAATTAGTACAGCCTCTATGGAAAACAGTATGGAGCATTCTTAAAGAACTAAAATTAGATCTACCATTTGATCCAGGAATCCCACTCCTGGGCACCTATCCAAAGAAAAAGAAGTCATTATATCAAAAAGACACCTGCTTATGTATGTCTATCATAGCATAATTCATAATTGCAAACATGTGGAACCAACTTAGGAACCAACCTAAGTACCCATCAAATGATGAGTGGATAAATAAAATGTGGTATTGCCAGGTGCATTGGCTCATGCCTGTAATCCCAACACTTTGGGAGGCTGAGGCGGGCAGATCACAAGGTCAAGAGATCAAGACCATCCTGGCCAATATGGTGAAACCCCATCTCTACTAAAAATACAAAAATTAGCCAGGCATGGTGGCATGCACCTGTAATCCCACCTACTCGGGAGGCTGAGGCAGGAGAATCGCTTGAATCCAGGAGGCGGAGGTTGTGGTGAGCTGAGATCATGCCACTGCACTCCAGCCTGGCGACAGAGTGAGTCTCCATCTCAAAAAAAAAAAAAAAAAAAAAAAAAAAAAAGAGAAGAAAGAAAATGTGGTATATATATACCATGGAATACTACCCAGCCATGAAAAAGAATGAAATAATGTCTTTTGCAGCAACTTGGATGGAGCTGGAGGTCATTATTCTAAGTGACTCAGGAATGGAGAACCAAATACTCTATGTTCTCACTTATAAGTGGGAGCTAAGCTATGGGTACACAAAGACAAACAAAGTCGTATAATAGACATTGAAGATTCAGAAGGGAGGAGGGTCGGATGGGGGAAGGGATAAAAACTACATATTGGGTATAATGTACACTACTTGGGTGATGGGTGCACTAAAATCTCAGATTTCACCACTATACAGTTCATCCATGTAACCAAAAACCACTTATACCCTGATATAAATATACATATATAATATATAATATATGTAATATTATTTTTAGATATAGTAAAATAAAATATACTGACAATACCAAAGATTAATGAGATTTTAGAGCAACTAGCATTTTCATTTATTGTGAGTGGGGACACAAAATTACCTGAACATTTTTTAGAACTTTTCACAGTTTCCTATGAGGTAATATCTAAAGAGAAATGAAAACATATGTTCCCCAAAAGACTTAACTAGAATGATTATGACAGCCTTTCTCTTAATAGCTCAAACCTGGAAACATCCCAGATATCTATCAAGAAGAGAATGGATAAACCATTTGTGGTATATTCATGCAATAAAATACTACTCATGAGTAAAAAGAAAAAAGTGTTGATAACACTCAATAATATGGATGAGTCTCAGAAACATGTTGTAAAAGAAACCAGACACCAAAGAGTAGGTTCTCAATTACTCATTATTTAAAGCTTGAGAACAGGCAAAACTCATGTGTGGTAATAGAAATCAGAAAATGACTGGGGAGAGTAGAAGTGGGGTAAAGTGAGATAATTCCCTGGAATGCTATATTCTCCATCTCAATTGAGGTGACAGTTACACAGGCATATCCAGTTGCCAAAACCCACTTTTTATAATTGAACAAGCACTCGATTTTTTTTTTCCCCGAGACGGAGTCATGCTCTGTCGAACAGGCTGGAGTGCAGTGGCGCAATCTTGGATCACTGCAACCTCTGCCTCCTGGGTTCAAGCGATTCTTCTGCCTCAACCTCCCAAGTAGCTGGGACTACTGGCACATGCCACCACGCCCAGCTAATTTTTGTATTTCTAGTAGAGACGGGGTTTCACCGTATTGGCGAGGCTGGTCTCGAACTCCTGACCTCGTGATCCGCCTGCCTCGGCCTCCCAAAGTGCTAAGATTACAGGTGTGAGCCACTGCACCCAGCCAGATTTTTTTTTTACCATTAAAAGGGCACTTAAGAGTTGTGCATTTTATTGTTTGTAAATTATACCTCAATTATTATTCTTTTTTTGAGACAGAGTCTCTCTCTGTCACCCAGGTTGGAGTGCAGTGGCGCAATCTCTGCTCACTGCAGCCTCCTCCTCCTGGGTCCAAGTGATTCTCGTGCCTCAGCCTCCCCAGTAGCTAGGACTACAGGCTCATGCCACCATGGCTGGCTAATTTTTGTATTTTTTGGTAGAGATGGGGTTTCATCATGTTGGCCAGGCTGGTCTGAAACTCCTGACCTCAAGTGATCCACCCACCTCAGGCTCCCAAAGTGCTGGGATTACAAGTGTGAGCCACCATGCCCAGCCCAAGAAATAATTTTTAAAATAATTTTTATACCGTAGTTGTTTATAAAGCTTTCCATAGTAAGTTCCTTCTTATGGTGAAATCAGCCATTCTAAAGGCAAACTAGAATATATAATACTATAGAATTTGACTTTTTTTATTGTGAACATGGTATTTGTCTTCTAGAGCATGTCCCTTTTACTGGCTTCCATTCTTTTTCCTGGTCCCTAATTGTTTCAGTTCAGTTTTCTGCCTTTTCTTGTTTTCTTTTGTAGAAAGCATTTATTCTCATAGCTTTATCAGTTTACTATAGCCTGCCCCATTATCAAAATCTCTAGTATTGTCCTTTGTTCTGAATTATATTTCTGTTTCCTCTTGCTTTTGAGTCTTGGTTTTGATTTCCCTACTAATACTTCAAATAAGCTTATTTAAAACTAAATTGACATCTTTCTCCTAATACAACCCGTCCCTCTTTCTGTCATATACGTACCATTCTCATAATCATCTATGCCAAAATCTTTGCAATTATGTTTGCCTGTTCCTCTCTTCTTGCTCTACTTCCTGATTTAGTTTTCACGTCCTGTTGCTTTTTCTTTTTTCTCTTTTTGCCAATATATTATTATGCAAAAGTTTCAACATATAGGAAAATGAAAAGAATCATACAGTGAACATACATATGCCCACCACTAGGATATTACAATTAACATTTTGCTACATTTGCTTCTTCACATGATTATTCATTTATTCTTTCTCTATCTGTGATTTTTCTTTTATATTATATATTCCTTTCCATTCTCCTAATCACTACACACTTGGATTATTCTTGGTCTTTCTTCCTCCAGTTATTTCTCTCTCTTTAATACATCTTTTATGCCAGTGGTTTTCAAAATGATCATACTCAAACTATCTACTGGTACCCAGTAGAAAATATTAGAACTAATTTTTCATAATGTTGTTACTGAAAGAAAAAGAAACAAACTAAGCTTCACTACTATTTTACATACAGATTGGTAATGGCATTCTTACTGATTCCGTATGTCGGATTATCACATACTCTAACCAGAGTGCCTTGAGGGAGGAATGGATGAGACACCTTTGCTCTTTTTTCAAGGACACTGTGAAATTTTACAGTTGATTTGTGCCCAGTTAAGTGGATTTATAGACTAGTTATATAGTTTTTAAACTAACCTCACATAAAATGGAAATGTCACTTTAAAAGATTTCTACAAAAACACTACTGATTGAAGATGATACAAATAGGCAAACCCAGACTAATAGCAAGAAAATGGAAGAACCGATACTGTTTGTGTATCATATATGACCATATATAAGCTTTTTTCAACTTCAAGGTAAAATCATGATAATTGCTTGTTTAATCACCTCCTTTAAAAACATCTATTTTTGTATATGTTTTATTATATACATATTAGAAGAGGGGCAGATGTCAGATTTTTTACTAAAAAGGCTACATGATCAAAAAACCTTGGAGATATTATGTAAGACCAAATTAATCTTTCTAAAACTAATTTTCTATCTATCTCTCCCTTGCTGTCCATTGTCAGCAGAGTAAAGTCCAGACTCCTTGGTTAAGTATTAAAGATTTTTTATAATTGAATCATATTCTATATTTATTTTTCAAAGTATTCTCATGTCATAAATCTGACATATTTTTCGTCTTTGCCATATACCCATTTCTTCTGCCAGGAATCAGTCTTGTTTCCTGTGTCTACCTGGCTCATACCTATTATCCTTCGAAGCTCCAATCTAAAGTATAATTTCTTTGTAGCCCCTTCTGTCATTTTCTTGCAAGTCAGAAGTAGACGTCCTCTCCTCTGTGCTCAGTAGTACCATATGACATGTCTCTCTTGTAGCAGTTATATTGCATTGTAACTAGATACCACACTCAGAGCAATGATTTTTGACACATTCATCTGTATATCCTTTCAGTAGAGACTTCAATGTTTGAAAAGAGGGAAAGAGGGAAGAGAGGGAGGGAGGGAAGAAGGGAAAAGGAAGAGAAAGGGAAAAAAAGAAAGAAGCTACTCTATCCTCCAGATTATTTTGGTCGCCCTTTTGGAAATACTTTTCAATCTCTATAAGGCTCTGAGGGGCCAATAAATAATAAGCCCGTCTTCATTCACCAGTTTATAGTCAATAGAGAAATAAGACACCAGAGACAGACAGATGAAGTCAGAATGTCAGCAAATGAATGTTAGCCCTGCATGTACATGGCCTTGCTGTTATTTTACCCCTGCAGGAGGGAGACATGAGTACTTAGTCTTTGGCCTCTGTGTTCAACTGCAAGCCTCCTCCCAACGGGCAGACATGGCAGAGAACAGACCAGAATACGCCTCTGCAGGCAGGCTGTTAACCAAAACAGTGAGAGAACTCAAGAGTCCCTGAGCCAAGCATATTGAGTTCATTGTGTAAAACTCCCCAGTCAGATAAGACATTCTTTCTTCCTTGGGGAAGAAAGTGAAGGGGCTCCGAGAAACTGGAAATGTTCCTCCCATTCTTTATTCTCTAAGGAATTTGAAGAATTGGATGAACATTTCCCCCTAATGCTCTTTACATTAAGGCTGAACATATGTCTTGGTTGGCCCAGGACTGATCCAGCTTTTTCCTGTTGCCCCAACATAATTATTAATAGTATCCCCTTTTATTCTCAAAAGTGGACAGTACATTTTATGATCATCCTAAGTATATTTTTCTTAAAATAGAATGATCAAAATTGCATTCAGTATTCTGGGAATGTTTGAAACTCTTTAATATGGGCTACTCTCCCACTTACAAAACTGGGTACACCTTTTTAACATTGCCTATACTTATCTTCGGGGGAGCCTACAATTTAGAACATTGAGTCTATTTGTTTTATGCTCAGCCAGCCTTTTCCACTTTCCTCTCTACACTTTGTCTCCCCACGTAATAGCCCCACGGAAGACTATTTTCAGGATGAACTATGTGTGATTCATATTAGTATTCTCTGCAGTGCTTTGCACAGAGTAGATGCTGAAAAGAGAAGAATAATATTTTAAGTGTAGGTTTTATAGGTTAAGATATTGTTTACATTCTGCTGAACATTTAAGATCTTCTAGAAAGACCTTACAGTTTCTAAAACATGCCCTTTTCTTCCCAGTCTTCTGATATTCTGAACACAGCTGTGTATTCAAATACAGTGTAAGGACACAGCTTGAACAGCTTGGTTTAATTGATGTACATTTTATCTTCTATTCAAATAAAATAGTGTTTTGGTTAGGTAGTTGTCTTGAAAATACAACATTAGGAATTCGTTTTACCCTCAACCCATCCCATTTCTCTTATGATGAAAGAAAGATTAAATTTTTGCTAAAGGCAGCTTACAAATATATTGAATGTTGATATTTCAGAGCTTAGAGAATGATTAAAAAAATTATCAACTGAATAGAGCTCCACCATGAGAAAATAATTGTAATTCTTACATTTAAACAAGAAAAATCCTATTTGGGGAAGAGGAAAGAAAGATAAATTCATGGGATTTAGAACCAACCAGCTGCTTGATATGCCCAAAATAGTTTTGTCTTTTGAAATAGCTTTTTAGGGGAATACTTTGGCTTCATACACAGGAAAAGATGGTTAGGTTAGGTCTTTCCTGTATCAAAAATAAACAAACAAATTTTCTCTTGGCCCTAACCCTCCCCATAGTTTTTATACTATCTTTTCCACAAGCAAATTTTTGTTTTAAGTCATCTATTCTTAAGGACTCTACTTCGTATTTTTCTCTTCAGTTACTACAGTATTCTGACTTTTGCCTCCTACCTTTTCAGGGTTACCAGTAACCTCCTGATCTTATAGACTCTTTTTAGCCCTTATCTTTATGCCTAACAGCTTTACAAAGCGTTTTTTTGTTTGTTTGTTTGTTTGTTTGTTTTGAGACAGAGTCTTGCACTGTTGCCCAGGCTAGAGTGCAGTGGCGCGATCTCGGCTCACTGCAAGCTCCGCCTCCTGGGTTCATGCCATTCTCCTGCCTCAGCCTCCCCAACAAAGCGTTTTTTAATGCTGACCATGCCCTTCCTCTTCTGTCTTCTTTTACACCATTCCCCCTGATGATTCTTACTTTCTCCATCTGCCGCTTAAAATGTTAGTGCTCCTAAGGTTCTGTTCTTCACCTTTCTCTGCTCAGTTTATCTAGGTAATCATGTCTGCTGTCATAGCTTTAACTACAATGTCTCTCAAATCTTTATCTTCTTATATTTCTCTTTGGAGTACCGGGTTCATACGGCCAAGAGCTTGTTATTTATCTGTACCAGGATGTTCTACAGATCACTCAAATGTAACACCTTCCCTTCCTGCCTTCAACAGATATGACATCCCCCCAGCTGCTTGAGCCAAAAACTGGTTGTCATCCTCGCCTTTCCCTCACTGTCTCCTCTCTGTTGCAGTTAACTACCAAGTTCTATCAATTCTAACTTTTAAAAACCTGCCATTCGGGTGGATCACGAGGTCAGGAGACCAAGACCATCCTGGCCAACATGGTAAAACCCTGTCTACTAAAATACAAAAAATTAGCTGGGCATGGTGGCACGCACCTTTAGTTCTAGCTACCCGGGAGACTGAGGCAGGGGAATCACTTGAACTGGGGAGGCGGAGGTTGCAGTGAGCTGAGATCATGCCATTGCACTCTAGCCTGGCGACAGAGGAAGACTCCATCTCAAAAAAAAATAAAAAATAAAAACCTGCCATTTCTTGAGTGTCCATTGGTGGTAGACACATTACTAGGCACTTTTAATATATCATCTGTCTCCTAAATTCCTCTAAATCCACATTAATTTCTAATTTCTATTCCCACAGCCATTTTCATAATTATTCTTTTTTTTTTTTTTTTGAGACAGACTCTCACACTGTTGCCCAGGCTGGAGTGCAGTGATGAGATCTCAGCTCACTGCAACCTCCACTTCCTAGGTTCGAGCAATTCTCCTGCCTCAGCCTCCTGAGTAGCTGAGATTACAGGAACCTACCACCACGCCCAGCTAATTTTTGTATTTTTAGTAGAGATAGGGGTTTCACCATGTTGCTCAGGCTGGTCTTGAACTCCTGACCTCAAATGATCTGCCCACATTGGCCTCCCAAAGTGCTGGGATTACAGGCGTGAGTCACCGTGCCGGCCCATTTTCATAATTATTCAATAAATATTTGATAATGTATCACTTTTATGCCACAAAAGCTAGAAACCTGGGAATCATCTTTGCCTCTTTCCTCCCTTCCCTTCCTCAATCCTCATGGTAGTCATTAAGTTCTGTTACTTTACCTTCTTTGTTTTATTATCCATTCTACTACCCCTGCCTTAGTTCCAGTCTTCACAAGTTCTTATGCAGTCTATTAGTGTTTATCTTATTTGTCTGCCTTTATTCTCATTGCACACCATCTATTTCGTCCTTTATTACTGCTTCCCATAATCTTTTTCAAATATAAATTAAATCATGTCACAGTTCACCTTAATCAATTCTCTATCATCGTCAAAATAAAGATCAAACTTCTCAACACAGCACTCTAAGAATGTTGGAATTTTGTGCTTGTTCATAAAATTCATTTCCCTTTGCATACAACTTTCATTCTAGTTTACCAAATTATTTGTAATTATGGAAAATACCAAGCATTCTTAATACCTCAATGCCCTTTAATCTATCTGGAATCATCTCCCTCTCCCTAATCCCAACTTATTTATTTATTTATTTATTTATTTATTTATTTGACTCGGTCTATCACCAGGCTGGAATGCAGTGGCACGATCTTGGCTCATTGCAACCTCCACCTCCTGGGTTCAAGTGATTCTCCTGCCTCAGCCTCCTGAGTAGCTGGGACTACAGGCGTGCACCACCACACCCAGATAATTTTTGTATTTTTAGTAGAGACGGGGTTTCACAATGTTGGCCAGGATGGTCTCGATCTCTTGACCTCATGATCCGCCCGCCTTGGCCTCCCAAAGTGCTGGAATTACAGGCGTGAGCCAACTTATCTTTAAAGACTGCTTAAACATCAGCTTTTAGCAGGCTTTCCTGATAGCAATCTTACCAGGCAATTGGTATTCCTCTGCACTCCCCAAAAAAGATTATGTTTATCTTTATCTTATCATTTATCTCTTCTGTCTTCCTGTCTAGACTATAAACTCCTTGAAGTCAAGAACTGGGTTATATTTCTAATTTTTATTTCTGCATAAGGATGATGGGGAGAGGAGGATGAGAAGGGAGGAAGGAAAAAAGAATAAAATGAATAAATGAATTGATCCACTAAATAGTGTATAAAGTTGCTAGGTATTTTAGTCTTGATTTTTATTACCTTCACTTTAAATGAGCAAATAATAACCACTTCTTTATCTGTATTAAATTGCCCTGTGTGAAAACAAAACAAAACCAAACAAAAAAAACTTGCTAATGGTATCAGTGGTAAAGGTGTAAAATTAATAAAGTAACCCAGAAGATAAATGGCTGCATTTGTTTGCCCTCCTAAAGAAAGGACTGTTAATCTCTTAGTTGCTAATTACCTTGAGTGCTAACTAAAATGCTAAATCAACTTTCAAGTTAAGATTAAAATATATTTATGTTGATCTTTTATCCTTACTATTAGTACATCCCTTTTAGTGAATTTTTCAGATATCAAATGGACTATTTCAGCTATTTCTATAGTCCTTAATTTCTCCAAACTTCTCTAAAGACAAAACATAAATCTAATTGTGGTACAGTTGTAGAATTCCTCCTTACTCAGCTCTATTCAGTTCCCATGCTATTTCAAGAAAATTTCTATTAAAGAAAAAAATATTTTTCATGGAAGATCCATAACTGTTATAGTGCAGTTTTACAGATATATTCAAAAAAATTACTCTTATCCATGAAACAGTTGTTTGGCGATAAAATATTATATCTATTTGATAGATTTGCTTCATAGCTAAGGAGGATTAAAGTGAACTAAAGTACATCTCAGTTCTTTTTAATGTTTTGTTCTCTTCTCACATATTTCAACTATTTTAGTATTTCATTTGTTCTCATCTTTCCCACCTGAGACATTTCAACCAGGTCCTTCAAAGGAAAAACACAAAAACTCATCAAACTTTGAAACCACCAATCAATATATATGCAGAAAAGTATGGTGGAGAAATGGGGTAGGGGTAATTCAGACATTTTCACCAGGAGGCTAGTCATCTGTTCTTTTCTTATATTCTGAATGCAGAATAATAATTTTTCTTAGAGTAAAACAGTATAGCTTGTCAAGTTTATTATAATGGAATTTTTACTTACAAAGTTGGTATGTCATAACTGAGGCTAAATGATATAAAACTAATAAGTCTTGTGATGCTTTCTAAACCTGTTTGCTGTCCAGCGTACTTTTTGTGTGTGTGTCTTTCAGCAGAGCAGAAGCATTCTTAAGAGAAATTGAAAATAAAAGCGTGGGACATCATAGTGCACAACAGTGGACTTTTAAAAAAATTCTTTTTTGCTCAACTGCTATATAAAATGGATAGGACTAGAACCACCTGCTAGGAACATTCTTCCCAACTTATCCATGTTTTACTAATAAGATGGTTCTTCAGAAACCTTAACTTTACAAGGAATGCAGACAAAGTGGGAGGGAAAAGATTCACATTCACATTGAAAAGCTCATGTCAGTTCATGTTGAAAAGGCTAGAGATTTGTTTTAACTTTCAGAAATTCAACTACCTTCAGTATTTCTGGTTATATTTTATTGGTCACTTACTGAGAATTAGTAATATATAAAAATGCTATGTAAGGTATTTATTTGTTATCATTCACAAATACAGATTACACAAAGCACTGTGGTAGTTAGATTAGTGTTCCTTCAGATACTCAGATCTTGTTCACCAAGAGAAAGCAGGTACTTTTGTAGGTTTTAAGCAAATCTAGATTGCTCACTTGAAATGACAAAAGTCCAAGGCTAGGGTTTCCTTTGAGGAGAAGTGGGTCTGAACATAACATCAAAAATGACTATGTATAATAGTAAAAAATTGAACAGATACCTGCTTCTTCTATTGGACTACAAGGGTAAATATGTCTTGTGTCAGCATGATCAAGGTTTTTAAATGAAAGAAGTACACAGTAATTTTTATTAGCATTTTTATGGCTTGTGGTTCATATGAACACCTTTTTGTTTAATGCCATCTTCTGTTCTGGGCTTCTGATTGCTTGCTGAAATTCTCACTGGCTGGTGAAGAAGCCACTCAGACTTAAATTGTGTTTGTTCCTTGAAAGTGAGCCCTCAGCTTTCTGACACCCAAATATTAGTATAATGAAATAATAAATTCACTCACTGGTGAATTCTTTTCTGTCAGTTTTGAATCTGGCATTTCACTCAATTTTCTTTATTTACAGAGCTTCCTTATGGCTGGGAGAAAATAGAGGACCCTCAGTATGGGACATACTATGTTGAGTAAGTTTGTTACCTCAGTTAATATTCTCCCAAATATTTTCCTTTCAGCATATAGCTTTAGAGAATACTGGATACAGCACTTTATGCTTCTGTGATCCAGCTGTTGAGTTTTTCAACTAGGGGAATGAAAAGGTAGGGGCAGTGAGCATTTGCTTCATTGACCTTGGGCTTCCTGGAAGTTGGCTTTGAATTTCTAAATATAGAGAATAAGGGGGAAGTTGCCTAGACAATTAATAGCTAGAGATGGTATTGTTACTACTACAGCCTCTAAAGAGAAAGTCAGTTGATAGAAAACTGAAATGAGGGCAACAGACTAGATGAATTATCAAGGTCATTTCCAACACTACCACTGTATCCTTCTGAAAGCAGTGGAAGATCTTTAGGGCATTATAACATAATTATCTGAAGTTTTGAAGCATACACCTAAAGGTGTGCTCTCTTTTAAGGAGTTATTCAAGGAAAACTTAGTATTCTTTTTAGGGGTGAAAGTTGCTTCTTAGGCAGCTGCTATGGTTAAATTTAAACATAAATATATATTGGAGAGGAGTGCCAGACACCTGCCTATGTTAGCCAGAGAAATTAAGCTAATATCAATGTCTAATTTTGCCTTCTCTTTTCTTTATCTAATTGCTACAATGTTATGACCATTGGGATTGCTTTCTTTCCAGATGCTAAACACTGAATTTGACCTCAAGCGTCTAGCAGCAGGCAAATACTTCTATCAGAAACATTACTATTTACCTGGAGACTAGGAGTTAAACCTGCTGCCTAGGTAGCAAAGACAAAATGTTATTATTACCTGAAAAAGTAACAAACACAATCATCTTTAATTTTATAATTGTTTCTTAATGTTTCAACACTTATAGGCATAAACCAATGCCATTTCCTGGTAGTTATCCCTAAAGTAAGTATCTCTGACTCCTGTTGCAACTGTAGTCTTTATTCTATTGTGCAGGTTGTTACTTGAGTCACTGTGGTTAGAGGGATTTTTGGAATGACTTCTTAAAATTAAATGTGTCTCCTAAGGAAATGACTCAATTAGATTGACACTTAAGTATATAACTTTAGAATTTCAATATCTTGGTTCCTTTGAAAGCTATGCTAATTTTGTTTCCATTGTGTTACTTAATGTCTTACTGATACTGTGATGTAAAAAGTATACAGCAGCTCTTTTATTATTATTTTTTCCTAAGACTTATTTTGTTAAAGGAAGAAACAACCATTTTTCACATCAAAGGAGTATTTGGGGGCCGACTGAAAAGGTTTTGCAGGATTTTTTTCTTCCCCTCAAAGTTTAGTCTATTTAAATTGGGCTCTAATCAGCTATTTGCCATTGACACTGCTGAACATTTCTGAGATAATGATTCTCATTCTCTTTATTATCCATTCCAAGTGAATTTGAATACATGGTCAAAAGGTGAAAGTCATTTGCCTGTTATAAAACCTTGAGCTGAATGATCTGGTCCCCATTATGCAAAGATATAATATTAAAGCAACTTTAGGGCAAATCCTGAAGCGACCTGCTCCTAGTTGTCAGGGAGGTACATGAAATAGCCTGAATTAGAAGCAACAGCAGCAGCGACATGATTTTGTATGATTATTCCCAGAATGAGCTCATTTTACAGGAGGGTTTTGTATTAGACTAAGAAGGAGCAGACTGTACTCAAGATGCACATTAGTATGGAGTCAGCTGAGCTGTGGAGTGTGGCTTGATTCCCAGATTAGTTAGGTTTTGAATCTCGACCATAGTAATCTGCAGTGAGTTTACTGATGGAGATAAAAAGCTGTTACTTGAATGGCTACTCTTTGGCTCTCTTAGTTTGTCAAACCAGATGGCACGATGATTGCTCTTGGCAGGAGCCTTGTAGTAGTAACACCAACTGCAGTGGTAGTTTTTCTTTGTATTTATTTTAGAGGATGGGATTCTGAAATGGATGAAGTTATTTTTTAAAATAAAATTTTTCCAAAAATGTAATATGCTTATAATATGCATAAATATAAATATGCATAAGCTATAAATATGCTTATATATTTAGAAATGCGGTCTTGATTATATTGCATTACATGTCTTTTTAAAATTAACATATAATTATACACATTTTGGGGGTACGTAGTGATGTTTCAGTACACGTAATATATAGTGATTAGATCAGGGTGATAAGCATTAAATGTCTTGATGCACCTAGATGACAAAGTCAAAATATATACTTGCTTTCACAACTAAAACTTTTTTTTTTTTTTTTTTGAGACGGAGTTTTACTCTTGCCCAGGCTAGAGTGCAGCAGCACGATCTTGGCTCACTGCAACCTCCGCCTTCTGCCTCCCAGGTTCAAGTGATTCTCGTACCTCAGCCCCCCAGTAGCTGAGATTATAGGCATGCGCCACCACACCCACCTAATTTTGTATTTTTAGTAGAGATGGGGTTTCACCATGTTGGCCAGGCTGGTCTTAAACTCCTGACCTCAAGTGATCCACCCGCCTCGGCCTCCCAAAGTGCTGGGATCCCAGGCGTGAGCTACCATGCCCAGCCATCTAAAACTCTTTATGAAAGAATATTTTGTTGAGATAAATTTTTAAATCCAGATATTAGACATAAAATTTTAATACAGAAAATGTGTCAAATTGTGTACTAATATTTAATCATTCTTGTTTGCTTTGTTTCTTTCTGATAATCTGTAATATTCTCCTCTCTTATTTCCCACAGCTAGTTATTTGGAAAACAAAATTTGTTGTGTCTTAATAATAGTGTAGGTATAAGTAATTAAATGAAAAGGACAGTATTTTCACTTTTTTATTTTTTGATTTTTTTTGAGTGGCATTTTAGTCTAGATAGTCTAAGATAATGAAGACAATAACTTCCTTCAGTAAATCTTATATTCTTTTGTCAAATTTTTAGGAAAAGGATTACTCATTTGCATACGTCTACTCTCCTCTCCCACACATTACAAAGGGTATAAATACAAATTACTACTTTTTATGTTCTAATGCCTGGGTGGCAAAGTGAGTCATTCTAGCCAATGACTTTAAAGTGAAAGTGAGCCAAGGTTCTTTCTGAACAGGTTTATTCTTTTCTGAGTGTCAATTTTTAGTTGTTTTTCAAAAGAATATGTAAAATATCAGTACCTAAATAAATTTTTTAAAGTAGTTCCTAGGATTTTTATTTTCACAGAGTTAAACAGTTAACTCAGTGGACAGTGTATCCCCCGCATATTATGAAGCAGAAGCATACTTGAGTGTCAGTGAAATCAGAACCCAAACAATGTCCAGTGGCACTTACCATATTTAGAGCTCTTAAACTATTTAATAAGTAACTACGTCTGTTGTGGAACTGATATGTAGTAGTAGCCTGAGTGACATGGAGAAAGCTAACATTCCTTTTTTTGAAAGTGTTTTTTTAATTTTTAAATTTTTATTTTAGTCCCTGCTGCCCATTTCTCTACCACCACTCTTAATGTTTACAAATGGCAAAGCTCCAGCGTGGACAACATAGTAAGACCCCATCTCTACAAAAAAAAAAAATTTTTTTTAATTAGCTGGGCATGGTGGCACACACCTGTGGTCACAGCTACTCAGGAGGCTGAGGTGGGAATATCGTTTGAGCCTGAGAGGTTGAGGCTGCAGTGAGCTGTGATTGGACCACTGCATTCCAGCCTGGGTGACAGAATGAGTGCCTGTCTCCAAAAAAAAAATAAATAAAGAAATAAAAAGGCAAAGTAAATGTTCAACTTGTGTGACTATTTATATGTACATTTTGTAATATTCAGTCTACCTAAAAACAATCATGTTCTGAAATTCTCATGATTTGGTATTTAATTGTTGGTGTTCACTCATATCACCTCTTTATTTTTATTTTTTATTTTTTTTGCCGTGGAGTTTCACTCTTGTCGCCCAAGCTGGAGTGCAATGGCATGATCTCGGCTCACTGCAACCTCCGCCTCCTGGGTTCAAGTGAGTCTCCTACCTCAGCTTCCTGAGTAGCTGGGATTACAGGCATGCACCACCACGCCCAGCTTATTTTTGTATTTTTAGTAGAGATGGGGTTTCACCATGTTGGCCAGGATGGTCTCTATCTCTTGACCTCGTGATCTGCCTGCCTTGGCCTCCTAAAGTGCTGAGATTCCAGGCGTGAGCCACTGCACCCGGCCTCACTTCTTTAATTAAAGTGGAAAACTGTAGCATATGCTGAAATATATTTGTACTATGGAAGTGTTAGAATATGATTTCCATTGCTTCTGAATTAGACCTATTCGAGGTCCTAAACATCTTTTTTACAGCATTTCCTTTCTTAACCAACTCCACTTAACTGGCTTGCCAGAAGAATAGTGCTCTTTTTCTTCTGTAAAACATACTATCGCCCATAGCGTGTTGAATAGTTTGGCTAATCTCCTAGCGGCTAGTCTCCCCAGGCTTCCTGCTTTCTCTCAGAGAGTTGTATGCATTCCAAGAGTCAGTAGTGAATGTTCCCAAATCATAAATGCCAGTTGAACCTATGTTATAATTATTCATTTAATTATGATATAATTATGAAGAAATTTAAGTGTGAAAGAGTTATTCTATACTATAGTTGATAAAAGCAAGTCATTTTCTTAGTTGCTACTGAACGGATATAGGTGAGTCAGTGGAAAAGTAATAGTAATATAATTTAAAAAGGATTCTATACACAAATTTCTTTCAAAGTGCCTTTACAGCTTGCTTCATTTTGGAGAAACTTAAATTAAAACCCTTCTATCATTAACTGCCTTTTTTAAAAAAATTAAATTACCAAGAACAAGTACTTCTGATTGCATCAGATAAGAAGGCTATAGTTTTGAAAACTGTTATTGGCTATATTGGGTACGTTTATGAAGAAGCTATAGTAAATATAATATCAAAAGCTTCACAGCTTGGCATCTTCTGCAGGACTTTATTTAGCAGCAGAAAGCCCCTCTGCTATCATCTATCAGTCTCTCCATGTTCCATAGCCTAAAGATACATATTTGTCCCCTAATCTATGATGATGGAATGGTATGATAGACTATTTAAGAATATGTTACTGTTTTATTTTAAACTGAAATGTATATTTTTCTGCATTCTACAGTCACCTTAACCAGAAAACCCAGTTTGAAAATCCAGTGGAGGAAGCCAAAAGGAAAAAGCAGTTAGGACAGGTTGAAATTGGGTCTTCAAAACCAGGTAAGCATTCTTTTCAATCTTTTCTTCTAAGAATAACTTGTGAAATTTGTATGCTGAGTTAATAAAAGTGAGTTTGAACTTCTTATTTCTATGGCTTTGACACTAAAGAGTGTCTAGTTGTTACTGTAAAGATATGAATAATCTTAATAAAACATCTGAACATTATCAGAATACTGAGATTTTTCTCAGGAGTATACAAAAAGCATGAAGTTGTTGGGAGAAGGGATTTCGGCAGCTTTTTTATGAATTTGAGATTTTGTTTTGAAGATTGGAATGTTTCCTTATGTTTAAGGCTAGACCAATATTAGGTCTCCAGTTCATCGTTAGCTTTTCCCAAGTTAATTGCTTAAGTATGGTATCTGTAACCACTGAGGATTCTTCATTAACCAATATTAATAAATACTAAATATATCAAATGATTTACCTACATCATTGAGTCTCAAATGGGATGGTAGCTATTAGTAACATCAGATTCATTTAGGGAGCATTTTTTTAAAAATATAGATCCAGAAATTTCGATGAGTCTAATCATGTGTATTTTGAAAACACTGCTCAGGAAGTTCTTACATTCTACTTATCCCTCCCCATCCCTTTTCCAGCCCTCATTTGTCATTAATAACCAGGGGTATATATGGCCATATTGTAGTAATCCAGTAGATTCTCCACTTCGGTTGCCTATGAGAGAAATAGTTCTTTCTTATAGTTACTCTTCAAAAACATCGTCCTCCTCCTAAAGTTCTGCATTTCGTTTAGCAAACATTTTGAGTTTAACAAATACTTTTGAGCACTGACTATATCCCCAGTGCTTTGCTAGGCTCTAGGTATTCAAAAATGACTAAGAGTAAGACAGGGCTTGCCCTCAAGAGTTCATAGTCTAATACAGGAAACTGATGGTTATAATACATGGAGATAGGTGCCATCATAGAGTAGTAGTTATAATGGTAAGCTGAGGAGCAGGTTTGAATCCCAGCTGTGTAATCTTGGGTACGTTTCCTAAATCTCTAAATGCTCCTATTTCTTCATATATAAAGTAGGAATAATAATGGTACCCACCTTTTAAGGTGGTTATGAGTATGTAAATTAACAGATGTAAAGTGCCTACAATGGTATTAAGCACATGTTGACTAATAAATGATAGTTTCATTGTTATTAATAGACATGTACAAGTTACAGTGGTGGCATAAAGACGGGAGTACCCAACTCTGCTTTGGTGGGAAATGTCAAGTGGGCAGGAGAAATTTCAAAGCAGAAGAGATAGAAACTAGGTCTTGAAAAGTCAGGAAAAGTTAAAGCAGGCAGACAAAAATTTTAAAGGAGCAAGAAAGCATACCAAGTAGAAGGAACAGAATGTTTAAAATCACAGAAGCATGAAATGGTGTGCCGAAAGGCCAGAAGGCAAGTAGGTGTGGTTACAGCATAGGGTATTTGTAGGGTAGTAACAAGCGATGAGGTTGTAGGGATAGGCAGCCATGAGAAGAGGTTGAGTATGTCATATGTTGCTGGAATGTCAAGGAAGTTGAAGATTGAAAAATATGTGTTGGATTTGACAGTAGGGAGGTCATTAGTCACTCTAGGAAGAGCAAGTAGAGAGTGAAGTAAAATTGCAATAGAATGAAGAGGGTATGGGAGGTCAGACAGTACAACTGTTGGCAAAATGATAAACATAATTACCATATATTTATAGTAACTGCTGGAATTCCACTCAGTGTATACCCAAGATGAATGAAAATATGTCCACACAAAACCTTGTGAGTGTTCATATCAACATTATTCATAATAGCCAAAAAGTGGAAATAACCCAAATGTCCATCAACTAATGAATGGATCAACAAAATGTGTTGTTTATCCATACAGTGCCATATTATTTGGCAATAATATAATAAATATATTTTATCTTTAGTAAGTACATATTTAATTTAATATTTATTATATATTAATAATAAAGAGCAATAAAGTACTGACATATGCTACAATACAGATGACCCTCAAAAACACTGTCAAGTGAAAGAAACCATTCAAAAAACCACATATTGTCTGATTTTGTTTATATGAAATGCCTATATTGGGCACATCTATACATGGATAGTAGATTCGTGGTTTCCTAAGGCTAGGATATGGATGTGGGTTGGGGAGAAATTGGATAATGACTGCTAATGGGCATGGGGATTTCCTCTGAGGAGGGAAGAAAATGTTCTAAAATTAGATTATGCTGATAGTCGCATGACATTGAATTGTACACTTGAAAGGGCTAAATTCTATGGTATGTGAATTATATCTCAATAAATTTGTTAAAAAATAGATAATGGCAGAACATTTAAAATCTTTTTTACAGTTAATTTAATACTTCATAAATTATAAACCTGCACAATTTGATTCTCTCAGTTTTTGTCACTTTCCTAATGGCAGGCATGGTTGAGGAGAAGAGAGAAGAGGTTCTGGAAGGAAGTTGTTATTTGCAGATGTGAATCACTAGGGTCATCTAACCCCTAATAATGGGCATTTCAAAAGAACTATGTATTTTTTTTTCCTAAATTATCCACTAAACATGAGTGAAAGGGATAGAAATATGAAGCTATTTACTGATAGTAAAAAGATTCACTCCTTCCATCAGTTATAAATCAAAGACTGCAGAAAGCCTGAGCTGTGAATTATAAAAATTCTCAATATACTCTCTTTCATAAGTTTGTGACACTTGACTTCATCTTCCTGGTATAGTACTTTGCACATAAAACTCAGTAGATGCTGAGTTTTATAGTACAGTTGAATAGTATCCAAACTTTCAGAAATTGAGTGCTAAAGGTTGTATCATTTTGACTTCATATAATGGACTCTGGGTTGAAAGTAAGCACAGACAAGGCAATGAGAAAGAGATTAAGTTGAGAATAACATTAAAAAGTCATATAAAAGATTGACTCTGAGTGCTATATTCATTGTAATTATTTTTGTTCTCAAACCCACTTCTCATTTTGGCACAGATATGGAAAAATCACACTTCACAAGAGATCCATCCCAGCTTAAAGGTGTCCTTGTTCGAGCATCACTGAAAAAAAGCACAATGGGATTTGGTTTTACTATTATTGGTGGAGATAGACCTGATGAGTTCCTACAAGTGAAAAATGTGCTGAAAGATGGTCCCGCAGCTCAGGATGGGAAAATTGCACCAGGTAAGAAATTTTTCATAATTATTTGAAGAGTAGTGATACTATAACAAAAATTATAGTGAAGAGATTTTATATACATAAAGAGAGAGAAATAATTAAATTATATAACTAAAGAAAGAGATTCCAGTATTAAAATAGTTTATACTTTAATTTAAAAAAAAGTTGTATGGGTATACAGTAGGTATATATATTTATGGGATACATGAGATATTATACTATGATACAGGCATGCAATAAGTAATAACCACATCATAGAAAATGTGGTATACATCTCCTCAAGCATTTATCTGTTGTGTTATAAACAACCCGTTTATACTCTTTTAGTTATAAAATATACAATTAAATTATTGCTGACTGTAGTCACCCTATTGTGTTATCAAAAACTAGGTCTTATTCATTCCTTCTAGCTATATATATATATACACACACATATATATAATACACATATATATACACACACATACACACACACACACACACACACACACACACACACATATATATATTTTTTTTTGAGACGGAGTCTTGCTCTGTCGCCCAGGCTGGAGTGCAGTGGCGCGATCTCGGCTCACTGCAAACTCCGTCTCCCGGGTTCACGCCATTCTCCTGCCTCAGCCTCCCGAGTAGCTGGGACTACAGGCGCCCGCCACCACGCCTGGCTAATTTTTTGTATTTTTAGTAGAGACGAGGTTTCACCATGTTAGCCAGGATGGTCTGGATCTCCTGACCTCGTGATCCGCCTGCCTTGGCCTCCCAAAGTGCTGAGATTACAGACGTGAGCCACACCGCACCCGGCCTTTCTAGCTATATATTTTTTATATTCCTTAACCATCTCCACTTCCCTCTCACCGCCCCACCAACCCTAACTACCCTTCCCAGCCTCTGGTAATCATCCTTCTACTCTCTAGCTCCATTAGTTCAGTTGTTTTAATTTTTAGCATCCACAAAGAAATGAGAGCATTCAAAGTTTGTGTTTCTTTGCCTGACTTATTTCACTTAACATAATGATCTTCAGTTCCATCTGTGTCATTGCAAATGACAAGATCTCATTCTTTTTATGGCTGAATAGTACTCCATTGTGTATATGTACCATGTTTTCTTTATCTAATTATCTGTCGATGGACATTTAGGTGGCTTCTAAATCTTGGCTATTGTGAAAAGTGCTGTAACAAACATGGGAGTGCAGATATCTCTTCAATATACTGATTTCCTTTCTTGTGGGTATATACTCAGCAGTGGGATTGCTAGATCGTATGGTATCTCTATTTTTAGTGTTTTGAGAATCCTCCAAATTGTTTTCCATAGTGGTTGTGCAAATTTACATTCCCAGCAACAGTGTATGAGGGTTCCCTTTTCACCACACCCTCTCCAGCATTTGTTATTGCCTGTCTTTTGGATAAAAGCCATTTTTAACCAGGGCAAGAAGATACCTCATTGTGCTTTTGATTTGTATTTATCTGATGATCAATGACCTGAGCACTTATTCATATTGCTGTTTCTATGTCTTCTATGTCTTCTTCATGAGAAATGTCTATTCCAATGTTTTGCCCATTTTTTAATCAGATTATTAGATTTTTCCTATAGAGTTGTTTGAGCTCCTTATATATTCTGGTTATTAATCTCTTGTGAGATGGATAGTTTGCAAAGATTTTCTCCCATTCTGTGGGCTGTCTCTTCACTTGACTGATTGTTTCCTTTGCTATGCAGAAGCTTTTTAACTTAATGTGATCCCATTTGTCCATTTTTGCTTTAGTTGCCTAGGCTTGTGGAGTATCACTGAAGAAATTTTTGCCCAGACCAATGTCCTGGAGAGTTTCCCCAATGTTTTCTTTTTTTAGTTTTACAGTTTGAAGTCTTAGATTTAAGTCTTTAATTCACCTTGATTTGATTTTTGTATACAGCGAGAGATAGAAGTCAAGTTTCATTCTTCTACATGTGGATATCCAATTTTCCTAGAACCATTGAAGAGACTATCTTCTCCAATGTATGTTCTTGGCACCTTTCTTGAAAATGAGTTCATTGTAGGTGTATGGATTTTTCTATTCTGTTCCACTGGTCTATGTGTCTGTTTTTATGCCAATACCATCTTCCTTTAGTTACTATAGCTCTGTAGTATAATTTGAAGTCAGGTAATGTGATTCCTCCAGTTGTGTTCTTTTTCCTCAGGCTAGCTTTGGCTATTCTGGGTCTTTTGTGGTTCCATATAAATTTCAGAATTGTTTTTTCTATTTCTGTGAAGAATGTCATTGGTATTTTGATAGAGATTTGATAGAGATTGCATTGAATCTATAGATTGGTTTGGGTAGTATTGAAAAGAATATTGATTCTTCCAACTATGAACATGAAATATCTTTTCATTTTTTGTGTCCTCTTCAGTTTCTTGCATCAGCATTTTATAATTTTTAATGCAGAGATCTTTCGCTTCTTTGGTTAAGTTAATTCCTAGGTATTTAATCTTATTTGTGGCTATTGTGAATAGGATTACTTTTTTATTTCTTTTTCAGATTGTTCACTGGCATATAGAAAGGCTACTGATTTTTGTATGTCGCTTTTGTATCCTGCAACTTTACTGAATTTATCAGTTCTAATAGTTTTTTTATTTGTGGAGTTGTTAAGTTTTTCCAAATATAAGATCCCATCATCTGCAAACAAGGATAATTTGACTTCTCCCTTTCCAATTTGTATGCCTGTTATTTCTTTCTCCTGCTGATTGCTTTAGCTAGAACTTCCAGTCCTGTGTTGAGTAACAGTGGTGAAAGTGGGCATCTTCATTTTCCAGATCTCAGAGGAAGGACTTTCAGTTTTTCCCTCATTCAGTGTGATACTAGCTGTGGCTCTGTTGTATATATGGCTTTTATTATATTGAGGTATGTTTCTTATATAACCAGTTTTTTTAGGGTTTTATCATAAAGGGGTGTTGAATTTTATTAAATTTTTTCAGCATCAGTTGAAATTATTATAGTTTTTTTGTTTTTGTTTTGTTTTGTTTTGTTTTTTAGACTGAGTCTCTGTCACCCAGGCTGGAGGGCAGTGGCATGATCTCAGCTCACTGCAACCCCCACCTCCTGGGTTCAAGTGATTCTCCTGCTTCAGCCTCCAGAGTAGCTGGGATTACAGGCACTCACCAGCACGCCTGGCTAATTTTATATTTTTAGTAGAGATGGGGTTTCACCATGTTAGCTAGGCTGGTCTCGAATTCTTGACCTCAGGTGATCCATCTGCTTCAAATGATTATAGTTTTTATCCTTCATTCTGTTGATACCATGTATCACACTGATTATTTGCATATATTGTACCATCCTTGCATTCCTGGGATAAATCCCACTTGGTCATGATGAATGTTCTTTTTAATGTATTGTCAAATTTTACTTGCTAATATTTTGTTGAGGAGTTTTACATCAGTACTTATCAGAAATACTGGCCTGTAGTTTTCTTTTTTTTGATATGTCTTTGATTTGGATATCAGGGTAATACTGGCATCACAGAATGAGTTTGGAATTATTCTTCCCTCTATTTTTCAGAATAGTTTGAGTAGGAATTGTATTACTCCTTTAAATGCTTGGTAGAATTCAGCAGTAAAGCCATCAGATCCTGGGCTTTACTTTACTGGGAGACTATTATGGCTTCAATCTTGTTGCTTGTCATTGGTCTGTTCAGGTTTTAGATTTCTTTGTGGTTTGATCTTGGTAAGTTGTGTGTGTCTAGGAATTTATCCATTTCTTCTAGGTTTTCCAATTTGTTGGCATATAGTTGCTCATAATAGTCTCTAACAATCCTTTGAATTTCTGCAGTATCAGTTGTAATGTCTCCTGTTTCATCTCTGATTTTATTTACTTGGATCTTACCTCTTTTTTTCTGTTAGTCTAAGGTTTGTTAATTGTATCTTTTCAAAAAACCAACTTTTTGTTTCTTTGATCTTTTGTGTTGTTTTCTTCATTTCAAATTCATTTATTTCTACTCTTTCTGCTTTTCTTCTATTAATCTAGAGCTTAGTTTTCTCTTTTCTAGTTCTTCAAGATGCATCATGAGGTTATTTATTTGAAGTTTTTCTTTTTTTATATATATAGGCACTTATAGCTATAAATTTCCCTCTTAGTACTGCTTTTGCTGTATCCCATAGGTTTTGGTGTGTTTTGTTTCCATTATTATTTGTTTCAAGAAATTTTTCCAATTTCCTTCTTAATTCCTTTATTGACTCACTGGTCATTCAGGAACCTATTGTTTAATTTCCATGGGTTTGTATAGTTTCCAAAATTCCCCTTGTTATTAATTTCTGATTTTATTCCATAGCAGTTGAGAAGATACTTGATATAATTTTAATTTTTTGGAATGTTTTAAGACTTGTTCTGTAACCTAACATATGGTCTATCCTTGAATGATGCCGTGCTGAGGAGAATATATATTCTGCAGCCATTGGATGAAATGTTCTGTAAATATCTATTAGGTCCATGTAGTCTATAGTGCAGATTAGGTCTGATGTTTCCTTGTTGATTTTCTGTCTGGAAGATCTAATGCTGAAAGTGGGATGTTGAAGTCTCCTGCTATTATTGTATTGAGGTCTATTTCTCTCTCCTTAGCTCTAATAATATATATCATATATTATATAATAATTATATATATAAAATATATAATTGTAATATATGATAAAATACCTCTCTCTTTAGCTCTAGTAAAGCAAGTAACACTTGCTTTATGTGTCTGGGTACTCCAGTGTTGGATGCATATACATTTACAATTGTTATATCCTCTTGCTGAATTGACCCCTTTATTATTATATAATGACCTTTTTGTCTCTTCTTGCAGTTTTTGTCTTATAATCTATTTTGTCTGATATAAATGTAGCTACTGCTACTGTTTTTTGGTTTTCACTGGCATGGAATGTCTTTTTCCAGTCCTTTATTTCCATTCTATGTGTACCTTTACAGGTGACATATGTTTCTTCTAGGCAATAGATCATCAGGTCTTGCTTTTTTTATTCACTCATCTTCTCTATGTCTTTTGATTGGAGAGTTTAGTCCATATGGATTGAGTGTTATTAATGATCAGTAAGGACTTACTCCTGCCATTTTGTTATTTGTTTTCTGGTTGTTTTGTGATTGTCTCTTCCTTATTTCCTTCCTTCCTTTTAGTGAAGGTGATTTTATCTGTGGTATGATTTAATTTCTTGCTTTTTATTTTCTTGTGTATCCATTGTATTTTTTTATTTGAGTTTACCAGGACGCTAGAAAATACTATATTATAACTCATAATTATAAACTGAGGACAAATTAACACTGATTGTATAAACAAAGAAGCAAACAAGCAAAAAGAAAATGAATAAAAACTGTACAATTTAACTTCATCCCTTCCTTTTAAATTTTTTGTTATTTCTCTTTATGTCTTATTGTACTTTGTCTTGAAGATTTGTTCTAGTTATTATTTTGATTGGTTCATTGTTTAGTCTTTCTACCTAAGAGTATGTTACCCACCACAATTACAGTTTAATATTCTATGTTTTTCTGTGTGCTATTACCAGTGAGTTTTGTACCTTCAGATGATTTCTTATTGCTCGTTAATGTCCTTTTCTTTCGCATTGAAGAACCCCCTTTAGCATTTCTTGTAGGAGAGATCTAGTGTTCACGAAATCCCTTAGCTTTTGTTGTCTGGAAGGTCTTTATTTCTCCTTCATGCTTACAGGATATTTTTGCCAGATACACTATTATAGAGTAAAAGGTTTTTTTCCTAAGCACTTTAAATATGTCATGCCACTCTCTCCTGCCCT
Organism: Homo sapiens; assembly: GCF_000001405.40. Classification (NCBI taxonomy): domain Eukaryota; kingdom Metazoa; phylum Chordata; class Mammalia; order Primates; family Hominidae; genus Homo; species Homo sapiens. Next base: position 113,628,753 of record NC_000001.11, read on the forward strand.
GTAAGGTTTCCACTGGAAAGTCTGCTGTTAGACATATTGGAGCTCCTTTGTATGTTACTTGTTTCTTTTCTCTTGCTGCTCTTAGGATCCTTTCTTTATCTTTGACCTTTGGGAGTTTGATTTTTAAATGCCATGAGGTAGTCTCCTTTGGGTTAAATCTGCTTGGTGCTCTATAACCTTCATGTGCTTGAATATTGGTATCTTTCTCTAGGTTTGGGAAGTTCTCTGATATTATCCCTTTGAATAAACTTTTTACCTCATTTTTTCTGTACCTCCTCTTTTGGGCCAATAACTCTTAGAATTGCCCTTTTGAGGCTGTTTTCTAGATACTGTAGGTGTGCTTTATTGTTCTTTATTCTTGTTTTTTTTTGTCTCCTCTGACTGTGTATTTTCAAATAGGCTGTCTTCAAGCTCACTAATTATTTCTTCTACTTGATCGATTCTGCTGTTAAGAGACTCTGATGCATTGTTTAGCATGTCAGTTGTATTTTTCAACTCTAGATTTCTGTTTGATTCTTTTTAATTATTTCAGTCTCTGTTAAATTTATGTGACAGGATTCTGCATTTCTTCTCTCTGTTATCTTGATTTTTTGTTGTTGTTTTCTCAAAACAACTATTTTTAATTTTCTATCTGAAAGGTCACATATCTCTGTTTCTCCAGGATTGGTCCCTAGTGCCTTATTTAGTTCATTTGGTGAGGTCATGTTTTCCTGGATGGTCTTGATCCTTATAGATGTTTGTTGGTGTCTGGGCATTGAAGAGTTAGGCATTTATTGTAGTTTTTGCAGGCTGGGTTTCTTTGTGCCCATCCTTGGGAAGGCTTTCCAGGTATTCGAAGGGACCTAGGTCCTAAACCCAATAACAATAAGTACCACCTTGGTATTCTTGGATACGATTCAGAAGAATTATCTGGATTAATAGGCAGAGACTCTTGTTCTTTTCCCTTACATTCTTCCAAACAAACAAAGTCAGTCTCCCTCTCTCTCTCTCTCTCTCTCTCTCTCTCTCTCCCTCCCTCCCTCCCTCCCTCCCTCACTCTCTGTCTCTCTCTTTCTCTCTCTCTGTGCTGAGCCTCTTGGAACTGGGGGTTGGGGGACATAAACATCCCTGTGGCCACCACCACTGGGACTGCGCTGGGTGAGACATGAAACCAGCACAGCACTGGATCTTGCCCACAGCCAGCTGTAACCACTACCTGGCTGCCACTTAAATTAACTCAAGGCCCTGGAGCCCTATGATCAGCAGGTGGCAAAGTGAGCTAGGTTCGTGTCCCTCTCTTCAGGATGGTGAGTTTCCCCAAGCCGCGAGTGGATTCAGAGATATCGTCTGGGAGCTAGGGATTGAAGTCAAAAACCTTAGAAATTTACCTGGTATTCTATTCTATTCTGGCTAAGCTGGCATTCAAACCACAAGACAGACAGAATTCTTCCCATTCTTCACCTTCCACAGACAGAGAAACCTCTCCCTGTGGCCACCAACACTGGCCCATGTGGGTGTGTGGGGGTGTTGCCAGGCCACTGCTAATGCTCACCTAAAGCACAAAGGCTCTTCAGTCAGCTTGTGATGAATGCTGTCAGGCCTGGGACTCACCCTTCAGGACAGTGGGCTCTCCTCTGATCCAGACTAGGTCCAGAAATGCTGACCAAGAGCCTAGGCCTGGACTCAGGGACCCCGAGAGCCTGCGTGGTGCTCTACCCTACTGTGGCTGAGCTGGTACCTAAGCTGCACGACACAGTCACCTTTACCTTTCCCCCTACTTTTCTCAAGCAGCAGTCTTTCACCATAGTTACCACAGCAGGGAATGTGCTGGGTCACGCCTAAAGCCAGCATGTCTCAGAGCCCAGTATCCGTGGTGTATTTATTACCTGGGTATTGCTATTGGTTATTCAGGGCCCAGGGGCTCTTGAGCAGGCAGGTGATGAAACCTGCCAGGTCTCTGCTGTGACAGGGCAGCACTGAGTTCAATGAAAAGTCCATCAGCCACTGTGCTCCCCCTCTCACAATCACACAGATTTCTCCATACCAGGTGGCTGCTACCGGGAGCTAAGGGAGAGGTGGCGTAAGCACTCCCTTAGCTGCCCTGGCTGGTGTCTCGTAGGTTGCAGTCAGGTGTCTCTGATCCCAGCTCAGCACTAGGACTTGTCTAGGAATTGCAGTCCTTGTGGCCTAGACTGCCACTCATTTCACTCGGGGCCCAGAGCACTCCAGCCCCCAGTGGTGAGGCTTGCTGGAACTCAGTCTCCAATCACTGGAATGGGCAATTCCCCTATGGCTAGGGTCGACCCAAATGCTCCCTTTGTTGGCATATGTCAGCTGAGTACAGCCTGGTTCTGCTTTCCCTTGTGACAGGGGAGCACTGAGTTCAATGCAAATCCTGACAATCGCTGTGCTCACCCTCTCCCAAGCATGCAAATTCTCACCACCAGTGCAGGGAGGATGGGGGAGTGGTAGCACTGGCAATTCCAGACTGCCTTTCCTATCTTCTTCAGTGTCTCTTTCAGTGATATGAAGTCCAAACCAGGCACTATGATTGCTCACCTGCTTTTTGTCTCTTGTAACGGTACTTTTAGTGTGTAGTTAGTTGTTAAAATTTGGTGTTTCTGTGGGGGTAGGGGGATGAGTAGTGTAGGCTTCTATCCCGCCACTTTGCTCTGCCCTCCGTCACCATCTATCCTCTAAACTAAATGCATATTATCTTTGATGGTGGGCCATTTTACAAACAGGTGAAAACTGTTGGAGAAAACATTAAATTTATTAATATTTTGAAATATTTTATATAACTTTGAGATAATCCTTTTGCTGTATAAAACTAAAGATTTATTAATCATCTCAGAAAAATATTTGTTTGATTTTCTTGAATTATAAAGGATACTTTTGGAGCAAACATTTACCTATAACCTTATTTGAAAAAAAGGTCCTGTGTGGTGTTTATCATGGTATCAAATTATTAAATCTTGCCGTTTTTCCCAAGTTTGTTTGCTTCCTTAATCTTACTGGTTATTAAATTGAACTCCTATGTTAAGAATTGTAGACATAACATTACCATTTTTACAAAGTAGTGTAAACTTGTCTTTTCTATAGTTTCCTAAAGCCTTTACTTGGTAATTGCTGGATATTTTAATATGGCTGGGAGTGTTTGTGGTTCAGGAACTTGGAGAAGGTTGAAGACTAGTTTCTGATTGCGGGGGGAAGTTTAAGTATTGTTTTCCAGAAAGATTTTAGTATTAATACTGAGGTTGCTTTTTGCAGTGTTTGCTAGACTTTTCTAATCCTCTGTTATTTCACATACCGTGAAAATATGGACCAACATTCAGATGGTTGAATTGTCATAGTATTTTTTGATCTCTCATATTATGCTTTCCCATTGAGGTAACAAAAACTTAAAACAGGAAAACTTAAAATAATCAAGTTATACTTGTAAAGAAAATTATTTTTTTCTACTTTATTACTTTATAAAGTTAACAAACTTTAGAGATTAAAATTAATAGTAAGGTTCTTTTGTTTTCAGTTTTGACCTTTTCAACATTTTATCCATGAAACACATGTCTTAGCTATTGTGTATGCTGTCAGGATTTCAAAATGTAGTTTCATATTTGCCTAATATGCTTATCTAATTTGCATGGCAATACAATATTTCCGTGAAAATTCTGGGAGCTTTAATACCAGATTGAGTTTTTTAAAAGCCATCAGAACAAATTAAAGCACCTTTGTTTGGCAATAACCTTTTAAATAATCATATTCAAATAAAAGCTAATTGATGAGACAACAGGGGCCAAATTTTAAGTCAAGACTGTATTAAAAAATACCCAACTGATGACCGTCAACTGGTAATGATTCTACAACCAAAATAGTCTTACTAATGTCAAATCAGGAAAGCAAAACCAACTTTTAGAGGGATTTATTAAGCTGCCTTGTCAGTGTCTTCAATAATGCATTGTTTGCTTCTGTTGAATTTTTTGTTGCTTGTTTCACCTTTTGAAATCTGATTTATACATCAAATTCAAAATTGCTGGAAAAAGAAGGATACTACAAGAAAATACACTCATAAATTAACATCATTCTAATCTTCAGTTCAAAATTTGTCAAACTAGAATGAATTTTTAAAGTACATTGTTAGCAATGGCTTTTGTTTTGTTTAGTTTTTTAGTTTTTTTTTTATTATTATTATACTTTAAGTTTTAGAGTACATGTACACAATGTGCAGGTTAGTTACATATGTATACATGTGACATGCTGGTGTGCTGCACCCATTAACTCGTCATTTAGCATTAGGTATATCTCCTAATGCTATCCCTCCCCCCTCCCCCCACCCCACAGCAGTCCCCAGAGTGTGATGTTCCCCTTCCTGTGTCCATGTGTTCTCATTCTTCACTTCCCACCTATGAGTGAGAATATGCAGTGTTTGGTTTTTTGTTCTTGTGATATTTTACTGAGCATGATGATTTCCAATTTCATCCATGTCCCTACAAAGGACATGAACTCATCATTTTTTTTTTTTTTTTTTTTTTTTTTTTTTTTTTTTTTTTTGAGACGGAGTCTCGCTCTGTCGCCCAGGCTGGAGTGCAGTGGCGGGATCTAGGGTTACTGCAAGCTCCGCCTCCCGGGTTCACGCCATTCTCCTGCCTCAGCCTCCCAAGTAGCTGGGACTACAGGCGCCTGCCACTACGCCCGGCTAATTTTTTGTATTTTTAGTAGAGACGGGGTTTCACCGTTTTAGCCGGGATGGTCTCGATCTCCTGACCTCGTGATCCGCCCGCCTCGGCCTCCCAAAGTGCTGGGATTACAGGCGTGAGCCACCGCGCCCAGCCGAACTCATCATTTTTTATGGCTGCATAGTATTCCACGGTGTATATGTGCCACATTTTCTTAATCCAGTCTATCATTGTTGGACATTTGGGTTGGTTCCAAGTCTTTGCTATTGTGAATAGTGCCACAATAAACATACTTGTGCATGTGTCTTTATAGCAGCATGATCTATAGTCCTTTGGGTATATACCCAGTAATGGGATGGCTGGGTCAAATGGTATTTCTAGTTCTAGATCCCTGAGGAATCACCACACTGACTTCCACAAGGGTTGAACTAGTTTACAGTCCCACCAATGGTGTAAAAGTGGTCCTATTTCTCCACATCCTCTCCAGCACCTGTTGTTTCCTGACTTTTTAATGATCACCATTCTAACTGGTGTGAGATGGTATCTCATTGTGGTTTTGATTTGCATTTCTCTGATGGCCAGTGATGGTGAGCATTTTTTCATGTGTTTTTTGGCTGCATAAATGTCTTCTTTTGAGAAGTGTCTGTTCATGTCCTTCGCCCACTTTTTGATGGGGTTGTTTGTTTTTGTCTTGTAAATTTGTTTGAGTTCATTGTAGATTCTGGATATTAGCCCTTCGTCAGATGAGTAGATTGCAAAAATTTTCTCCCATTTTGTAGGCTGCCTGTTCACTCTGATGGTAGTTTCTTTTGCTGTGCAGAAGCTCTTTAGTTTAATTAGATCCCATTTGTCAATTTTGGCTTTTGTTGCCATTGCTTTTGGTGTTTTAGACATGAAGTCCTTGCCCATGCCTATGTCCTGAATGGTAATGCCTAGGTTTTCTTCTAGGGTTTTTATGGTTTTAGGTCTAACGTTTAAGTCTAATCCATCTTGAATTAATTTTTGTATAAGGTGTAAGGAAGGGATCCAGTTTCAGCTTTCTACATATGGCTAGCCAGTTTTCCCAGCACCATTTATTACATAGGGAATCCTTTCCCCATTGCTTGTTTTTCTCAGGTTTGTCGAAGATCAGATAGTTGTAGATGTGCGGCGTTATTTCTGAGGGCTCTGTTCTGTTCCATTGATCTATATCTCTGTTTTGGTACCAGTACCATGCTGTTTTGGTTACTGTAGCCTTGTAGTAGGTTGAAGTCAGGTAGTGTAATGCCTCCAGCTTTGTTCTTTTGGCTTAGGATTGACTTGGCAATGTGGGCTTTTTTTTGGTTCCATATGAACTTTAAAGTAGTTTTTTCCAATTCTGTGAAGAAAGTCATTGGTAGCTTGATGGGGATGGCATTGAATCTATAAATTACCTTGGTCAATATGGCCATTTTCACGATATTGATTCTTCCTACCCATGAGCATGGAATGTTCTTCCATTTCTTTGTATCCTCTTTTATTTCATTGAGCAGTGGTTTGTAGTTCTCCTTGAAGAGGTCCTTCACGTCCCTTGTAAGTTGGATTCCTAGGTATTTTATTCTCTTTGAAGCAATTGTGAATGGGAGTTCACTCATGATTTGGCTCTCTGTTTGTCTGTTATTGGTGTATAAGAATGCTTGTGATTTTTATACATTGATTTTGTATCCTGAGACTTTTGGCTTATCAGCTTAAGGAGATTTTGGGCTGAGACAATGGGGTTTTCTAGATATACAATCATGTCATCTGCAAACAGGGACAATTTGAGTTCCTCTTTTCCTAATTGAATACCCTTTATTTCCTTCTCCTGCCTAACTGCCCTGGCCAGAACTTCCAACACTATGTTGAATAGGAGTGGTGAGAGAGGGCATCCCTGTCTTGGCGAGTTTTCAAAGGGAATGCTTCCAGTTTTTGCCCATTCAGTATGATATTGGCTGTGGGTTTGTCATAGATAGCTCTTATTATTTTGAGATACGTCCCATCAATACCTAATTTATTGAGAGTTTTTAGCATGAAGCGTTGTTGAATTTTGTCAAAGGCCTTTTCTGCATCTATTGAGATAACCATGTGGTTTTTGTCTTTGGTTCTGTTTATATGCTGGATTACATTTACTGATTTGCGTATATTGAACCAGTCTTGCATCCCAGGGATGAAGCCCACTTGATCATGGTGGATAAGCTTTTTGATGTGCTGCTGGATTCGGTTTGCCAGTATTTTATTGAGGATTTTTGCATCAATGTTCATCAAGGATATTGGTCTAAAATTCTCTTTTTTGGTTGTGTCTCTGCCCAGCTTTGGTGTCAGGATGATGCTGGCCTCATAAAATGAGTTAGGGAGGATTCCCTCTTTTTCTATTGATTGGAATAGTTTCAGAAGGAATGGTACCAGTTCCTCCTTGTACCTCTGGTAGAATTCGGCTGTGAATCCATCTGGTCCTGGACTCTTTTTGGTTGGTAAGCTATTGATTATTGCCACAATTTCAGAGCCTGTTATTCGTCTATTCAGAGATTCAACTTCTTCCTGGTTTAGTCTTGGGAGGGTGTATGTGTCGAGGAATGTATCCATTTCTTCTAGATTTTCTAGTTTATTTGCGTAGAGGTGTTTGTAGTATTCTCTGATGGTAGTTTGTATTTCTGTGGGATCGGTGGTGATATCCCCTTTTATCATTTTTTATTGCATCTATTTGATTCTTCTCTCTTTTCTTCTTTATTAGTCTTGCTAGTGGTCGATCAATTTTGTTGATCCTTTCAAAAAACCAGCTCCTGGATTCATTAATTTTTTGAAGGGTTTTTTGTGTCTCTATTTCCTTCAGTTCTGTTCTGATTTTAGTTATTTCTTGCCTTCTGCTAGCTTTTGAATGTGTTTGCTCTTGCTTTTCTAGTTCTTTTAATTGTGATGTTAGGGTGTCAATTTTGGATCTTTCCTGCTTTCTTTTGTGGGCATTTCATGCTATAAATTTCCCTCTACACACTGCTTTGAATGTGTCCCAGAGATTCTGGTATGTTGTGTCTTTCTTCTTGTTGGTTTCAAAGAACATCTTTATTTCTGTCTTCATTTCGTTATGTACCCAGTAGTCATTCAGGAGCACGTTGTTCAGTTTCCATGTAGTTGAGCGGTTTTGAGTGAGTTTCTTAATCCTGAGTTCTAGTTTGATTGCACTGTGGTCTGAGAGACAGTTTGTTATAATTTCTGTTCTTTTACATTTGCTGAGGAGAGCTTTACTTCCAACTATGTGGTCAATTTTGGAATAGGTGTGGTGTGGTGCTGGAAAAAATGTATATTCTGTTGATTTGGGGTGGAGAGTTCTGTAGATGTCTATTAGGTCTGCTTGGTGCAGAGCTGAGTTCAATTCCTGGATATCCTTGTTGACTTTCTGTCTCGTTGATCTGTCTAATGTTGACAGTGGGGTGTTAAAGTCTCCCATTATTATTGTGTGGGAGTCTAAATCTCTTTGTAGGTCACTCAGGACTTGCTTTATGAATCTGGGTGCTCCTGTATTGGGTGCATATATATTTAGGATAGTTTGCTCTTCTTGTTGAATTGATCCCTTTACCATTATGTAATGGCCTTCTTTGTCTCTTTTGATCTTTGTTGGTTTAAAGTCTGTTTTATCAGAGACTAGGATTGCAACCCTTGTCTTTTTTTTGTTTTCCATTTACTTGGTAGATCTTCCTCCATCCTTTTATTTTGAGTCTATGTGTGTCTCTGCACGTGAGATGGGTTTCCTGAATACAGCACACTGATGGGTCTTGACTCTTTATCCAATTTGCCAGTCTGTGTCTTTTAATTGGAGCATTTAGTCCATTTACATTTAAAGTTGATATTATTATGTGTGAATTTGATCCTGTCATTATGATGTTCGCTGGTTATTTTGCTCGTTAGTTGATGCAGTTTCTTCCTAGCCTCGATGGTCTTTACAATTTGGCATGATTTTGCAGTGGCTGGTACCAGTTGTTCCTTTCCATGTTTAGTGCTTCCTTCAGGAGCTCTTTTAGGGCAGGCCTGGTTGTGACAAAATCTCTCAGCATTTGCTTGTCTGTAAAGGATTTTATTTCTCCTTCACTTATGAAGTTTAGTTTGGCTGGATATGAAGTTCTGGGTTGATAATTCTTTTCTTTAAGAATGTTGAATATCGGCCCCCACTCTCTTCTGGCTTGTAGAGTTTCTGCCAAGAGATCCACTGTTAGTCTGATGGGCTTCCCTTTGTGGGTAACCCGACCTTTCTCTCTGGCTGCCCTTAACATTTTTTCCTTCATTTCAACTTTGGTGAATCTGACAGTTATGTGTCTTGGAGTTGCTCTTCTCGAGGAGTATCTTTGTGGCATTCTCTGTATTTCCTGAATTTGAATGTTGGCCTGCCTTGCTAGGTTGGGGAAGTTCTGCTGGATAATATCCTGCGGAGTGTTTTCCAACTTGGTTCCATTCTCCCCATCACTTTCAGGTACACCAATCAGATGTAGATTTGGTCTTTTCACATAGTCCCATATTTCTTGGAGGCTTTGTTCATTTCTTTTTATTCTTTTTTCTCTAAACTTCCCTTCTCGCTTCATTTCATTCATTTCATCTTCCATCACTGATACCCTTTCTTTCAGTTGATCGCATCGGCTCCTGAGGCTTCTGCATTCCTCACGTAGTTCTCGAGCCTTGGCTTTCAGCTCCATCAGCTCCTTTAAGCACTTCTCTGTATTGGTTATTCTAGTTATACATTCGTCTAAATTTTTTTCAAAGTTTTTAACTTCTTTGCCTTTGATTTGAATTTCTTCCTGTAGCTCGGAGTAGTTTGATCGTCTGAAGCCTTCTTCTCTCAACTCGTCAAAGTCATTCTCCATCCAGCTTTGTTCCGTTGCTGGTGAGGAACTGCGTTCCTTTGGAAGAGGAGAGGCGCTCTGCTTTTTAGAGTTTCCAGTTTTTCTGCTCTGTTCTTTCCCCCTCTTTGTGGTTTTATCTTCTTTTGTTCTTTGATGATGGTGATGTACAGATGGGTTTTTGGTGTGGATGTCCTTTCTGTTTGTTAGTTTTCCTTCTAACAGACAGGACCCTCAGCTGCAAGTCTGTTGGAGTTTGCTAGAGGTCCACTCCCTACCCTGTTTGCCCGGGTACCAGCAGCGGTAGCTGCACAGCAGCGGATTTTCGTGAACCGTGAATGCTGCTGTCTGATCGTTCCTCTGGAAGTTTTTTCTCAGAGGAGTACCCGGTCATGTGAGGTGTCAGTCTGCCCCTACTGGGGGGTGCCTCCCAGTTAGGCTGCTCAGGGGTCAGGGGTCAGGGACCCACTTGAGGAGGCAGTCTGCCTGTTCTCAGATCTCCAGCTGCGTGCTAGGAGAACCACTGCTCTCCTCAAAGCTGTCAGACAGGGACATTTAAGTCTGCAGAGGTTACTGCTGTCTTTTTGTTTGTCTGTGCCCCGCCCCCAGAGGTGGAGCCTACAGAGGCAGGCAGGCCTCCTTGAGCTGTGGTGGGCTCCACCCAGTTCGAGCTTCCCGGCTGCTTTGTTTACCTAAGCAAGCCTGGGCAATGGCGGGCGCCCCTCCCCCAGCCTCACTGCCGCCTTGCAGTTTGATCTCAGACTGCTGTGCTAGCAATCAGTGAGACTCCGTGGGCGTAGGACCCTCCGAGCCAGGTGCGGCATATAATCTCCTGGTGCGCCGTTTTTTAAGCCCATCAGAAAAGCGCAGTATTCGGGTGGGAGTGACCCAATTTTCCAGGTGCCGTCTGTCACCCCTTTCTTTGACTAGGAAAGGGAACTCCCTGACCCCTTGCACTTCCCGAGTGAGGCAATGCCTCGCCCTGCTTCAGCTCGCACACGGTGCGCTGCACCCACTATCCTGCACCCACTGTCTGGCACTCCCTAGTGAGATGAACCCGGTACCTCAGATGGAAATGCAGAAATCACCCATCTTCTGCGTCGCTCACGCTGGGAACTGTAGACCGGAGCTGTTCCTATTCGGCCATCTCGGCTCCCACCTGTTTAGTTTTTTTGTTTGTTTGTTCGTTTGTTTGAGACCAAATCTCACTCTTGTCATCCAGGCTGGAGTGCGATGGCAGAATCTCGGCTCATTGCAACCTCCGCCTCCTGCGTTCAAGTGATTCTCCTGCCTCAGCTTCCTAAGTACCTGGGATTACAGGCGCACGCCACCATGCCTGGCTAATTTTTTTTCTTTTTTTGAGATGGAGTTTTACTCTTGTTGCCCAGGCTGGAGTGCAGTGCTGCGACCTCGGCTTACTGCAACCTCTGCCTCCTGGGTTCAAGCAATTCTCCTGCCTCAGCCTCCTGAGTAGCTGGGATTATAGCACATACCACCACACCCAGCTAATTTTTTGTATTTTTAGTGGAGACAGGGTTTCATCATGTTGGCCAGGCTGGTCTTGAACTCCTGACCTCAGGTGATCCACCTGCCTCAGCCTCCCAAAGTGCGGGGATTACAGGCGTGAGCCACCGCGTCTGGCCTAATTTTTTTGTATTTTAGTAGAGATGGGGTTTCGCCATGTTAGCCAGGCTGGTGTCGAATTCCTGACCTCAGGTGTACTGGGATTACAGGCATGAGCCGCTGCGCCTGGCCTGAGCCACCACGCCCAGCCAGTGGCTTCTTAAACTCAAGAAATAAGGTGGTATTTAAAGATAGACTGACCCTGTCAAAAAGTGGACAAAGGATATGAACAGATACTTCTCAAAAAAAGACAATTATGTGGCTAACAAGCATATGAAAAAAAGCTCAACATCGCTGATTATTAAAGAAATGCAAATCAAAATGACAGTGAGATATCATCTTACGCCAGTCAGAATGGTGATTATTAAAAAATCAAGAAACAATAGATGCTGGCAAGGCTGTGGAGAAACAGGAACGCTTTTACACTATTGGTGGGAGTATAAATTAGTTCAATTAATGTGGAAGACAGTGTAGCAATTCCTTAAGGATCTTGAACCAGAAATACCATTTGATCCAGCAATCCCATTACTGGATATATACCCAAAGGAATATAAATCATTCTACTATAAAGACACATGCACACGTATGTTTATTGCAGCACTATTTACAATAGCAAAGACAGGAACCAACCCAAATGCCCATCAATGATAGATTGCATAAGGAAAATGTGGTATATATACACTATGGAATACTATGCAGCCATAAAAAGGAATGAGATCATGTCCTTTGCAGGGACATAGATGAAGCTGGAAGCCATCATCCTCAGTAAACTAACACAGAAACGGAAAACCAAACGCTGCATGTTCTTATAAGTGGGAGTTGAACAATGAGAACACATGGACACAGGGCCGTGAACAACAAACACCAGGGCCAGTCGGGGGTTGGGGGACGAGGAGAGGGAGAGCATTAGGACAAATAACTAATGCATGTGGGGCTTAAAACCTAGATGACGGGTTGATAGGTGTAGCAAACCACCATGGCACACTTATACCTATGTAACAAATCTACATATTCTGCACTTGCATCCTGGAACTTAAAGTAAAATTTAAATATATATATATTTATATATGATATATTTTATATATCATATATATAAATATATATAATATTAAATATATATATGATATATAATATATATACACTATATATGATATATATAATATATATGATATATAATATATATGATATATATAATATATATGATATATTATATATGATATATATAATATATATGAGATATATATTATATATATGATATATAAATATATATGAGATATATATTATATATATGATATATAAATATATATGAGATATATATAAATCTATATATATATCAGGGGTGGAGGAGGATTTCTGGCTATAGGGGCTATAGGAACTTGACAGGATTCTTGCTGAATGCAGGCTGAGGTGATCAGGTAATCACCTGGAGAATGGTGGGGAATGAGGACTTAGATCATATATCAAGAGTGGGTGATTCTGGCTAAACCAACTTAGCAGGATTCCTGCTAAAGCTGGGCTCTGGAGGACATGCCAAGGATGAGGCCTACTGAAAAAAGAGCTCAGAGGAACCTGTCTAGAGTTTGGTTAAGGACAGCGTCTTTTTCAGTGTATGTATATATACATACATACAGATATATAAATAAAATTAATTTATTCAAAAAATATAATACAGTTTGTACAAGTAGTCAGTGGAGTTATTTGCTTCTGTACTAAATACCTACTGCAATGTGCCTAGCTTTGCATGGATACTTAGATATGACTCAGAGGGTATACTAACAATGATAATATAAATTATCAGGGTTTTTTTTTTAATGATTCACTTGAGCTTGAAGTCAAAATTCTTTGCTACTGAAATAAGTAGGATTTTAGACATTTATACATACATTTTAGAGAGGAGTTAGAAAAGGGAGAAGGTCTGTGTTAGAAATCTATCTTTTCAGCAGTTAATAGAGGTTTCCAAAATTCAAATTTAGTTGCTAAATTGTAGTTATTTTTGCCCCTCTAGCAAAAAAATTAACTTATTTGTTGATTTTAATATTTTTAACATGATTATGTTTTTCCAGGCGATGTTATTGTAGACATCAATGGCAACTGTGTCCTCGGTCACACTCATGCAGATGTTGTCCAGATGTTTCAATTGGTACCTGTCAATCAGTATGTAAACCTCACTTTATGTCGTGGTTATCCACTTCCTGATGACAGTGAAGATCCTGTTGTGGACATTGTTGCTGCTACCCCTGTCATCAATGGACAGTCATTAACCAAGGGAGAGACTTGCATGAATCCTCAGGATTTTAAGCCAGGAGCAATGGTTCTGGAGCAGAATGGAAAATCGGGACACACTTTGACTGGTGATGGTCTCAATGGACCATCAGATGCAAGTGAGCAGAGAGTATCCATGGCATCGTCAGGCAGCTCCCAGCCTGAACTAGTGACTATCCCTTTGATTAAGGGCCCTAAAGGGTTTGGGTTTGCAATTGCTGACAGCCCTACTGGACAGAAGGTGAAAATGATACTGGATAGTCAGTGGTGTCAAGGCCTTCAGAAAGGAGATATAATTAAGGAAATATACCATCAAAATGTGCAGAATTTAACACATCTCCAAGTGGTAGAGGTGCTAAAGCAGTTTCCAGTAGGTGCTGATGTACCATTGCTTATCTTAAGAGGAGGTAAGTAAAAGCACAACATAGAAAAAGTTTCAGTGTTCAAGCGTTTATATCTACTGATTGTCTTTCCTTACAGTTTAGAATGTGTTTTCCCAGCAGACTTAACTAGTAATTAGTGTGCATTTTCCTTAAGGTTCTGTCTGATTGTTTCCATAAGCAGTGTCTTTTTCAGCAGTTTTTAAAAAATTATTAGTGATTTCATTCATGTCCATTATGGATTTATTTCCCTCTGTATTCTTTTGAAAATCTGATTCATGGCTTTAATGATTAGAGAGAGTCACAGCATTGTGATACTTCAAATGAAATACATCCTCTTAATTTCATTTCTCTGTTGATGACAGTAATAGAAATTGACTCTTTCAACCAATGGTGTGTCATCTGGACCTCTGTAATGCACCAAAGATGTTTTGAAAGAGCTAGCATCTCTGTGGATAAGTAAAATGTTGGATGGTGTATTAATCTGTTCTGCAGAGGCAATCATGATAGCATGTGCTCATAAAGTTTTCATCTTAAGCTCTAGTATCTGACTGTAAATGTTAATTAAACCACACAGTGCTTATGTGAGAGAAATATAATTTTTATTTTCCAAGGTCATCAGCTGACATGAACTCCTCCCAGACATTTACAAATTCAGTTCCAAGGAATAATCACAAAGTTGAATTTTAATATGCTTTCTTAAATCCATACTTATAAGTGACTAGTATCTTAAAGAATAAAAGCCACTTACTCTTTTATCTCTCTGGATTTTACTTTTCACTATTGAGGCAAACGAGCACTTCAGCTTCTTTGGGAGTTGTTTCTTATTCTCGTTTCTTTGATTCACATGGGTTTCTTCTCTGAGTGATGGTGGAATGTGCTCCAAGTAAGGTAGAAATCTCTTTGTGAGTGCTTGAGAGTAATCCAGGGCTTCAACAAGTATAACAAAGACACCAAAGTTCAATGTCACACAGGTTTGATGTCAGTTTCCTGCCTTGCCACTTACTGGTTCTTTGGTATAGGAAAGAATCTTAGTTTACCTTCTCTGTAAGATGGTCATAACATTTGTGCCTTCAGATTGTTATAAAAATGAAATGAGATAATATATGTATAATGCCTGGTACATAGGAGGTTAGACACAGAATTTACTAGCGTACTAAAAGTTGAAGCTAGTTTTATCGTAAACATTAGCAGTATTTGTGATCTGGGAATGCATCCTCTGGTTTTAAACTTTGGTTCATTTTTTTTTTAAGGTCCTCCTTCACCAACCAAAACTGCCAAAATGGTGAGTATACACTGGTCCTCAAATCTTTTCCCCAACACACTGAGAGAGATGCCACATTCCCCTCTGTAAGAGGAGCTCACTGTGGTGATGATTATCGACTGGGAGAAGTTAGGAGGCATGCTGCCCTTGGCTTGTATTTATTAGAAACTAGGGAAGCGTTTGAAAAAGCCCCCTAGTGAGGAGATGTGCTCCACTGGTTAAGTATTGCAACTGGAGGATTACTAAAGGCCTATTGTACCAATAATCCTGTTCTCTAAGTTATAAAATGTGAACACATTAAAGAACCAACCTAGAGGTCTTTTTACTTTTGTGTTTCAGAGAAACAAGGTAGGAAGGACCTAAATGTTAAGACAGATGATAAACTATTACATCGTCTTGCCCCTGCCTGAAGAGAAGACGTACTAGTTCACATAATTTTGTGGGGACTATAAATATGCATGCACCTTTAGATAATCTTCTTACTTTTAAGACTAAATTAGGCTTATTTTTTTATTATTTATTTTTTATTTATTTATTTATTTTTTGAGACGGAGTCTTGCTCTGTCGCCCAGGCTGGAGTGCAGTGGCGCTATCTCGGCTCACTGCAACCTCCGCCTCCGGGGTTCAAGCGATTCTCCTGCCTCAGCCTCCCAAGTAGCTGGGACTACAGGTGCACGCCACCACACCCAGCTAATTTTTTTGTATTTTTAGTAGAGACAGGGTTTCACCATGTTGGCTAGGATGGTCTCAATCTCTTGACCTCATGATCTGCCCGCCTCGGCCTCCCAAAGTGCTGGGATTACAGGCATGATACACCACGTCCGGCTGACTAAACAAGACTTTCTAGAGTAATTGTGGCCTTCTATGCTAAATTTGCTTGTTGTCAAAGTGAAAGACCTGAAACAGTGTCTTCTTTGGCATTCTTCTAAATAATCACGTAGCCTGTTTAAGGACCTGTGCAGAGAATAAGAACTTTAAAAAGGAGTGCATCAAATGCTGCTGTTGTGGAAGAAACTCTACAAGGTGCACATTTGTAGCTATTTAAATATCCACAATGTTTTGGATATAAAGACAATTTTATTTAAAATTCTAATTTAGTTCTAGTTTGCTCCTTTGGAGTCTTTTATCTCAAAATCAAAAGATGGCCTTCCATAACCATAAACTATAGACAATTATATTAAATGAATTAGTTCTTTCTAGCCCACCAAGTAGGAATCCTCTGCAAATTTGCTGTTTTATAGATTAAAAAGAATCCCTCAGCTTCTGGCCTTTTTTTTTTTTTTTTTTTTGAGACAGAGTCTCACTCCATCACCCAGGCTGGAATGCAGTGGTGTGATTTTGGCTCACTGCAGCCTCTGCCGCCTAGGTTCAAGCAATTCTTGTGCCTTAGCCTCCCAGTAGCTGGAATTACAGGTGCACGCCACCACACGCAGCTAATTTTTATATTTTTGGTAGAGATGGAGTTTCACTACATTGGCTAGGCTGGTCTCAAATTCCTGACCTCAGGTGATCTGCCCACCTCGGCCTCCCAAAGTGCTGGGATTACAGGCATGAGCCACTGCGCCCGGCCAGCTTCTGCCCTTTTCATTGACTGCTTATACTACTTGGGTCCAGTGTGAACAGAAATTGTTTTTGTCCATTCAGTTCAAATTGCACTGTATTCTACATTTCTCTGGTTCCTCTAGTAATCATTTTTAACTCCTGTGCCACCATATTTATTTCATAATGGATGCCACTGCAGTCGCAGTGGCCCTAATGCTTTATAATTGATGGAAGGGTCTGATGAACTTTAACCGCCTCTGACAGAATGCTAAGATGTATGGGGAAGGGTAGGAGACTACTGTTAGCTTCTCTGCCTTCTCATTGGGTCTGGGTGATTGAAGGGTCCCCTCTAGCACGACACTTTGTAGTGGCTGACCCCTGATTACTCCCTGACAGACTGGTGCCCCTGCATTCTAGTCATTGTTAATGATCACAAACATCCATAATCTCCCTCTCCTAACAATAATCCAGGAAAACGAGCTGGTCTCAAAACCATATTTCTTAGGCCATTTATTGGATTTCATTGTTAACATTTTATTAAATAAGTCATTTTGCTTGGCTGTTATCTTGGGAAAGTTCTAGCTGAATAGGAAAAATATCAAAATATGCTACTATGCTTTCCCTTATCTAATTGTCTTGCATGGTACATTTTCTCTTAATATATGTGAATTGGCCAGACAGGGTTTTCACAGTGCCATCTTTATAACCTAAATTAGAGTTAACCTCTCCTGTTTTCTTAGAAAGAGTATTATCTTAAACATCTTCCTTAGAAATTAAACTCAGTGAATGGGAGGTGGGCCGTGCTAAGAATTTTATGAAGATATTCTCTGAATCTCCCTCTTACTTTACTTAGAAGTGCTGCCTTGTATTGTATTTCTATTTATCTTCATCTCAAAGTCAATTTGTGTCTTGGTGGTGGAGAAAAGGGCAAAATTGTTTAAACATAGGACTAACTAAGGCTCTTCAGTTGATATTACTATAAACTTTTTTCTAATTTAAGTTAAATATGTTTCAACCAAATACACATTGCTATGAAAATGAATTCCTGTAACTGTAAATCTGCTGTGTCTTTGATCCTGCCACCTATACAACTATAATCAGTTGACATATCCATTTCAGATATCAGTTTTATGAATTAATCAACCATCTGCTTTTTAAAAAATACTAAGTAAGGCTCTTTTCCATTTCAGAAAACAGATAAAAAGGAAAATGCAGGAAGTTTGGAGGCCATAAATGAGCCTATTCCTCAGCCTATGCCTTTTCCACCGAGCATTATCAGGTCAGGATCCCCAAAATTGGATCCTTCTGAGGTCTACCTGAAATCTAAGACTTTATATGAAGATAAACGTAAGTAGTTGTGGAATATTTCAGGAGAGCATATAACAAGATAAATTTGGATTTATTTTAGACTAGGACCTTCCCATCTTTCAGAAGCATATTGAAAAGTTATTCCTTCATTACCATTTTAATAGAACTCTGGACTTCTTCCATGTATATTCGACATTCACACATTCATTTTTTTCAAAATCATGCTTTAAGTGCTAGTTATCTACCAGATGCCATACTAGGTAACCAGAATACAGAGATAAATAGGTTACATAGGACCTGCACCCAAAAATATTATTAGAACTAAATGGAAAAAGACAAATATGTAATCAAATAGTATACAAATAAGTACACATAATAAGCCTAACAGGTACAGTGATAGAAAGATGAAATGGATAAATTGGGATCCAAAGAAGGAATATTCAGTTTTATCAGTGTGGGCAGTAGGAAGTGTCAGGAAAAGCTTCATACTGGAAGCAAAGCTTTAACTAAGTCATCAGGGATGAAAAAGTGTCTTTGAGGAAGATAAAAGGGAAAGATAGAAGGAATAGCACATGCACACTGGCCTTGCATGACTTGGGCTCTGCAAGTAGTTCACTTTCGCTGGGTGCAATTGGCAAGGAAAGTCACAGAGGAGAGCAGGAACAGATTGAGGAAGGCCAATGATGCCCTTCCAAGGGAGCTGGAGTTGGTCATATAAATAACAGAGAACCACAGAATGCCTTTAACTATAAGGAAGGCATAGTTTTGTGTTTTAGAAAGGTTTTTCTGGCAGGAGTATGAAGGATGAATCAGAGGTGTATGCAATTTGAGGGAGGGTGTGCAATTTGAAGAAGAAACTAAAGAGTTGACTCCTTACAGGAGTCCAGCTGAGAGATAAAAAGAGAGACTGCATAAGGCAGAAATTCATGCATGTTCCTACTAATTCACTTACTAATGATAAATCTTTTCCAAAGTAAAATTGCAGATTTGAGTAGGTATAATTTTTTAAAATTTATTTGTTCTTAGAAAGAGATGTAAATCTACCTTGGAAAAGATATGTACAAGTGGAATATATGTATAGTTGACTTAATGCTTATTTAACTAGTTGCAGAAGTACATCTTGATAATCCCAAGCCATATTCAGAAAGATGAAAACCAGTTGTACGCCCAGCAAAGCAATAATTTAAATTAGCATAACAATGTAGAATCCCTTTCTTCATACTTTCCATTCATAGCCTGATACATTATTAATACTGGTATAAACTCTGCAGTCCCATCAGGCTTCACCCATAAAATAAGTGAGTTGAACTGATGACTCTTTTTTTTTTTTTCCCCTGAGACAGAGTCTTGCTCTGTCACCCGGAGCTGGAGTGCAGTGGCACAATCTCAGCTCACTGAAACCTCTGCCTCCTAGGTTCAAGCAATTCTCCTGCCTCAGCCTCCTGAGTAGCTGGCACTACAGGCGTATGCCACCATGACTGGCTAAGTTTTGCATTTTTAGTAGAGACGGGGTTTCACCATGTTAGTCAAGCTGGTCTCAAACTCCTGACCTCGTGATCCGCCCACCTCGGCCTCCCAAAGTGGACTCTTTTAATCTCTAAAGTTCTACAATTTTAATAGGAAGTATATATCAAAAGATACTGCTTCTATAGAATATTATCAGGAATTTACTAATCTCACTTTTTACATAGTTCCCTGACATGTTTATTTCTTCTCTCTTTACAGTAAATACTTCTTACCTATAAATAACATTAATATTTTCCCAAAGGAAAAATTTTAGTCATGAAATAGATTTTTGTGACTTAATATTCTTTTTTTTTTTTTTTGAGATGGAGTCTTGCTCTGTTGCCCAGGCTGGAATGCAGTGGCACGATCTCAGTTCACTGCAACCTCTGCCTCCCAGGTTCAAGCAATCCTCCTGCTTAATATTCTAAGGAATACAACCTACCCTTTGAGGGTAGGACAGTATGAGTTAGGAGATTAGACCCTGGAAATCAACCTGGATTTAAATCTTAGCTTCACCACTTGCTATGTGACAATGGCCAACTTACTTACACCCTCAGTTTTCCCACCTAGAAAATGGGGCTAATAATAAATGTTAGCTCTTAATTATTTTCCTTTAAAATGCTATCATTTTGCAAAACTAGGCTAGGTAAGTAGTTCATATGGAATACTTTTCTGAGAGAAAGGTATTAGCTTGAGAGCAGGAATAAGGTATTTTACAGGCACTCTATACAGCAGTGCCTGTACAGATTTAATGTACCTTACCCAAGTGTTAACTTAGGTCATTTGCACCTGTCAAATATCAAACTCAAGTTTGATCATTCTGAATTCAACATTGTTATATTGATTGGACAGCATTAGAAGTTAATGGCAGTGTAATACTGAGTATATGGAAGTGAGAGTAAATGTTTCTAAACAGTCTTCATACAGTTTTGTTTAGAGCTCAAAACGAGGATTTATAGTTGAATTGTGTGTGTGTGTTACACTCTTGTGCAAATTTTCCATATTAAAAAGTTCTGAGATTATAGTTTATTGAGTTACTCTATAATATCCTACTAAATACTGAACTTTGTTTTGTTTTAATCCTTTTAAAATAAATCATAGTATTTATATTTTCTGATTTTCCTCAGCACCAAACACCAAAGATTTGGATGTTTTTCTTCGAAAACAAGAGTCAGGGTTTGGCTTCAGGGTGCTAGGAGGAGATGGACCTGACCAGTCTGTAAGTGTCACTTCTTTGGAACATGGCTGTTTCCTGTTCAAACGTTTTGAGTGGTGATTTGGTGGATTATGGTGTGTTTTAAGTTTTTTTTTCTCTGACAGTTTCATTAATATGAAGAATAACTGCATTTCCATTATTATCATAGTCCCTCAGTTATTGTGGTGTAGCTGAGGCTAAAAACTGTGGGTAAAAACTGAATATGTCAGCTGCAAATTAGACAGTGATTAATTTATTTACTTCTCTGTGTGAATAACTACATAAAGCTTATTTTAAGTTTATATTTTCCTTTGCCCTCATTAAACAGAGTCTAAGACATTTTCCTTCTCTAAGAAGCCTATAATCCCATGTCCTCTTTCCCACTATTACTCTATCTTCTGGATGCTCCATAAATGGTTGGCATGAGCCTGTGCATATTGTTTCACCTCGTCTTATTAATAGGTTGGCATTTTCATGCTCAGTACTTTGCATGTCATTTCATCTGTTACCTTTGAAACTAGAGGAATATAAAATAATTAATATTTTTGTCCAGAGGCATAAGGGTTATATTTGCAAAGCATTTGAAGTCTAGGATTTTGTTTACACATGATTCTCACATAAACTTGTTTTAGAGAACAAATGTAGTGGGTTTTGTTTCTAAGTTTTGCTCTTGGTTTGAATAACAAAGAAGTAATGTGTTCTGTAGCATTTTTAAGAACATATTTGCATTTTATTTTATATAATATCAATATATTATATATCAAAAAATATGGTTGGAAGTTAGGTGAAGAACAATAATCTTTAAAAATTACAGGCTTCTTATTTCTGAATAGAACATTTGATTTATGTAGTATAAATTTGTTCTAATTGGTCATATTGGTTACAGTTACAACAGTCATTGGAGACACATAAAGCTTAAGGCAGGTTGCCCTATGTAGAACAAATACTAGATACTTTAATTGTTCTTGGTATTTGTATTTTTGTTTTATTGCTTCCTATTTTGTTGATACTCATAATGTTCACTTAGACATTTTAAGAATTTGTCTCAAACAACTTAGAAGAAACCTTTCTTTTCTCTTAAATGTCAGATTTTAGCAGCTCTGAAACTAGCCTAAACATTCAGGATTGCCTAATTACAGGATTCTAATGCTGGTGAGCAAAATGAACCAGATTTGTTCACCTAGATGCAAGTGAAGCTTCAGGCCACTCTGTTCCCGCTGAGATTTAGAAACAAGAAATGTCTCTGTGCTGTGTATATTGAACTTGTACCGTTAGTCATATGTGATGGGAGTACTGTTGAGAATGATCCCAGTTGCTGTGAACAGTATGTAGAAAATCTTGCCTGATGACATTGAACAGACTTTTAATAGCTACTCTGCAGATTTATATTTTCTGAGTTTAGTGTTTTGTTTCATTGTAATGATAGGGATAATGGTTGTGCTTTTTGAGTTATCGAACAACTTTGTATTTTCTATTTTCTTTGTACACAGCCCTGAGGATCTATAAGGGATTACATAATACAATGTGGTTATTTGAAGTGCCATTTTGGAGAATGGGCACTTTCTCAGATAATACCTTTCTAAAATATAACTGTTTTCATAGTTGAACTGCAAAAATCTGTTGGTTTGCACAATGCTAAGTTAGGAATTCCTTAACTCTTCAGCTAAACTTTACACTGTGGACCAAACTGTACTTTGTTATCTTATCAGATATATATTGGGGCTATTATTCCCCTGGGAGCAGCTGAGAAAGATGGTCGGCTCCGCGCAGCTGATGAACTAATGTGCATTGATGGAATTCCTGTTAAAGGGAAATCACACAAACAAGTCTTGGACCTCATGACAACTGCTGCTCGAAATGGCCATGTGTTACTAACTGTCAGACGGAAGATCTTCTATGGAGGTGTGTGAACTTGTTCCTGCTCTGAAAAGTTAAAAAAGAAACAAAGATACTAGTCTACTTCCTGTGTAGTTTTGCAGGTTATTTTATTACATTCAGTAGTATCTAAGATAACCCATTTGGTGTGATCCAGGGCCTCACTGTGGAAGGCTATGCAAACACAAAAGGATTCAGAAATAATACTACTATAAAAAAATAAATTTTGGGCTTCTATATTAAGATTATTTTCATATATTGATGCATTTTGCAAATGTATTATAGGTGGGAGTATTGATTTAAATCCGGTTTTGTTTTGTTTTGTTGAGTTGAGGTAGAGTCTCACTCTGTCACCCAGGCTAGAGTGCAGTGGTATGAGCTCAGCTCACTGCAACCTCCACCTCTTGGGTTCAAGCGATTCTCCTGCCTCAGCCTCCTGAGTAGCTGGGATTACAGGCACACACCACCACACGGCTAATTTTTGTATTTTTAGTAGAGACGGGGTTTCACCACATTGGCCAGGCTGGTCTCGAACTCTTGACCTCAAGTGATCCACCTGTCTCAGACTCCCAAAGTGCTGGAATTACAGGCGTGAGCCACTGTGCCCAGCCTAAATTTGTTTTGTTTTTTTTTAAATAACAAATACAAAATTATTTAGTCATACCAAGATATCCCACTAGCTGAATATACAAAGATTTTTGGATCCCAGTGAAATCTGAGCTACTAAAGGAAAGTAGGATGTTTCTACTTGAGAAGTTTTAGTATAATTTAACATTTATTGAGTGCTTACTATGTCCTAGATGCATGGATTATTTTATTTAATCTTCACAACACTATGAGGTCATTATCTAGTTCTATGATTACTCAGAGAAAGGTTGAGAAACAAATAACTGGTAAGAGGTAGGGCCTGGATTAAAAGTTGCAGTTTAATTCAGAGATCAGGGTTTAAACCATAGCATTAGGATATGAATATCTCTTATAGTTTCTCGCCAGTAGCTTTATGAATAATTAAATAGAAATTCTTATAAGTGAATTCTTTCCACTTTAAAATTAAAAAAATACAACTCTGTAGCACAAGAATATAAGCCTCATGAAGGTATGAATTTTTATTTGTGTAGTTATCTGCTGTAAGCTCGGCACCTAAAAGAGTGCCTGTCTGGTACAAAGTGGACATTAATAAATGTTGTTAATTGGATGAATATTTACATCACTCTTAAAAATGAGGCACTGTATTTTTTATTGCAACATTCAAAGTAAAGGCCTGCCTCCTTTGGTAAATACCAGGCATTTAGAATGCATATAGATTGTAATGCAGTACTGCCTCAATTTGGTTGTGTTGGAGGCCAAATGTAACTACTTACAGTAAAATTGTGATGTTATACAACCTACGCTCTTCCCTGGAAAGAATCATGAAGAAGTTTCATAGTAGTTTGGTATTATTGGAGACATTTTAGCTAATACATTCTAACTATGCATTTTGAAAAAAAAAAAGAAAAAAACATATTCTTAAAACCATGTGAATTTTCAGCCAGAAAGAGACCTTATAAATATGGACATGACTGCAGTGTGTTGTGGTTATTATTAACGATGGTTTGTACCAAATTATGGCAAAAAATATGCCCTTTTTAAAAAATCAGTTAGGACTTTGTGTCATTCTCAAGTTCTGATGTCATCCTTGAAGAGCAGAAAAAGGTGTAGGTTAATTGGCCATTTGTCAGGAATTTCATATGACCCTGTCTATGCCCAGAAGTGTTTGCTATTCATGTGGACAGCTTGTTATGTGTCCCAGCAAGTTGAGGGGTGGAGGTTGGGGAGGTTGAAGGCTGAGAACTGCTAATGATGAACTCATCTTATATCATCACTCAGGAAACTGCAGTTGCAAAACACATCATATAAGACAAATCCTGTACAGGTAGCAAACTGTTATAATGGGGCAGCATTTCTGCCCTGATGCTTTAACCTCTAAGACAGACATCAATGAATATCAGTCACTGAGCTAAATTATATTTATAATTGATTTTAAAAGGAAGTTCATGTGTCATTCCTCATTATGTGTTTCATTAAAATTATTGGTCCATGTTATAAAACTTGATGGAACTAAAACAGTTTTAGGAAGAATTTTTTTACTATCAAATCTCACAGAAACTTTGAAAAGCTTCCTTTAAAATGAGATCATGAGGTCAGGAGTTCGAGACCAGCCTGGCCAATATGGTGAAACCCCATCTCTTCTAAAAATACAAAAATTAGCCGGGCATGGTGGTGGGCACCTGTAATCCCAGCTACTCAGGAGGCTGAGGCAGGAGAATGGCGTGAACCCAGGAAGCAGAGGTTGCAATGAGCCGAGATCGCGCCACTGCACTCCAGCCTAGGTGACAGAGCAAGACGCCATCTCGGGGAAAAAAAAAAATGAGATAACATGAGATTGTATGTATTTTTCAGTAATCCACTCTGAGTATTTGGGAAGTCGGATGGACTGCTGTTGCCTACATCTGCACTCAGATTATACCCGAAGCTCACATGTGGGGCTGCTTTTCTATTCTTTATGTTATTAGAAACTGAATTTTTCTGTGAGAGGCTTAGCATAAAAACACTTTAGTCACCAGAAATTATGATGTTCCAGACATATCAAAACTGATCATGTTTATTACAGAAAAACAACCCGAGGACGACAGCTCTCAGGCCTTCATTTCAACACAGAATGGATCTCCCCGCCTGAACCGGGCAGAGGTCCCAGCCAGGCCTGCACCCCAGGAGCCCTATGATGTTGTCTTGCAACGAAAAGAAAATGAAGGATTTGGCTTTGTCATCCTCACCTCCAAAAACAAACCACCTCCAGGAGGTAAGGGCTATTGTATCTTATTGTCTCTCCCTGCAAGTCCAGTTTTCTGAGGCTCCCACTGGAGTTTATGAAATAATTAGGAGCTATGTATAAAATGCCTTAGGTACTTATCTTTTTAAGAATGGTGAATACTTTCCTTATTTTCAAAATTAGGTAATTTGAACCGAACCTTCCAGGCTTCAAGTTTATCTATTATCTCACATTCTATAAAATATTTAATAAGTCTCAGTAGCTCCATTTGCCTCAAGGTTATACTGAAGACAGTATGTCATAGATATGGATTTAATGAAAGGTATAATGCTGACTTTTAAGAAAATGGGGACATAGGTTTTGAAAATTAGGATAAATCGTGTATGTAGAAAATAGAGACTAGAAGCAATTGAGAAGAAGCAAAGCAGATTAACAGAAAAATCTTGACCCAAATATGTCGTAGATATTTTATGTTATTATTTAATAATAATTGCCATAGTCCAGCTATAAATTACCCTTGTTGAATGATAAGAGGCATACCTTTTATAAATGTTTCATTGAAAGGTAAAAATTTTGTCAACAATTGGAAAATGGATCTAAATATCTTGAACCAAGTTTAACAGAATATTCTAATCCAGAAGATGAATGTATTTATATCAGTTCCATGATCAAAGGAGGAATTACATCTGATATATTCAGGGCTGTTACGATTCAGCAAATGAAATATTTGTCTTGATATTTCTATAAAATAATAATTTTTAATATAATTATAAAATCCAGTTGAATATGAGAACCAGCTCCAAGTCAAATAATAAAAATCTTTGACCACATGAAAATGTGCCCTTGCCTTTACAAGTCAGTTTGATTATGTTTTGAATAGTGAGATCCTTTTAGACCAAGTGGTTGCTAAAACCTTAGTTTAAAAAAAAGAAAACACTTTTAGGAAAGTGTTGTGAGCCAAATCAGTTTGCAAAAATCTTGCTAAAATTAATGGAAATGTATAAGGGAAAAAGAGTCCATGACATGGATGAGTTATTGCTATAGTATTAGGTCACTGCTCACTGATGCTAGTTTCCATTTTCCCAAAGCAGTTGCCATGGAAACACTTGGAACTGGAACTGTCACTGATGCTGTGAGGATGATAATATGGCGTGTGTCAGAAAAATGAAAGGAAAGCAGCTTTTAGGTGGTTTTCATGTTGTATCATTGGAATCAGTATTTCCAAAAACAGATAACCATTTAGGATAATGATATTGTCATTCTCGTAACATACAATAACACCAGGCATTCAGATTAACTAAAACAGTGAAAGTATTACTCTAGTAGATAGATGCTAACCACTTTCTATATTGAAGATATTCCCTTTCTAGCACTACAGAAATTTGGGGAAAGTCTAGTGTTCACTATAAAACTAAGCTATATAGAGGAATTCAGTAAAATAAGTTTCATTGCTTAAATATATTTAAGCATATTTTTACATTTATTTATATTTAACATTTATGTTATATTAAATTTTAATATATTAAGTATTTTTATTTGTATATATTGGTAAATTTTTAAAAATTTAAAAATCTTTAAGTAGTTTTATATTTCCTTGTTTCAATCATTTTTTACTATTGTGATGGTTTTACCTATGGAGATACTTCATCTCTTTAAGATAGTGTCATTAAGTGTTGTGTTTTGTAATCCAACAAACTTGGATTCAAGTCCTGCTTATGTCTTTTAATAGCTGTCTGATCTTGGGCAAATTACTTTCCCTCCAAGAGCTCCAGTTTCTTCCACAAAATGAGGATGATAGAGACACTCCCTGTCTCATGAATGTGAGGATTAAAGGAGACAGGGTATGTGAAGCCCTTAGCCAAGGCCTTCAGTAAATGTTAGCTGCTGTTGCTTGTTGTAACTTCTGCTGCCATTGTTATCATCATCATTATTTAGAAAATTGTCACCGTCTCTTAACTTTTCTTTTAAAAAAAAACTTTTAAAAGTTCATCAATACTTAATAATGAGATAGGAAAGAAAGCCCAATTAAAATGTAAGATTGAGGCAGCAGCTAACATGTGGCAGGAGATGAGTATTTGCAGCTCATTAATTATCAGGCTGAATGGTAAATTAGGCTCAGGTTGTTGATGAATTTTATGTAAAGTACTTGAGATTTTCAGTCATGGTGTAAAACCAGAATTGATAATTTCACTGAAATGCTAGTTAATAATCTCATAAAATGTTGAGGCCTGAGAGTATTCTTGTTAGAATTTTATTTTTCACATATAGACAGAAAAAGGGTCCTGGGGAAAGCTCCAATGAGGAGTTTTCACTTACAGAGACTGAACACTTGCTGCAAACTGTATGACAGAGAAGGTTTGGTTCAGAAAGGAGTTAGCACAGGTGGAAAGGCAGGAAACCTGTCTCAGAATAGATCAGTATTTTCTTTTTCTTTTTTTTTTTTTTGAGACAGTCTTACTCTGTTGCCCAGGCTGGAGTGGAGTGGTGTGATCTCGGTTCACTGCAACCTCTGCCTCCCAGGTTCAAGTGATTCTCGTGCCTCAGCCTCCCGATTAGCTGGGATTACAGGCATGTGCCAACACACCTGGCTAATTTTTTTTGTATTTTTAGCAGAGACGGGGTTTTGCCATGTTGGCCAGGCTGGTCTCAAACTCCCAACCTCAGGCAATCCACCCACCTTGGCCTCCCAAAGTGCTGGGATTACAGACATGAGCCACCGTGCCCAGCCAGATCATTCTTTATGGACCTCATCTCAGGTATTTTCTGATGACGTATGTCTCAAGAAGAGTTCCTAGTAGCATCTGTGGTACCAGTTATGGAATTCTGAGTTTCTCTACTGTTGACTTTTTCAAAGATCAGGGATCCAGGTCTAGCATCCTCACAATTTGTCTAAGTGCTGAATGAATGGAGTACTTAGAAAAGGCCTCTATTTAAGATTAAGAAGACTCGGCTAGTTTTTGCTTTACTAGTACTTCAGAGCTTTTAGTGTTATTCCTTCTTATCATGTAGTTTTCAGTTCTGGTTGCAAAGGATTTCTTTGAAAAGGGAACATTTCCAGTTACTGTTCTTTGTTTTCCTGAAAAGAAATGTTTTAAGAGCACTAAAGTGATCTCAGGATCTAGACAAGCCAGGCTATGAGACAGATTTAGGCCAAAGATGAATGAAGATGGATAAGTTGGCTTTATGGCAAATGCCTGTAGACTTTGTGTATCAACAAAAACAAGGCAGGACTGAAGGCTTTTCCCTAGCTATGTGAACTCTAAGGGGTTACCTTGAACAGTTTCCCAGTCCGTTTAGAAAATGTTCAGAAGCTACCTTTCTACTGGTCTGTTTGCTATTTTTAACTGTTCCGGTGACACTGCTATAAATACTAAGACAGTAACAATCTGACTGCTTTTACCTTCCCTCACCCAGACAACCAGCCCTTTAGGAAGTTGTATACCACCATGCACCAATTCTTTTTACCACATTGCTCGCAGACTGAGAAAGGGGACCACTAAGATTTCAGAGATTAATTCTATTTAATGCTTTCCCAAGTCTGAACAAACTCCTTTTAGTGAGCCAAGGAACTGAATGATTTTCTTCTCAGAGTATCTAGAAAGAACACTATGTTTGAGTAAATCTTTTGTAAGGAGAATAACTGAGATATTGATTTAGAAGGTCACCACAGGGCCACCGTATGACCTGCCGTATGTTTCTGGTGTGCCACCTGTTGTAGAATTAGTGAATCAACTCATAATGCCTGATATGACATGGCCCTTTCTGCACTGGCATTTCTCTAATTACGTTGTTTGTAAGGAAAATAGAATAATAAGTGCTTGACATAATTCAGAGCTAAAAGGCACTTCCTTCCAACATTGACTTACTCTATTTTAAGATAAAATCTGCCACTGTGTATTCCTAGAAGAGCCAGGGCACTGTCTGTAGGGAAATAAATCATCATCAAGAATAACTTTTCTACTCCAAATGAAGGTCTATTTAAATGTCCCTTACATACTCCTAGATATGATTCAGAAATACTAGTAAGGAGCAGGTTTTACTATGGAAATTAAACATCATTCACAGTGCCATTCAAAAATATGAATTATCCCTATTCAAATCAGTCAGTAGTCAGCAGGAGCCCACATACCTGATAAGTTT
Organism: Homo sapiens; assembly: GCF_000001405.40. Classification (NCBI taxonomy): domain Eukaryota; kingdom Metazoa; phylum Chordata; class Mammalia; order Primates; family Hominidae; genus Homo; species Homo sapiens. Next base: position 113,658,129 of record NC_000001.11, read on the forward strand.
AAAGTTTACTGACCTAGGCTAGGAAATTCTCAGAGAACATAGAAGGAACATTTGTTTCCTAATACAAATGCTGCCTGTTGCACGGTGGAAAATATTTTGTTTGACAAGATTTCCTGAATATCTGAGAACTCATTTCAAGCTATAATAATAGCAGAGTATCTTAATAGTTAGTCCAGGAAGGCTCTTAGCATTATAAGCTAGAGATACAGTAGAGCTACACAGAGCATCTTTGCAATTGTATTAGACTCAGCTTTGTGTATTTGGTTTAGAATTTGATCCATGAGTCAAGTAGTCTTAACAGTTAACATTTAATGTTCCAATTCCACTCAGCTTTTCAAATTTTAAAAAGAGCCAAAGGCATAAATAAGAGGAATTAATTTACATGTGGAATTAAGTATGATTCATTTTAATTGTCAGTCATTTCACTGTACCTGAATTTCTGACCAATAACTACCGAGTGCTAAACCTGAGTTTGACCTGCATTTATTTACAAGGTTCCTTATGGGAGCAAGTGTCCCTTTAACAGAAGCAAAGATAATCTTATCGTAGCAGTTTTTAAAATAGCTAAAAACTTGTTGCAGCTTAAATGGCCAACAATAAACAATGAGACATCTGATCAGTCAGGTGGTATCAGTGAGATTAGTAGCTCTTAAACAGAACAATTACGATGAGAATGTAAAAATTAGAAAAAGGTTTCTGGTAGGTAGAAAATAGCAAAGAGGTTTATATGCTATGATTACAACTGTGTAAAGAGTATTTATGCATGTGGGCAAAAGTGAGAAGTATGAAAATAGTTCCGTTTGGATGCGATGATGACGTGTGGTACTTTTCTGTTATGTTTTTAAATAATTTTCTTTGATGTTATGTTGAATTTTAAATGACGTTGATTATAAATCTAACACTAGCAGAAATCTTAAATAATTGAAAAACCTGGGGTTTTTTTTCCCATAGTTATTCCTCATAAAATTGGCCGAGTCATAGAAGGAAGTCCGGCTGACCGCTGTGGAAAACTGAAAGTTGGAGATCATATCTCTGCAGTGAATGGGCAGTCCATTGTTGAACTGTCTCATGATAACATTGTTCAGCTGATCAAAGATGCTGGTGTCACCGTCACACTAACGGTCATTGCTGAAGAAGGTAAGGAGCCAGTAGACGCGCCTGCCCCAAGCTGATCTGAGAGGCACAAAGCCTGTGTGAGGCAGTGGCCTCCTCCAGCACTGCCAGAATCACTGCGGGGATATAACTGTGTATGCACGCTGGAGTCTTATTCTTCCCCTTTTCAATTTAATGAACTTAAAAAACAACTTATTATAAAGTTGTCAGCAGCTCAAGAAAAATAATCCAGCTAGTGAGTGTGGACCGTTTATTTATGTGCTAGAGAAGCAAGCACCCAGAAGTGAAAGAGACTGGTAGTACTTTTCAGATCTTATTTTCTTAAAATAATGTCTTAAGTCTTCGCTTAAGTGAGAGAAAATCCTTTAAACAGTTCAAAGAAAGTCACTGTTGATATCAAGTCTTTTATGTCAGGCCCATGCCACAGTGTGCCTTTCCTTGGGGACAGGGCTTTGTTCTGGGCAGCCGCTTTGTAAACAGGGTAAAGGAGTGCGTGGGAATGGCTAGTAAGTGGGGCATAAAACACATACTGGCAGCCGTGGAGTCTCCCAAACATGTTTAATGTCTTGCCTTGCTGTAAAGCTGCCTTTTGATCATTAAGAATTTCTAATTAGGAACCATCTTTAGCCAGTCCATATTCTTTGTGAATTACAACATAACCACTATGTAATGCTCTCATTTTTCCTGATTTTGCAAAACTAACAAGGAGAAGCCAAAAACAGAATTATGAAGGGTCAGTCTTTGATGTTAAAATTCCTCATACTATAATGTGTATTCATGTTCCATTTTCTCCCATGACCCTCTAATCTAGTTGGTTTCCAAGTCTTTTATACTTCCTGGTTCTACCTTTTGTTTCTGTTCCTACCACACCACTCTCATCATTTATTTCTAAGGTATTACATAAATCTGTTCAAGATGCTATAGGGGTTATTTCTGCATGGACATGAATTGACTTCACTGCTCCCTTAGGCCCTGTCGAATTCTGGGCAGGATTCCAAGATGCTGTGACATCCCTGCCTTTGTTCTTTCCCTTCTCCATTCTGTTCCTATACTCTTCTCAGACTCTGCTGATTCTTTTCTAAAATAATCCCTTGTAGAAGCTCCACTGCTTCCCCACTCTCTGCCCAGAAAGTGTTCTGTGATTTTGCTCTCAGCCTTTTAAATGTACTTCTCAGTATTCTCTCCACACCCTCTCTAAGCTGGGCCTCACTGGCCTCTATGTACATGGCCTTCCCCCGCAACCGCAACTCCCATAGCACCTCCTATCTCTGCACTTCACTGGACATCATTCTTACATAACCATATCCCTATTTAAATGGTCTGCTCTTTGTAAACAAAAAACATATTGGTTGACTATGATACTAGATGCTCAGCATTTTTTTTTTTTTTTTGAGACAGGGTCTCACTCTGTTGCCCAGGCTGGAGTGCAGTGGCACAGTCCTGGCTCGCTGCAGTCTCAACCTCCCGGGCTCAAGTGATCCTCTGACCTCAGCGTCCTGAGTAGCTAGGACTACATAATTTTTAATTTTTTTTTTTTTTTTTTTTGAGATAGGGGTCTCACTGTGTTGCGTAGTCTGGTCTCGAACTCCTGGGCTCAAGCGATCTTCCTGCCTCAGCCTCCCACAGTGCTAGTATTACAGGCGTGAGCCACCATGCCTGGCCAGCAAATATTTTTTGAATGAAGGAATGAGTAAACGAATGAGTGAACAAAGTAAAAGTTAGGAGATGTTAGTTCTGAGGGCTTCTGTCCCATTACCTAAGCAGAGGCTATTTAAACCCAATAAAAGAAGTAAGGCTTTTGACAAAGGCCACAGATACCTATTAGCTAGTTACATGACAAAAAAACTACATAATATTTCTAATCTTCACTTTTTTAACTGTAGAACTGGAGTAGTAATATCTATTTCAGTATCATCATCAGGGGTTAAAGGTGAAAATATACATAAACTGCATAAATACCCTAGGGTGCTCATCTAATATCATTATTTTACCTACATGACTGGCTCCCTCATTCAGGTCTCTGTTTAAATCTCACTTCCCAAGGAAATAATAATAGTATTTAATAAGTGTGTACTATGTGACAGGCACTGTCCTAAATGCTTGACATATATTAACTAATACAATAATCCTAGGCAGGCACTATGGTTTTCCAATTCTTGTAGATGAGGAAACTGAGTCACAGAGCAGTTAGATGAATTGCCTGTGGTTAAAAAATGTTCTAAATGCTTACTCTCAATATCTATGTATCTCGTCTATGAACCACACTTTGGGTAGCCTTGGGATAGATTGTTAGGAAAAAAAACTACTTCTTTCTCCAGTAACTTTTCCCCCAAAATTACTGTTTAATGTTGATGGTATTTTCTCCAAGAGATTATCCAAGATTGTTCATAATTTTTCTTAGAATAAAAGTTCCCTTTCACATTCTGGCCCAAACACTTGTGGACAGACACTTAAGATTTCCTGTGTAACGTCAGTTTGTGTGCAGAGAAAAGAGAAGGGTGGAGGGAAGCTCCCTAGAAGATATATACTTAAAGTATATTTCATATGCAGCCACAGCCTCTTAAAATACAGTCACATTTTATATGTTAAATCACATTTCACTGATCACACACTATTTTATTATGCTCTAGGTTTTTTTTAAACTATGAAAACATCCAGAATCTCTTATTTTTCTTAGGAAAAAACAGAAAATCTTCCTTCTGTCCATAAAGATCTCATTCATGGAGTTTGTAAGCCTTCCAGGTTCTCATAAAATTCAGTATAAAATCTATCAACTGCATTAATGAGTCAAATGAATATTTATAACTCTAAAGCTATTTTCAGAAACCACACATTCAGATCAATACCTTAGGGCAGCAGAGCTTCCCATCTGATACTTCTCCCCTTCTCTCCATCAGCCATTCCCCATTGACAGGTAAAAGACAGTTACCTAGAAAATGAACAACTCTTGGTCCCTCCATCCTTTTTTCCCCCTTTGCTAGATGCTGTTTAATATTTGTGCCTATGTTGCCAAGGATATGGTAAGGCAAGTGTCATATTTCATAAAAGACTTCCAAACTGTAGCCAGGACTTGAGACTGTTCTCTATCATATGGCATTCCCCACAACACTACCGCCTCTTCCTCTGCCATGGTATCTTGTTTTTAAATATGGAACATAAATTTACTATATCTGGTAGTTCCTGCTTACTGTAAAAAAAAACTTAAATTATATAATTTTTCAAAATTAATTTCAAATTTTTTGTCAGGCCTTGTTAATTTTAAGAGTGAACATGACTTACCAAAGGCTACCAAGCACTCCTGTTGGAATTGATTCTGGTAGTGTTGCAATACTTTTGTTTTGTTTTGTTTTCAGTTGATTTATCTGTTTATTCCCATTTGTCTCCATTTTCCATTCTCATTTCTCTCACTGCTCCCATTGGCAAGCATTCTAGTATGTTTTATGTACTGCATTTTATTTGTACATCTTTTAAAATACATTTTTTGTTGTGTGTTGGCATTTATTTTTGAGTTACGTAAATGTTATGGATTTTACACTGGGTTTTTCTCAGAACCATGTTGTTGTTGTTTTCTTTTAATGCCATTTTACTGTTCTAAGATCCAATCCAGTATTCCTCTTGACATTTAGCTGTTGTCTTTTTTTTCTTTTTAATTGGGATAGACTTCATATACTATAAAATTAATCATTCTAAAATATACAATTTGGCCTGGCGCCGTGGCTCATGCCTGTAATCCCAGCACTTTGGGAGGCCAAGGCAGGCGGATCAACTGAGGTCGGGAGTTCAAGACCAACCTGACCAACATGGAGAAACCCCACCTCTACTAAAAATACAAAATTAGCCAGGCGTGATGGCATGTGCCTGTAATCCCAGCTACTCGGGAGGCTGAGGCAGGAGAATCACTTGAACCCGGGAGGCAGAGGTTGCTGTGAGCTGAGATTGCGCCATTGCACTCCAGCCTGGGCAACAAGAGTGAAACTCCATCTCAAAAACAGAAATATATATATATATATATATATGCATTTCAGTGGTTTTTAGTATATTCACAGGGTTTTGCAATCATTACCACTAGTTCCACATTTTATTGCTCCAAAAAGAAACTTCATACCCATTAGAAATCACTTCCCATTCTCTCGAAACCCCCATCCCTAGGCAACCACTTATCCACTTTCTGTCTCTGTGGATTTGCTGGGTATTTCATATAAATAGAATCATACAATATGTGGCCTTTTGTGTCTGGCTTCTTTCATCTGGCAAAATGTTTTCAAGGTACGTCCTAGTTGTAGCATGCATCAGTACTGCATTCCTTTTTATGACTAATGAACAATATTTCATTATGCATACATATATTTTTCTTACCTATTAATCATTTGATAGACATTTCAGTTGTTTCTACTACTGTGAATAATGCCACTACAAATGCTGTTTTATAGGTTTTTGTGTTGTTTTATGATTTCATTTTTCTTGGTCGTATACCTAGGAGTGGAATTGTTGGGTCGCATGGTAACTATGTTTAGCTTTTTGAAGAACTTCAAAACTGTTTTCCACAGCAGCTGCACCCTTTTATATTCCCACCAGCAATGTATGAGGCTTCCATTTCCCCATATCCTTGCCAACACTTATTTTCTGTTTCAGGGGTTTGTTTTCTAGCCATTCTAGTGGGTATGAAATGGTATTTCATTGTGGTTTTGATTGGCATTTTGCTGATGAGTAATGATGTTGAACATCTTTTTCATGTGCTTATTGACTATTTGTAAATCTTCTTTACATAGAGAAATGTCTATTTAAATCCTTTGCCATTTATAACTCAGTTATTTGTCTTTTTTATTGTTGAATTGTTTTCTGAATACTAGACCTTTATCAGATACATGGTTTGCAAGTATTTTTCTCCCATTCTCCATTTGTCTTTTTACTTTCTTGATACTATCCTTTGATGCACAAAGTTTTAATGCTGAAGAAATCTAATTCCTCTATTTACAGGGGCGGTGCTTGTGCTTTGGTATCATAGCATCATATGCTTTTAAGATTTATCTGCATTGCTGGGTGACCATAATTGATTGCTTTTAACTGCTTGACCGTTTTCCATGAGTATTTACCACAAATAACCTGTCCACTTCCCTATAGACAGTCACATTGCCTACAACACTACAGTATTACAAACAATTCTATAATACACATCTTCACATATCTATGTTACAAAACAGTGTGAGAAGCCAGGCATTGGTGGCACATGCTTGTAGTCCCAGCTACACAGGAGGATCACTTCAGCCCAGAAGTTTAGGCCAGCCTAGATAACATAGCAAGACCTTATCTCTTAAAAAAATAAAAAAACAGTGTGAGAATTTCTGGGAGTGAAATTACTTGATCAGAGGGTATACATGTATTTGATTTAATATTGTCAGATTGTTGCATCCATCTACTCCCACCAGCAAAACATTGAGGATTCTGATACTGTACTTCCCCACCAGTACTTTGTATTATCAGCTTTTGAATTTGCTAGCCTAAAGCATGAAGGTGTTGTCTTATTATTTAATTTGCATTTCTCTGATTGCCCATGAATTTCAGCATCTCTTCATATGCTTGAGTTTTTTTCTTGTGGGATTTCTGTGTTGTTGATATTTATTGGATACTCATGAATTATATGGACTTCAGTAGTACAGTTTTGTTTTAGAGACTATAAATATCTATCTTTTTCTGCCATCTGTATGTTCTTTGACCATGGTACCCTTTATTATACAGAAATTCTTAATTTAGATGTAATCAAATTTGTCACTTTTTACCTACAGCTTAAACTCTTGAGGTTTTATTTAAGATAAGTCATTTTTTCCCCACATCACAGAGATTTTTCTTTTATATGATCTAATACCAGATTTGTAATTTTGATTTTTGTACTTAGGTCTTTAATCCATCTGGAGCCTACCTTTGTATGTAGTTTTAGGAGGGATGTAGTTTTATTTTTTATTCTTAAGATGAGCCAGATTTCCCAACACCAGCTATTAGACAGCACTTCTTTGCCTTATTTATTTGTGATGCCATCTCTCCTATATATCAACTTCCCCTTTAAACATGAGTCTCCAAGTCCTCTATTCTGTTCTATTAGTTTATTTGTTCTTGGGCTGATGATATGTGTGTGTGTGTATTTTTTATTTTTTTATCTGTAAGTTTGTGATACATCCTAATATATCTGCTTATTAGGGAAAACCTATCTGTCTCCCTGTTTCTCAAAATTGACTACATATTCATGGAACTTTTCTATATAAAATTTTAGAACAAATTATTAAGCTCCTCCAAAAAAAATCAAAGTGCAGTTTTTTGGGGATATATTGTGTATACGCGTATATAAATATATATGTGTGTATGTATATATATTTTGGGGGTGGAGAATATCTTTACATATTAAGTCATCTCACCAAAGATCATGGACTGTATTTCCAATTATTCAGCTCATCTTTTATGTCCTTTAATAGAGTTTTAGAGTTCTAGTATGTTCTCTCATAGGGTTCTTATTTACTCTTGGTAAGGTGAGTCTCAATAGATTATAATGTTTATTGCTGTAGTTTAACTGTGGATTTTGTTTTTATCTTTTGAAAATACACTTTCTTTTAAGTGTATTATTATAGGCATACCTTGGAGATACTGCAGGTTCAGTTATAGGCCACTGCCATTAGGTAGTGAATATTGCAATAAAGTGAATCACATGAACTTTTTGGTTTTCTAGTGCATATAGAAGTTATATTTACACTATACTGTAGTCTCTTAAGTGTGCAATAGCAGTATGTCTTAAAAAACAATATACATACCTTAATGAAAGTATACTTTATTGCTAAGAAATGCTAATGATCATCTGGGCCTTTAGTAAGTCTTAATCTTTATGCTGATGGAGGGTCTTGCCTCGATGTTGATGGTTGCTGACTGATTTGGGTGGTAGTTACTGAAGGTTGAGGTGGCTGTAGCAATTTCTTAAAATAAGACAATAAAGTCTGCCACATTGACTCTTTCTTTCACCAAAGATCTCTCTGTAGCATGTGATGCTGTTTGATAGCATTTTACCCACAGTAAAACTTCTTTCAAAATTGGACTTTGTCCTCTCAAACTTTGCCTCTACTTTATCAACTAAGGTTATGTACTATTCTAAATCCTTTGTGGTCATTTCAACAGTGTTCACAGCATCTTCACCAGGAGTAGATTCCATCTCAAGAAGCCACTTCTTTGCTCATCCGTAGGAAGCAAATCCTCACCTGTTCAAGTTTTGTCATGAGATTACAGCAATTCAGTCCCAACTTCAGGCTCTACTTCTAATTCTGTTCCTTGCTGTTTCTACCACATCTGCAGTTACTTCCTCCACTGAAGTCTTGAACCTCTCAAAGTCATCCATGGGAACTAGAATCAAATTATTCCAAATTCCCGTTAATGTTGATATTTTTGACCTCTTCCCCATGAATCACGAATGTTCTTAATGTCGTCTAGAAACCTTTCCAGGTTTTCAGTTTGCTTTGCCTAGACCCGTAGAAAAATCACTATCTGTGGCAGCTATAGACTTACCAAATATATTTCTTAAAATACTAAGACTTGAAAGTCAAAATTACTCCTTGATCCATGGGCTACAGAATGGATGTTGTATTGGAACTCATGAAAACAACATTTATCTCCTTGTATTTCTCCATCAGAGCTCTTGAGTGACTAGGTGCTTTGTCAGTAAGCAGTAATATTTTGAAAGGAATCTTTTTTTCTGAGCAGTAGGTCTCAACAGTGGGATTAAATTATTCAGTAAATCATGCTGTAAACAGATGTGCTGTCATCCAGGCTTTATTGTTCCATTTTTAGAGCATAGGCAGAGTAGATTTAGCATAATTCTTAAGGGCCCTAAGATTTTTGGAGTGTAAATGAGCACATGAATTTACCAGCTGCATTAGCCCCTAGCAAGAGAGTCAGCTGCCTTTGAAGCTTTGAAGCCAGGCATTGACTTCTCCTTTCTAGCTATGAAAGTCCTAGATGGCATCTTCTTCTAATAAGAGGCTGTTTTGTCTACCTTGAAAATCTGTTGTTTAGTGTAGCCACCTTCACCAATGATATTAGTTGAATCTTCTGGAAAAGTTGCTGCAGCTTCTGTATCAGCACTTGCTGCTTCACCTTGCAGTTTTATATTATAGAGATGACTTCTTTCCTTAAACCTCATGAACCAGCTTCTTCTAGCTTCACACTTTTCTTCTGCAGCTTCCTCAGCTCTCAGAATGGAAGAAAGTTAGGGCCTTGCTCTGGATTAGGCTTTGGCTTATGGAAATACTGTGGCTGGTTTGATCTTCTATCCAGACCACTAAAACTTTCTCCATATCCAGCAATAAGGCTGTTTCATTTTCTTGTCACTCATTTGTTCACTGGAGTAATATTTACAATTTTCTTCAAGAACTTTTCTTTTGCATTCACAACTTGGCTAACTGGTACAAGAGGTCTAGCTTTCAGCCTGTCTCAGGTCTCAACAAGCCTTCCTCACTAAGCTTAATCAAGTCTAGCTTTTGACGTAAAGTGAGAGATATGCAACTCTTTCTTTCACTTGAATACATAGAGGTCATTGTAGGGTTATTAATTGGCATGATCAATATTGTGCATCTCAGGGAATAGAGGGGCCTGAGGAGAGGGAGAAAGATGGGGAAAGGCTAGTTGATGGAGCCAGCACACACATATTTATCGATTATGTTTGCCATTTTATATGGGTGTGATTTGTGGCACCCAAAAACAATTAGAGACAAGTAACTTGAAATTGACATACCCAGTAAGCAAAGGTGGAAGACCTGGGAATTTCCAGTGGGTACAAGAATATAAATATCAAAGATCACTGACCACAGATCACCATAACAGATATAATAATAATGAAAAAGTTAGAAATTTTGGAAGAATTACCAAAATGTGACACAGAGACATGAAAGTGAGCACATGCTGTTGGAAAAATGGCACTAATAGACTCGCCCAATGCAGGGTTGCCATAAACCTTCAATTTATAAAAAATGCAATAAAATGAAGTGTACTAAAATAAGGCATACCTATACTTACAGACAGAAAGCCCAGCAAAAATGTAATTCTCATCGAAGGAGAGATATACTTAACCCATTGCTTTACTATTTTAAGAATTTTCAAATAAAATTCAGAGAGAAGATAGGCCTGTTTGACATTATGGAATAAATATTTGACTTTGTGAAGTAAAATAGCTTATAACAGAAAAAAAATGGAGAAGCCATGTAGCACGGGTTGAAGGACTAAAAATGAAAAGAATCCCAGTGATAGGAAGTTTTACTTAAATTTGATGAAGACAACAAAACAACAAAAAACATGTAACTTTTTTTTTTTTTTTTTTTTTTTTGAGACGGAGTCTCGCTCTGTCGCCCAGGCCGGACTGCGGACTGCAGTGGCGCAATCTCGGCTCACTGCAAGCTCCGCTTCCCGGGTTCACGCCATTCTCCTGCCTCAGCCTCCCGAGTAGCTGGGACTACAGGCGCCCGCCACCGCGCCCGGCTAATTTTTTGTATTTTTAGTAGAGACGGGGTTTCACCTTGTTAGCCAGGATGGTCTCGATCTCCTGACCTCATGATCCACCCGCCTCAGCCTCCCAAAGTGCTGGGATTACAGGCGTGAGCCACCGCGCCCGGCCAAAAACATGTAACTTTAAAAGTAAGCACCAATTTGTGGTACATTTTGCCTGGAACTGAAATGTCTCATCTGGAATGGAAGGTAGAGGAAAACTTGAAATTGATCAGATTACTTCTATTGTCCTGCTCTGATGTTATACACTCATTACAATAGCCAAGCTAGTAACGCCGATAAATTATCTCTCTTGACCACATGCAAAGGTACAAGTATCTCCCAGTCATCTCATTGGCAAATGGAATTTTCCCCATCATTTTCCATCTCCTTAATAGTAACCATGAATTTACAGCGACCGAAGACAATCGAACTCTATACTGGGCAGTAAAGTTTAGAGACAGGTAACTTGAAATTGACATACCCAGGAAGCAAATGTGGAAGAACTTATGGAAATTTCTAGTGAGTACAGGAATATCGAGATAACTGAGATGTGATTCTTGCAATCAAGGAGTTCAGAGTCTAGTAGGAGAGACAGGTGTTCTGCCAGCTCTGACACAATGTGGGAAATGCTGTGAGAACATTGTGATCACAGTGTGCTTAAGGTGCCAGGTAGGATTTCACAGAGGAGGTGACAATTTGAACATGAGGTGAAATGGAAAGCCAGGAGTGCCCAGGTAACAAGTATCTTATGAGCAAGAAAACGTCACCATAGGTTGTTTTTGTTTGTTAGTTTGAGATAGAGTCTTGCTCTGTCGCCCAGGCTGGAGTGCAGTGGCATGATCTTGGCTCATTGCAACCTCCACCTCCTGGGTTCAAACGATTCTCCTGCCTCAGCCTCCCAAGTAGCTGGGACTACAGGCACATGCCACCACACCCAACTAATTTTTGTATTTTTAGTAGAGACGGGGTTTCACCATGTTGGCCAGGCTGGTCTTGAACTCCTGACCTCAGGTGATCCGCCTGCCTTGGCTTCCTGAAGTGCTGGGATTACAGGCATGAGCCACCGCGCCCAGCCCACCATAGGTTTTTTACACAAGGCAGTGGCATGTTTCAACTTATGTGTTAAAACTGGAGTCTAAGGTGGCAAAGAGAGCAGTTAGGAGGTCAGTATAAGCAGCTTGTTAAAGTTACTCAAGAAAAATAAAATTCATGATAGCAATATAAAAGAGCAACAAATTTCCAGGTCTCCAAAAAAAAAAAAAAAAAAAAAAGTTCATAGCCCACTCTACTCCCACCCTCCCTTCCTGGAATACTTGACCTTAAAGAGGAAACACAACCCTCTGGGTAAGTTCTGGTCCAGAGGTTGGTTCTGCATCTCCAGGTCTAGTACACATTGTTAAATCCATGTTCACACCCAAGCCCAGCAGCCAGAGGGCGTAGAAATCCTCAGGGGCCACCTGGCTTGGCCATATACCATTTCTTCCTCCTGCCACTTTGTACTCTCTGGCCTGTGTTTTTAGAGTACTCTCTAGCTTCTAGATACAAGAAACTTTTCAATAAAAATAAGCAATTTATCTGTGTTTTTAGTCTCACAGCACTTTGGAAAGTAACAACTTAACCCAAGCAATAAAATAGTGATGCATGTATTGTAGTAAAGCCTGAAGTTTCAGCTTTCTCAATGGAAACTGCTTCTTAATTATCTCTTATCTTTAACATGAGATTTTCACTATTGTATTCTAAGATTCAGGTTATATCAGCTTCCACATGTTTTTCTAACTTAAAGTACCCTCTACATTTAACATTTTTATAAAGCAAGGTAAAGATTTCAGCATATATGTTTAAAGAGAAATGCAACCCCAAGTGAGAGATATCATTTTGATGATGATGATGATGATGATGAAAATGATGATAGTTATAATAGAAACTGTTATATTGTGACTATTATATGCCAGGCACTATTCTAAGCATGTATATTTATAAGCTCCTTTGATACTATAACCCAGTGAGATAACTGTATTTCCCCTTTTATAGGCAAGACAATTCAAAGCACAGAGAACATAACAGATTTTCTCAAGAACACACAGCTAGTAAATGATGCAATCAGGCTTAAACCCTGTCCATCTTGCTCAGAGTTCATGGTCTTAATCATTAAGCTGTGCTCCCTCTGATACTTTAAATATCCTATGCTTTTATATTTAAACATAATAAAATGTTCAAAAGTTTCAACTTCAAAAATATGAGTCTGCCAGCCTTAGGCATCTTGTTTAATTGTCGCCTCCTTGCCATCTAGTTCTAGGTGCAGGCAGTCACTATGCTTAGCTATGAAAGCTACCTTCGAGGAACAGCAGGGAGTCCAGAGCTGTTGGGAATGATACAAAACAAATGTAATGTTTTTCACCTATATTTGTGTTCTGAGAAAATGGAAGCAGTAGAATATTTATAAATATTTGTTAGCACTCAGGATTCTATAAGTTTGTCTTTGGTTCTCAGTGGCAGGCAAAATAACTGCTCCTATATTGAAGATGCAGGTTCAAAGGTGTGAGTGTGGTTTGCAGACTGGCCTCCGTGTTCCAGCATTCCTGAGACCCGGCTTTGTTATCTAGAATGGGTTACCAATTATTAGGTGTGTGCTCTGGAAGCCCATAGAATAGGCAACAGTATAGTTCCTGGAGCTCTGTCTTCTAGATAAATATTATGTTCATTTCTGAATTTTATGTTATATGGATGACTAAAACACAGGTGAAAATGGGGACATAATATGATTCCTGTTCTCCTGAGACATAAACGTTAATCAAAAGCCACAGGGAAAAAGATGTTAATGCGCCAGTTCCAGACAGCTGACAATAGTGCTGTTCATGCTAAAGCCACTAAAGTCAGTACAGCAATAGCCATCTGTTATTGTCTCACCTTCACAGATCCGCTTGGCCTTCACATTTTTATGTACAAATTCTTATTTCTATTGTTTTCTCATTTGAACAGAGCATCATGGTCCACCATCAGGAACAAACTCAGCCAGGCAAAGCCCAGCCCTGCAGCACAGGCCCATGGGACAGTCACAGGCCAACCACATACCTGGGGACAGGTGGGGCTATTTTCAGGTTTTTGTTTTTGTTTTTTTCTTATTCTCTCCTTATTGCTCTGCTGTTCATAACCCCACTCCCCATCATCCACCCCCATGCAGTAATGCAGATGCCAGCTGTTGAGGTCAAAATGACAACTCTTGCCTGTTCCTCAAATACCGTCCCCATCACCTCCACCCATTCAGTACCTTCGTCCCTCTTCCAGCCTCCATCCCAGGCACAGCATAATTATCCAATCTTGCCTGACATGCGAGGATTAGAAAGAAATGACATAGCATCTGGCTCTGCTACTCTTGGTCCTCATAGTTTTCATAGGGAAGCTGCAGACCCATATGGATTGCTGTCTTATCAGACCACCTGAGCAGAGCAGGTTTTGTGTGTATTTCTGTCTTCTTTCATTGAAAATATTAGCCTAGATTTCCAGAAATCCAGCATCTTCACGGGCATTGGTGCTGCAGGAGAGCCATTTTTCACTGTGACAGGGTCAGCTTAACTGCCCTCTGGTGTAGTTATTTGATTGCAGTTTTCTTTGATATAAACTGCTCTGAGATGTCCTTAAAAAAATTGTGGATGTTGACAGACTTCAAAGTATGTTGGAATTAATGACCAGGTTTCTCCTAGCACCCCTCTGATCTGATTTTAGATATAGTCTGTCTTCATAGTGGTTTGTCAGAGGGAAAATGGCAAGGTCGAGCTTTTAAAAGAAAAGAAATTAATCTGCCTTTAGACTGTTTTTCATTTTCTCAGTTCAGAGAGTGACTTGATTTCTCTCTCTTGTAGAAGTGCCCTAGAAGGTGAAATTGGAAAAGATGTCTCCACTTCTTACAGACATTCTTGGTCAGACCACAAGCACCTTGCACAGCCTGACACCGCAGTAATTTCAGTTGTAGGCAGTCGGCACAATCAGGTAAACAAACATTTCCCCAGATGGGGAGTGATATTTTGAGTTGCCATACCACTGGCATTGGTGAATTTTTATTGCAAATCAGTTCAGATAAATTTGTTTCCAAAACTAATAATTCTCGAAGACCTGCCATGTGTTTGGCATTCTGCTGGCATTCATAGGAGAATGTTAGGAGTGAAAGAAAAGTTTCCCCTACAGCAGGAGAGCTTTGAACCCTTGGTTAAGTACTTAGAAGTAAATAGTATTTTAGATAATCAAATTCAGGTTTTTTTGTTTGTTACTTGTTTGTTTCCAGGAAAATTAGTCAAACGCTACTTAAAGGAAGCACTTTCCAAAATTCTGTTCTCTGATTGTTGCATTGCACATTGACCAACTAGAAAAGACATGTAACCTTCAGATTAATTTAGGCTGCATTTATAAAAATTAAGTAGCCCTTTAACCAAAACCTACATTCCTTCTTTACAATATAGAAATGCACATTGAGAGTATAAATCATTTCTTCCAGCTATAGAAGTAATCTTTCTTCAAAATGTAAGTAAACAGTCCATGAGAACTTGCTTTTCTTATACTTCTTTCTCTCTAGAACCTTGGTTGTTATCCAGTAGAGCTGGAGAGAGGCCCCCGGGGCTTTGGATTCAGCCTCCGAGGGGGGAAGGAGTACAACATGGGGCTGTTCATCCTTCGTCTTGCTGAAGATGGTCCTGCCATCAAAGATGGCAGAATTCATGTGAGTTGGTTTCTGTCTGTAACCTTAGGTTCAGGCTCTAGACTAGAAACTTCGAAAGATATTAATAATTGATTTAAAGGGAATGCAGGAACCTCCTAAATCTAAAAAGCAGGATTTGTCATCACTGGTAGCTAAAAAAGGCAAATGCTTGTCATTTTGCTTTTCTAACGCCCTGATGATTTCATTTCTTCTCTTCAGTGTGCTAAACCATATTGCAGTTATGCCACTTTTGCCTTCTTGACCTTGGTCAATAAGAAAATTCATTTCTTATTCACATAGTCAACATCTGAGGGTAAACGAATTAATAAATACACTTTTCATCTTAATAAGAGTCTTGAGAAAGCGAGGATCAAATAGAATCTTTAACTTTTTCCAGGAGGCAATAGGCCCAGGATTTTTTTTCCCCACTCTTAGCTACCGGGAGAGGTAACTAGAGGCTGAAAAGCGTGGCTCTCAACATTTCTTATTGTTTGAAGGCCTAGAATTCACATCAGTAGTATTCCATCATAGATGTTCTCAACTCTGAAACACTGTGACTTCGTATAGGGAACTGCAGACCAAATTGTTTATAGATCTGCATAAGATAGTTTTTCCTTCTTCTCTGGATGTTAATTAAAGAGGAATCTTATATAGAAGACATTTGCTGCTGGGCGCGGTGGCTCACGCCTGTAATCCCAGCACTTTGGGAGGCCGAGGTGGGCAGATCGCCTGAGGTCGGGAGTTCGAGACCAGCCTGACCAACATGGAGAAACCCCGTCTGTACTAAAAATACAAAAATTAGCCGGGCCTGGTGGTGCATGCCTGTAATCCCAGCTACTTGGGAGGCTGAGGCAGGAGAATCACTTGAACCTGGGAGGCAGAGGTCGGAGTGTGCCGAGATCACACCATTGCACTCTAGTCTGGGCAACAAGAGCAAAACTCCATTTAAAAAAAAAAAAAAAAAGACATTTGCTGTCTTCAATTTAAAAAAAAAAAAAACTTAACTCACTGGCATTCAGTTAGGTGATACATTAAAAACTTTTAATTTCTAGACACCGTTCCCCCTACTACTCAAAAGAATTTTGGATTTCCTTTCCCTGCCACCAGTAGGCATCAGAGAAAAGGAACTTTTTTTTTTTAATTTTAAACTAAGTAATTCAATTAGAAAGGCAAATGATCCTGGTAATTATTAGATGGTATATTCTAGTAATTATTAGAAAAGGTGCTTCTGGGTGATTGCAGTTTTGAATTTTTCATTTCACTCCCATTAGTCATTTCATAAACACATATTGAGTGTTTGCATTACCCAAAGCTTTATGCATGCTACTGAATGAGTTGGGAGAGTGACTCAAAACAAATAAGATATTATCCTCCCTCAAAATGACCAGACACATGCACAAGTTCAAAGGGATGAATAGAGAAGATTTCACAGAATAGGTGGCATTGACAGGTGCATAGGATTTCAATAGGGAGAAATTAAGGAGAGAAAACATTCCAGGCTGAATAAATGAGCAATGGCGTAAAACTAAGGAAGTATAAGTCATGTACAGGGAACTTCAAATGGTTGAGTTTACTTAGATTTTATTTAGAAAATGCGTAGATGAATAGAGGAAATGAGAATATAAAAGCCGATGGGTCGCAGGCATAAAGGTCCTAGGCAGTGGGAAGCCATGGGAGGCTTTTTAGCCAGGAGTTTCCCCTCAGAGCAATCTGCTGATAAAAATCTGTTAGTGGTGTGCAGGAAGGATGAAGGGACTCCAGGTAGCTGTAATTTATGCATACAGTGGTAGTGGTGGGAGTATAACTTGAATGGTAACGCTTTGGATGGAAGATAAGAGATGCATATAAGTTCAAATTTCAGTGAATAAAGGACCAGACTAGATGAACAACAAGTATCCTTTAAATGAGGGATGAAGGAAAAGGAAGAGTAAAGGATGACTCAGAAGCCTTGCCCCATCTGTACTACGAAAACCATCAGGGAAGCCAAGGGGAGAAAGGATATGGCAAAGACTGATGGTGTAGTAAGTTGGAGTCATGTTGAGGTGAAGGGAACAGCTAGTAGAGCAGGTGTAAATGTTTAGCAGGCAATTACTACTAGTAGTGGTAGAAGCCCAGATTGCGACATTACTGAGAAGTGATGATTGAAACCTTTGTGGTAGATAAGATCACTAAGGAAGAATATTTAGAGAGTACTTAGCCAAGGGCAGAGCTCTGAGCAAGGCATGTAATTAGTGGACTAGATAAAATAAAGAAAATGGGAAGGCGCAGCATGCAGAGCCACAGAGCCAAAGCTGCAGAGTGTTTATGACAAAGAGGGACCGATGGCCTTAATACAGCTCGTCAAGAACTGCTGAATCTACTTTCTTATAGAGACAATTTCATATCGTGACAAGAACATGGGTTTGGAAATCAGACAGGACATTCTCCTGAGTTTCCTCATCTGCAAAATGCAGAACCATATGTAATATACATGGTCCAAGTAAACTTCTTAAAGTCTTAATAAGAGCATCTTGAGACACTGTTTACAGAGGATGGCATATTTATTCCTGGTTTTCTTGGTCCTTTCCCCTCCCCTCCCCTCCTATCTTCTCTTCTCTCTCTCTCTCTCATCTCTCTCTCTCTCTGTCTCTCTCTCACACACACAACCTATTCAGTTACTTTACATCTGTGTTTCAATGCTTCTATTGTAAATAGTGTCACAAAAATCCAATTAAATGATAAATTAGGATATAATTGTTTTAAATGTTGGTTCCAAATATAACCCTCAGATCCACTAATCTCAGTAAACCAAAGGCAAACAGGCCTTAAAGCAAAGTCTAGTTCTAAACATGTCATTCTCAGCCAGGAGTGGTGGCACATGCTTGTAATCCCAGCTACTTGGGAGGCTGAGGTGGGAGGGTTACTTGAGCCCAGGAGTTCAAGACCAGTCTGGGCAACACAGCAAAACATCCTCAGTTAAAAAACGACAACATGACATGCTTTATGAATGAGCAGAAACTTTAGAATCTAATGATGAAATCAGCTTTTATTTCAAGAATAAACTCTGAAAACAAAAGCAAATGAGCAATTAACTGTTAGACCCCAGTGTGCTCTAACCTGTAAGAAAATGTCAGCTTTTCAGAGAAGTCACTTTTTGGGCTATTAAATTATCAAAATCTTGACTTGATACAGCTCATGAGGGCTTTGCATATAACTAGTGCTCAATAAAATGTTATTGATGACAACTTTCTCTGGTGGCCGCTGTCCAAATGATAAGAGTTTATCTCTAGCTGACACTCGCACCACGGAGCCACCTGAGTGCCCCTCTCTGCCTCCCCCGCTTGCCTCTCCTCTTCTCCCTTTATTAGGTTGACAGCTGTACTTTGTGTCCTATACCTATTATTCCGTATCTCCAGCACCTGATATGGTGCCTTGAATATTCATATCAGGTGCTCCATAGATATTTGTTGAAAGAGTAAAATGTATGGATAATAATTCTAGATACTGAGAGAATTATTGTGTGTGTGTGTTTTTATTTTTAAGATCAGTTCCCAGGACTTATTACTGGGTGAACAGGACTGGGGATATATGAAGTAATTAGCAACAATCTTAGTGTCATTAAGAAAACAAGAAATGTTAATTTGTAACATAGATGGAAGGATATTGAGAATCATTGAGAGGTTCTTCCTTTCGGTCTGGTTAAGATTTAGAGAGGAGAGAGAAAAAAAGTGTTCTGGGATAAGGAACTGAGAAATAGCTGAATGGAAAAGGTTCATATTAGGGAATAGTGTCAAACTTAAATATTTAACGTAGAACATAATCAGATTTAGAAAATATTAAGTGTTTGCTGTCTTTGAGGCAACATGTATTTTCCTACACAACATGCGTTTTTACTTATATTAGTCTCAAAAACTCTGAGATAGGTGACATTATCCCCACTTACAGATTTAAAACTGAGGCTCAAGGAGACTTAGTCACTTGCAGAGATCACTCATCCTGTGCAGGCCACAGTGTGACCCAGGTATGACCCTAGTCCGTCGTCCTCGAAGATCGGTTCATGTGCTTTCCGCTATGTCAGGTCTTGGCTTGAGTCCAGTTTGGATTGGATTTCATTGATAGGCAGACAGTTTCTTAACAGGTTGTGAGATAATATAAGCCATGTGGTAGAAATATTTTGTCATTTTAATACATTTGTAGTGGATGTTGTTTTTAAAACGACAAGACTGCCTATAAAAAAATAGTGATTTGTTTAAAAAAGGGAACATTCTTTTTCCCTATTCTTCCTACTTCTTTTCTTTTGGTTCTCCTATTTTTTTTCCTTTCTCTTTTCTTTCCTCTCTCTTCTCTGTCCCCATAATTATTTTTCAATAATACAAAACTGAACTTGAATCTTTGTTCTATTTATCAAAAGATGTTTTCTCCAAATTATTTTTTATCACATTTTTAAAGTGACTTAAAATGTTAAAAGGATGTTTACTGGGTGAATTTACTCCTCTGAATTTCCCTCTCAGAAGAGTCTTTTTCATCTGTAGTTTTGTGTATGTAGGTCTCTGCAGAATTTCTCCCACTCTGAGGGCCTGTCTACCATAAATCTTAAAGCAATGGCTCCCCCTCCTTCCCCTCATTCAGTTTTAAAGTTAAACAGAAATGACACCTGGTGGCAAGTCTGTTCAATTACAAGTTTTTGTTGTTTTTTTTTTTTGCAGTTTATTGCAGGAAAAGAATAAAAAGTGTTCTGGGTTGGAGAGCTTAAGCTAAAGAATGTGATTGAAATAAATTATAACCTCAAACCTGTTTTACAAGATATGCCCAAAGCAGTGTCCAAATACTATCTACTTTAATTTTCTTTATCAGCAAGATTATATATCTAGTGCTAATTTCTTACCTACATTGCCTCATGAAAATGATTCTTCTTCCATCATTTATCAAGGGAAATCTAAGTATTGGCTTTTGTTTCACTTATATATTCTGGATAGTAAGGGGTTTCTAAATTATTCTCCATCCTGCTGTCTTACTTTGGTTTTATTAAGGTGTTTTCATCTTACATATTAAATCCATCAATCTTGTTTCTGATATTGTCCATTTGTTCAAGAGTAAGCCTCCCTTGTTTAAAATAAGTATGCAATAAGACCTTTAGTCTATTTCATAGTTGACTTGAATTTTTTTGCATTGTATAGAATGGAGTGCAGTCTACAGTTAAATCTTCGTAATGATACACTTTAAAATAGCTTGAAAACTAATATTTGCACTTGGTATATAATCATGTTTTATCTTAAGTCCTCCCAGAATCCCACGAAATAGGTACTAATATTATCCTCATTTAACAGATGAAAAAAATGAGACCACAACACTAGAAAGAGGTGGAGCACAAGATGTGAACCACAGCCTCCTGACCGCCTGTGCCATGCTGTATCTGTAGAAAGAGTTGGCCCACTGACCTTTGTTAAATATTGAGTCCTTCTGTTTTGTTACTTCTGGATTGGCTTATTATTATTTCTATTCTTTAGTCACCTTGCAGCTAGCTTCAACTCAAAGGAACTTCTGGATTGTTTTAGTAAGCTCTTACAAATATTTGAGTATTTGCTTTTTGGAATTTCAGTAATATGCCATTGTCTAATTTTTCTGTTTTGAAGCCAGTATCCTTCATTTTACATGTCACCTTGAAATATATTTTTTCAACTTTTTTTTAATAAGTTCAGTGCGGCACATGTACAGGTTTGTTACACAGGTATATTGCATGATTCTGAGGCTTAGAATATGAATGAGTTCCCATCTCCCAGGTAGTGGGCATAGTACCCAATAGGCAGTTTTTTAGCCCTTGACCCTCTCCTTCCCTCCCCCCATCTTGTATTCCCGTGTCTGTTGTTCTCATCTTTGTGTCCATGTGTACTCAGTGTTTAGCTCCCAATTACAATTGAGAACATGAGGTATTTGGTTTTCTGTTTCTGCGTTAGTTTGCTTAGGATAATGATGGCCTCCAGCTCCATCCATGTTGCTGTAAGGGGACATGATTTCGCTCTTTTTATGGCTGCATAGTATTCTATGGTGTGTATATACCACATTTTCTTTATCCAATGCAGCATTCATCAACATGTGTTTGCTTGAAATAGATTTAAAATCAGTACCATCATTATGTTTAATTAGGTCTGTTCCAAAGTTATACTTGACTTTTACATATTTTCCCTTTTTCTTTTAAAATAACTCAGACATTTCTAGTAAATCACAATGGTACTAAGGTATATCTTATTCTGATCCCTAGTTTTATGTTTATTTTCCTGAAAAATGATTTTTTTTTTTTTTTGAGACGGAGTTTCGCTCGCTGCCCAGACTGGAGTGCAGTGGTGCAATCTCGGCTCATTGCAACCTCCACCTCCCAGGTTCAAGTAATTCTCTTGCCTCAGCCTCCCAAGTAGCTGGGATTACAGGCATGCGCCACCACACCTGGCCAATTTTGTATTTTTAGTAGAGACCGGGTTTCTCCATGTTGGTCAGGCTGGTCTCGAACTCCCGACCTCAGGTGATCCACCAGCCTCAGCCTCCCAGAGAGCTGGGATTACAGGTGTGAGCCACCATCCCTGGCCCTGAGAAATGATTTTACACTAACATCACTAAGTTTATGCCAGTTACTGGTTTTAAATAAGTGTTCATATTAATCTATTCTCCAAGTTTAAGTTTTTAAGAATTTTAATCTATAAAGATGTCATTTATTCAAATACCTCATGTATGTACAGGACATAGCAGCAGTTCAAAGGAATGAGCAGTTCTCCCTGGAGGCCAGGAAAGGCTTCAAAGATAAGAGCCCTCTGCCCAGGTTTTAGGAGATATATTTAAAATTCAGCTCAAGTTTGAAAGTACCCTTCACATTCGGACATAGCTCTGTAGTATCATTTGGATTGTTGTTTGTAAAATGTCTAACATGTACCCAGTGCTCTCCTGCGAGAGTTGATAAGAGGACAGATGGCAGCAACAGGAAGAGACAATGTCCAGGTTTACTCACGCATAAAAACCCTACACAGCAAGTGCCCAGGTTTACTTATGAAAATCCTACACAGGGCCGGGCGCGGTGGCTCACGCCTGTAATCCCAGCACTTTAGGAGGCTGAGGCGGGCGGATCACGAGGTCAGGAGATCGAGACCATCCTGGCTAACACGGTGAAACCCCATCTCTACTAAAAATACAAAAAATTAGCCGGGCGTGGTGGCGGGCGCCTGTAGTCCCAACTACTCGGGAGGCTGAGGTAGTAGAATGGCGTGAACCCAGGAGGCGGAGCTTGCAGTGAGCCGAGGTCTCGCCACTGCACTCCAGCCTGGGCGACAGAGCAAGACTCCGTCTCAAAAAGCAAAACAAAACAAACAAACAAAAAATCCTACACAGGAAAGTTTTATATGGCTATTAAAGATCTGGGCATCTTCAAATCAAGAACCAAATTCTAGAATTTGATTAACATTCTAAATTTGATTTCTATAAATTTAGAAAATTCCAAATCTGATTCTAGAATTTGATTCTTGATTTCAAGATGTCCAGATCTTAGTTAGTAGCCATATAAAACTTTCCTGTGTAGGATTTTTGTGAGTAAACCTGAACATTGCCACTTCCTGTTGTTTGTTGTCATCTGTCCTCTCATCAACTCTCACATGGCAGTACTGGGTACACGTTAGGTATTTTACAAACGAAAGAATCACTTAGCAAGGTTGAATGGCTCAAGAGCTGACAAAAGCAGAATTTACAAAGGATGCATAGTTTCATGTTGTTCCTGTGAATGTTCTCTGTCTAGGTTGGTGACCAGATTGTTGAAATCAATGGGGAACCTACACAAGGAATCACACATACTCGAGCAATTGAGCTCATTCAGGCTGGTGGAAATAAAGTTCTTCTTCTTTTGAGGCCAGGAACTGGCTTGATACCTGACCATGGTAAGTAAAGTAGCCCACTAGTAGCTGAAAAGTTGTATATTAGGGAGGGGACAGAAGAAAAAGGAATATATATTTGGAGAGGATAGATATTTTACTAGTTAATTCAGAGGTGAATGCTAGAACCATGAAAAGCTAGTTACATAGCAGAGTTATCATAAATAGTATTAGAAAACAAGTGACTTAGGCAGGACTTTCGTTGGAATGGAATGTATTTTAAATTTAATCAGAAAAAACATATAGTTGTTTTTGTAGAGAAATGTACCTATTAAAAAAGTGTATTAGAGGCAAACAATTTAAATACCATAAAAAATGTTTTAAATCTCTTCAAAATATCCCAGCTTTTTCTCTTACTTAGCTAATTACACATTACCAACCAATATTTTTATTTCTGTAAAGCAAGATAAGTTTATATTATAATGAATGCGCAGCATGAAAACTTAGGCTTTTCTGGTGACTCGGCAAAAACAAGTTGCTATCACCCTACCTGGAGACAGGGAGTTGGACCTGAGACCATTTCTGTCCTGTATTAATGTTAAACTTCCTGGGTTTCCATGGCATGTTTTGAAATATCATGGTATTTGAAAGTCACTGTTTTTTGAGTGCACTATTCTAGAAATAAAGGCAGTACCACACCCACGCAGTACTTGCCTCATCTAGCTCCCCACCTCCTGCCCTACCCCACCCCACCCCACCGCTTTTGAGGGATAAGTGTAGACATAACCTCCTACAGTACCCTTCCAGCTTATGATTCTCTGACTGTATTATCTTCCACCATCTGCTTGTAAATCATATGTTCCCAGTGACATCTTTGCTAACTGCACTGATTTTTTTTTTTTTTTTCACATAGTCCTAGGCTTTTTCTCTTCCCTCTTCAGGTTTGGCTCCTTCCGGTCTGTGCTCCTACGTGAAACCCGAGCAACATTAAGGCTTTCAGGGCTTTTCTTGGTCTTTCCTTAAAAAGACTTGGTAAATTTGCATGTCTTGTAAATCACTTTCTTCTTTTGTTTTCTTTTAAATTAAAAATGATGCTATTAAATACATCTATTTCTATCTTCTGCACTTTTCAGTCTTCTTTTGACATTAAATTTGACAGCTTAATGCAAGAGAATTATTACAAATGCCCATGAGCCTCATTCTGGTTACCACAGTTTGGTTTCCTTTATTAATTAGTGATTTTGCCATATCCTAAACTGTATCAATTCATAATAATTAGTGAGCTTCTTGGGCCACGTAATTTGGTTCAGCTTTATAACTTGTAAGTTCTAATTGGGCTTTACTAATAGAGAATTTACAGATCATATATTATCTCACTAATTATATGTAATTGGAAAAAATGAATATTATTTTGTGTATATAAACAACCCATCCTTCATGTATGAACAGATGTCTGTACACATCCGCCTTTATAGAGAGATATGTTGTAAACATATACAAACTGTATAAAATACTCAGGCTTTTTAAGCAGTTACGACAATTCAAATGGCTGTCAAAGTTCAAAACGTATTGTTCCTATTTGTAATTCTAAAATTTAATAATGTTCCATTCAAATCACTTTTTTAGGTGATTGGGATATTAATAATCCTTCGTCTTCAAATGTGATTTATGATGAACAGTCACCATTACCCCCATCTTCACATTTTGCTTCCATATTTGAAGAGTCTCACGTGCCAGTAATTGAAGAATCTTTGAGAGTTCAGATATGTGAAAAGGCAGAAGAATTAAAGGACATTGTGCCTGAAAAGAAAAGCACTTTAAATGAAAATCAGCCTGAGATAAAGCATCAGTCTCTTCTCCAGAAAAATGTGAGTAAGAGGGATCCACCCAGCAGTCATGGGCACAGTAACAAGAAAAATCTATTAAAAGTAGAAAATGGTGTTACACGAAGAGGTAGATCGGTTAGTCCCAAAAAGCCAGCCAGTCAACATTCAGAGGAACATTTGGATAAGATTCCTAGTCCTCTAAAAAATAACCCCAAAAGAAGACCCAGAGATCAATCCCTCAGCCCCAGCAAAGGGGAAAATAAAAGTTGTCAGGTCAGCACCAGGGCAGGCTCTGGACAAGATCAGTGCAGAAAAAGCAGAGGTCGGTCGGCCAGCCCAAAAAAGCAGCAAAAAATTGAAGGAAGCAAAGCTCCATCAAATGCTGAGGCCAAATTATTAGAGGGTAAGAGTCGAAGAATAGCAGGCTATACGGGCAGTAATGCTGAGCAGATCCCAGATGGGAAGGAAAAATCAGACGTCATCAGGAAAGATGCAAAGCAGAATCAGTTGGAAAAAAGCAGAACAAGGTCTCCAGAGAAAAAAATCAAAAGAATGGTTGAGAAATCTCTTCCATCCAAAATGACTAATAAGACTACAAGTAAAGAAGTATCTGAAAATGAAAAAGGAAAGAAAGTAACCACAGGAGAAACAAGTTCTAGTAACGATAAAATAGGAGAAAATGTCCAGCTATCAGAAAAGAGGCTGAAGCAAGAACCTGAAGAGAAGGTAGTTTCAAACAAAACAGAAGATCACAAAGGGAAAGAACTAGAGGCAGCTGACAAAAACAAAGAGACTGGAAGGTTCAAACCGGAAAGCAGTTCTCCAGTTAAGAAAACACTGATAACTCCAGGGCCCTGGAAGGTTCCAAGTGGAAATAAAGTCACAGGCACTATTGGTATGGCTGAGAAACGGCAGTAACCTTTAGTATAAAACAAAGAAAAACAAGTTGTAATCTTTTCTTACAGCAGCATTTTTCCAGAAAAAGCCTTTTTTTTTTTTTCAGATATTCTGAAACAGATAAGTACATGTTAATGTGAGCCTCAAGTTACCTAGGCTGCATGAAGGGCCTTTAGGATTGCTAAGAACCAACTGTCCCCCTGGCCGGCTGCCCTCCCTCGCTCTCAGGAAGGAGCTGCATCCACATGCTCATCTGACCCGCCCTGCTCAGGCTGCCCAGCTCGTCTTCATGAGTGTCTGAACAAATGACATATGTTGATATTAACAATGTGGTCACAACTCACTTTGTATTTGTGCCAAGTTATCTACTGTATCATGTCTGTTTTTATCCTTTTTGTTCAGCTGTTTCCACAGTAATGAAAAAGTTAGGTTTGGCTTGGAAGTTGATGATCTCAATAGCATGTTGCATGTTTACAGAGAGAAATATGTGAGTCCTTGCAGAAGAAGAGACTGTTAACTCATCGTTAAAGATGGCCGTTGTCTCTTCTAACAGCTACTGATGATGTCCCACTTTAAAAATAAAACCCCCAAACATCACTACTTTAAGGAAAAAAAAAATGTAGTCCAATATTGATGCTTTCTTATGGCTTTTTATTTTAATTTGGCTGGATAAGTTGTTTCAAATAACTGTTAAAGATATTACTTACAATTGAATGTTTGAAATAAGAAAGTACTTTAAGCAATAGAGTTCATCTCCTGCTGTGTTATCCAACCTCGATGTATACTTACAGCATCTCAGGTCACCCTTTTTATTTCAGTTATTTAATTATGAAACCATAAAGAAGCATGTGGAAATAGTGTTTATTGCTCTTTGAAGAAAAACCACCAACTATTTCTGGATATTTTGGCTGTACCTACTACTAAAGTCATTAGTCTTTAATACATAATACATATTTGAAAAGTAAACATATTATATAGATTATGTGAGGGACTTAATCATGAAACCAGTTTCACAGTCCAAGTACCAACTCTTCTGGTAGCAGGTGCACAAGCTTGGGTGTTTAAAAACAACCTGTGTAGGGTATGCCCAGCAAATGAGGACAAATGTGTAGACAGTACTTACTGGATCTTATTTAACTTTTAGCTACATTAACTAACTTTCTTATTTAAAAACAAGAAAGGGAGACTAAACATCTGCTTAACTTGTACACATTTTCAGAATTCTTTTTAAAAGTCTAGTTAAAGATGTTTCTTAGAAGTTGGAGACTGTTAACAACTTCCATAAAATAGATCCAGGTTTTTCAGTTCCCTGAAGCAGCATTCAGTAGCATCTATATAAATAAAGGCACCTTCTGAGAATAAAACTATTTTATGGAGTGTGTGAACACACTTGTTCTGTCACCTGGGTTCATCTTGTTGTGAAGCACATTAGGTCCAGGTCCTTCCCTCTGGGAGTCTGACTGTGAAACTCTTTAACCCAACAACTCAATTAGCCCCTGTAGATAAGACATGCTTCCCAGAGTGAGATTTTTGAAATCCCCTTTTCATCCAGAACTATATTTACCCACCTATTGTAACTATTCAAATAGAGCAAAATTAGGAGGCTTGATAAATACTAAGAATTTAGTACCACAGAAATTATTTATTATTTTCCCTGTAGTCCACAATTAGTGATAACGAATCCTATTTTTGTTAACTGTGACATAACTTTGATGTCATATGTTGTCCTATGTGGTTCTTCCTAAGTAAACTCTGTACTGATTATATACTGACTTAGCAATGTGGCCTTGGAATGCTGAGCAAAATGTGGATGTACTGGTTGTAAATGTTTATATATTGTACAGTACCTTTATATATACACTTGAGGTTCTGATTAGAGAAAGATCTGTAAATTGCTCATTATTTTTTATATAGATATTTAAAAAAAACAGTTTATGGCCTGCATTTCTTTTACTGTCACATTGGTTTAATGTTGCTTTCTAATGGTGGAGCTAGGTCCCATCATAGTCTGAGTCCTCAAATAGATTTTGTCCCTCCAAGTAACAAACTTTCAAAGTCCTAAAATCAGGAAGAGTCTTATAATAATGATTTTACCTCTATAGGTATACTTTTATTTATTTATAAATAGAGTTTGAAATTCTTTAGAGTTGAATATCATTATAACCATTTTTCATCTTTCATTGTAAAGAAAATAGCTTTGGATAAATAATTTGCTACTGAAAATCCTTTCTTAACACTGTTGGGGAGAGAAGAGGAGTTTCTCATTGGAAATTCAGCTACTAGACATTTATAATGGATATAGTAATATCAGTCCAGTTACTACAAGGTCACAAAATCCCATTTCATCAGACTAATGATTCACATTATCTTTAAAGATCATTTATTTATTTAGTTTTATACTTACTTTTAGAATGTTTTGACTTAACTCGGTATGAAAAGTGCCTAAAACCTACTTCAAGACCACGGTTAATTTTATACTCTTTTAAGGTGAAATATAAATTCCCACTTACCATTGCAAGAACGCATACTAAAAATAAACCCACGGTCGGGCACAGTGGCTCATGCCTGTAATCCCAACACTTTGGGAGGCCAATGCAGGCAGATCATTTGAGGTCAGAAGTTCGAGACCAGCCTGGCCAACATGGTGAAACCCTGTCTGTCTCTACTAAAAATACAAAAATTAGCCAGGCATGGCGGCAGGTGCCTGTAATCCCAGCTACTCAGGAGGCTGAGACAGGAGAATCGCTTGAACCCGGGAGGCGGAGGTTGCAGTGAGCTGACATCACACCACTGCACTCCAGTCTGGCTGACAGATGATGAGACTCCATCTCAAAAAAAAAAAAAAAGTATACCCAAACTTCTAGTTAGTTCCCAGACCCCACAGTGAAGATGTGCCATAGCAGAGGCTGCAGAAACAAACAGGCAGTAAAATCGTTTTGTTGTTTTAGTGAACATATTTTCTTACTGGTCACAACAGGGAGAAAAGCTTTGAGATATTATTACATTGTCTCCCTAGTGAGATTAGAAGGCTAAGATCCTATGATATTGTCTTTAGTTACATCAGTCTTGGACCAGGCAGCTTTTGAACAGGAACAACTCTTATTTCAGAAGTCTTGGATCCAGAAAGGCACTTGGCTTTTTATTCTACATGAGAATACCTTGTTACTTCCCTTTTTAATAGCAAGATTTAAAAGAGAAATAAATGTAATCATGTAGAAGTAAAACCAAATGCTTTTAAACATGTAGACAAAGAATTATTTTATGTTTAATATGTCCACCATTCAAAGAGTAAGGATTTATAAGGCAAGGAGTATTCAGATTAAACTGTATAAAACAAACAGTCTCACTAATGACTTCCAGAAAGCTGTATTTAAGTTGAAGCTTAGTCCACAGTGGAGCTAAGGAACATTGATATAAATAAACTTGTTACAAAATGTGACATTTCAGTCTGGTATGAGGAATACATCAGAGCAAGTTTTTACATCATCATGGCATGCTCCAAGGCCTAAAAACTATTTGTGCTTTGAAACAATAACATTTATTTATTCGGGTGGCTCTTTTCTGGTTCTATTAGAGTTTATCGGGAATATGACTTGTTTAAAGCATGTCATTATTACATGGAATCTATAATCTTTGCTTTTAGCTAGCTGAATTAACTTAATATATCAACTAAGTTGGATATTTTTTCAACATTGCTAGGCAAGTAGCCTTAAGAATTATAAAGCCAGGCATGGTAGTAGACACCTGTAGTCCAAACTACTCAGGAGGCTGAGCTGGGAGGATCACTTGTGCCCAGGAGTTTGAGTCCAGCCTGGATGACACAGTGAGACCCCCATCTCAAAAATAAATCTTTTTCTTTTTTTTCCCCTTGAGATGGGGTCTCACTCTGCCACCCAGGCTGGAGTGCAGTGGCACGATCTTGGCTCACTGCAACCTCTGCCTCCTGGGTTCAAGCAGTTCTCCCACCTCAGCCTCCCCAGTAGCTAGGACTACAGGCGCACACTACCACACCCAGCTAATTTTTGTACTTCTTGGTAGAGATGGGGTTTCACCATGTTGGCCAGGCTGGTCTCAAACCCCTGATCTCAGGTGATCTGCCCACCTCAGCTTCCCAAAGTGCAGGGGTTACAGGTGTGAGCCACTGTGCCCAGCCAAAAAAAAAAAAATTTTTTTTTAAGTAGTATAATAAGGGAGTATGAAGGCTTATAAGGAGTTAGAATTCTGGCTGGGCGCGGTGACTCACGCCTGTAATTCCAGCACTTTGGGAGGCCAAGGCAGGTGGATCAGGAGGTCAGGAGATCAAGACCATCTTAGCCAACATGGTGAAACCCATTTCTACTAAAATACAAAAAAATAGCTGGGTGTGGTGGCGCATGCCTATAATCTCAGCTACTTGGGAGGCTGAGGCAGGGGAATCGCTTGAACCTAGGAGGCGGAGGTTGCAGGGAGCTGAGATCATGCCACTGCACTCCAGCCTGGCGACAGAGCAAGAACTGTCTCAAAAAAAAAAAAAAAAAATTCTATTTAATAGAAAACTCTGAATCTTTCTTATGTATACATTAAAATAGGAAAACATAGCCAAGAGCTTTAATTTAGCCTAAACCTATATCTTGACAAATAATCCTGTGGGTATTTTGCAATACTGCATTCAAGTCAAGCCTAACTATTAGCAAATACACAAATCAAGAGACATATTTTGTCCTTAATAAAAGATAATCGGCTGGGCACAGTGGCTCACGCGTGTATTCCCAACACTTTGGGAGGCCGAGGCAGGTGGATCACGAGGTCAGGAGATCGAGACCATCCTGGCTAACACAGTGAAATCCCGTATCTACTGAAAATACAAAAAATTAGCCAGGCGTGGTTGCACGCGCCTGTAGTCCCAGCTACTCAAGAGGCTGAGGCAGGGGAATTACTTGAACCTGGGAGGCAGAAGTTGCAATGAGCCAAGATCGCACCACTGCACTCCAGCTTGGGTGACAGAGCGAGACTCCATCTCAAAAAAATTAAAAAAAAAAAAAATAGAAAAATAAAAGACAACCATTTATTAACTAGAGTAATACCCTATTATACCTTATAGGCTCAGGATATGCTGCAGGAAAGGTATAGAATTATTGCACATTTGTGAAACTCACACTTCACTATTCAACATGGGCCCCAATAACAGCAGGGAGCAAAGGATTACTAAACTAGCCAGTACATGAATAGATTAGGTTTAATGAATTAACTCCCAAGTGACACACTGTATTTGGAAGAGAGACTCATCTAGCCTATTATGAGTGTGTAGATCTAAAAGTTTTCACACATAAA
The DNA here is from genome assembly GCF_000001405.40 of Homo sapiens. Classification (NCBI taxonomy): domain Eukaryota; kingdom Metazoa; phylum Chordata; class Mammalia; order Primates; family Hominidae; genus Homo; species Homo sapiens. The sequence continues at coordinate 113,689,304 of NC_000001.11, forward strand.
TTTCATTAATTTGAAAGATTATTTTTAAACTGCATAGGTCCACTTGCCTCTAAATAAAATGAACCTAAAATAAAAACAAACTATACTTTGTGAGACATCCTGGTATTTAGAATTTTTCTACCTGTCTCTGAAAGTCAGAACCATACTCCAATGAGGCAAGTATTTGGTTATTCAACTTCTCAAAGTGTTTATATTATACATGGGCCATATTGTACATATTTAGAAAGTCTGTAGATCAGCAGTCCCCAACCTTTTTGGCACCAGAGACTGATTTCATGGAAGGCAATTTTTCCACGGACCTGGGGGCAGGGAGAAGGGATGCAGGGAGGGGGTGGTTTCAGGATGATTCAAGTGCATTACATTTACTGTGCACTTTATTATTTCATTGTAATATATAATGAAATAATTATACAACTCACCATAATGTAGAATCAGTGGGAGCCCCAAGCTTGTTTTCTTGCAACTAGACGTCCCATCTGGAAGTGACGGGAGACAGTGACAGATCATCAGGCATTAGATTCTCATAAGGAGCACACGACCTAGATCCTCGCATGCACAGTCCACAACAGGGTTCACGCTCCTCTAAGAATCCAATGCTGCTGCTGACCTGACAGAGGTGACCTGACAGAGGTGGAGCTCAGGCAGTAATGCAAGCAGTGTGAGCAGCTGTAAATACAGATGAAGCTTCACTCTCACCTGCAGCTCACCTCCTGCTGTTCAGCGTGGGTGTGGGTGGCTGGGGACCCCTGTGGTATATTATACACCCACAGCAACTTTAGGAGAGATAATTTTTCCCAATATAACTGCAGATTATAAAATTAAGTCAACAGGTATTTTTCTTACCCTTCTATGGTTATTACTATTCCAACTAAATGTATGAATGGCCTAATCTAATTGTTTTTACATCTTGGTTTAATTTCTCAGTAACAAGTAATTATCACCAAAATCTCATTCCTTTTTTGAAATCAAAACAAAAGCCCAAGTTCCTAGAAATTATTATACAGGGATAAATGAGGCACTGAAGGTGGGAGAACCATGAAATTACAGTTGATCCTTGAACAACATGGGTTTGAATGGTGTGGGTCCACTTATATACAGGCCTTTTTCTGTAAGTATATTGGAAAATTTTTTTGAGATTTGTGGCAATTTGAAAAAACAAACCATGTAGCCTAGAAATATAGAAAAATTAAAAAGTTATATAGATACTAGCCTATTTTATCATTTACTATAAAATACACACAAATCTATTATAAAAAGTTAAAATTTATAAAAACATACAAACAAACTGTACATGGCACCATTCACGGTTGAGAGAAATGTAAACAAAGATACAGTATTAAATCATAACTGCATAAAATTAACTGTAGTACATACTGAGCTACTATAATTATTTTGTAGTTACCTCCTGTTGCTATTGTGGTGAACTCAAGTGTCAAAAGATCTGTTTAAAACACCATGTGATGCTAATCATCTCTGTGTGAGCAGTTCATCTCTCCATAAACCGTGGATCACAGTAAAAAGTGATCCCTTGCGGTTCTTGCATATTTTTCATGGTTAGTGCAATACTGTAAACCTTGAGGACATAAAAACTGCAGGACCCATATGAAGCACCACCAGTCATAGAAGTGCTCCCAAGAAGCACAGAAGAGTCATGACATTACAAGAAAAAGTTGAGTTGCTTGATACCATAGATTGGGGTCTGTGGTTGCCCACCATTTCAAGATAAATGAGTCCAGCATAAGGACCATTGTAAAAGAAAGAAGGAAAGAGAAGAAAGAAGGACGGAAGGAAGGGAGGGAGGGAGGGAGGGAGGGAGGGAGGGAGGGAGGGAGGAAAGAAAAGAAAAACTCATGAAGCTTTTGCTGCAGTTATGCCACCAGGCATGAAAACCTTGCACTTTTTGTGAAATAGCTTTTAACTTGCATTTAAAATGCAGCTTCATGTGGGTATGGGAGTGCTCTAAGGCATATCTATAGATTCCAATGTGATTCAAGAAAAAGCAAAGTTATATGACAAAGCAAAAGGAAAGTAGATTTGCTGATGAAGAAGCAGCAGACGAGTTCACAGATGCCATTCAGAAGATAACTGAGAAGAAAAGATATCTGCCTTAACAGGTTTTTAATGCAGAAGAAAGTGCCTATTCTGGGAAATAATGCCACAAAGGAAATTTATTAGAAAGAGAAGCAAGCACCATGATTTAGGCAGGAAAGGATAAGCTAATACTGTGCAAATGCAGTTGTGTTTACGATCAGGACTACACATATCTGTAAACCTGCTAACCCCCAAGCCTTGAAGAAGAAGAAGAAAAAAAAACACCAGCTGACAGTCTTTTGGTTGTATACCAAGAAGTCCTAGACAATGAGAACCCTTTTTCTGGATTGGTTCTGTCAATGCTTTGTCCCTAAAGTCAGGAAGTACCTTGCTAGTAAGACACTACCTTTGAAAGTTCTTTTGATACTGGACAATGCCCCTGGCCACCTAAAACCCCATAAATTCAACACCAAAGCGATGAAGTGGTCTCTGTGCTCCCAAACACAACATCTTTAATTCAGGAATAAGGGGGTCATAAGGACTTTTTAGATCCATTACACACAGTACTCTGGAAAGGACTGTCAATACTGTGAAAGAGAACCCCAAGAGAGAACATTATGAAAGTCTGGAAGGAATGATTATGCCATGCCACTGAAAATGCCATCATTGTTACAGAAAAAGCTGTGAAAGCCAACAAGCCCAAAACAATAAATTCTGGCTGGAGAAACCTGTGCAGATGTTGTGCATAACTTCATAGGATTTACAAAAGAGTCAATCAAGGAAATCATGAAAGAGATTGTGGATGTGGCAAAAAAAGTGGGGTGTGAAGGGTTTCAAGAGAAATTCAGGAGCTAATAAACCCCACACCATAGGAATTAACAGATGACTTGTTGATGGAGACGAGTGCTTCCAAATCAGTGCAAGATGATGAGGAAGAAAACTTAGAAGCAATGCCAAAGAACAAGATGATGTAAGACAATCTGGCAGAAGGGTTCCAATTATTCAAGGCTGCTTTTGACTTCTTTTACAACATGGACTCTTCTATGATATGGACACTGAAACTAAAGCAAACAGTAGAAGAACGATTGGTACCATATAGAAACATTTTTAGAGAAATGAAAAAAGCAAAAAGTCCAATTACAATGTATTTCTGTAAAGTTAGATCAAGTGTGACTGCCTCTTGTGCTTCCCCTTCCACCTGTGCCACCCCTGACTCAGCAAGACCAACCGCTCCTCTTCCTCCTCAGTCTACTCAATGTGAAGATGACAAAGAGGAAGACTTTTATGATGATCCACTTCTCCTTAATGAATGGAAAATATGCTTTCTCTTTCTTAGGATTTTCTTTATAACATTTGTCTTTTGTCTAGCTCACTTTAAGAATACAGTATATAATACAAATAACATACAAAATGTGTTGATTGTTTGTGTTACTGGCAAGACTCCCAGTCAACTGTAAGCTATTAAGTTTTGGGGGCATCAGAGTTACACATGAATTTTTTACAGGAAAGGAGGATAGTGCCCCTAACCCCTGCATTGCTCAAGAATCAAATGTATGACCCTTCTATCCTAACAGAAAAAAAAACTACACAAATGGTAAATTACTTGAGGTCTATTCTTCATTCAACACATTTTTATTGAACACCTATTATATGTTCTGGGGACAAGAAGAAGTCTCTGCCTTCAAGGGACTTACACTGTAGCGGGAAAGGAAACGACAGACAGTCAAAAAATAAACACGATAAAATTGTGGTAAGTGCCATGAAGGAAATCAATAAGGCGATATAACTGATAATGGATAAAATGGGTAACTACTTTAACTAGGGTCATCAGAGAAGGCCCTCTAAGGAACTGACAGCTGACAGCTGAGAGATAAGCAGCAGCCAGCCAGAGATGAACCTAAGAAAATATATTCCAGGCAGATGAAACAAGCTTGCACAAGCCTGATATGAGAAAGAACCTGGAATAATAGAAGAGCAGAGGGAGGTCAGTGTGGTAGTGAGGTAAAGGAGTGAGGCTGTAAAGTAAAGGAGGTGAAGCTGGAAGGCAAGGTAAGCATGATAATGAAGGGCCTTGGAAGCCACCAAAGAGAAAGCTAGGAAAGGTTTAAGTAGGAACAATGTTAGTTTCCAAATTTTGAGGCTCATTCATGTGGCTATGAAAAACCAACTGTAGGAGACAAGAATGGAAACAGACCAGTGGGTCACACAGTAGTCCAAGTGAGAGTGAAGGAGGTTTAACCTAGTAGCTGTGGAAATGTAGAACTGGCATGACATGGTAGTAGATTAGATATGGAGCTTTCAGCCTGAGCAATTGGAGAAACTCATTTACTAAGGTAAGGAAGAGTTGTTTTACTCTTCAACTTACAAACAACTGAAAAACAATTTTAAAAATATGAAAAAAAATGGATTTTAGATATAGACACCAGGCAGCACAGGACAGTAGAATTAAACAAGGTGAGTCCCATGATTGCTCCAAGATTATTGCATACAGGCAGTTTTACAAGGAGGCAGTTTCTAGGCTGTGGTGCAAGAAGGGAGAATCCAAAAAGAACCAAGCAGTCTTGCTGAGTTGAGGAGACAGAATTGAGAATTTGGGGAAGGCCTGGGGTCTAGAATTTTAGGTAGGAGTACCAGAGAGAATGCAGCTGCACAGAAAGGGAGGGGCTCCAGAGACATGCAGAGGGCTCCTTTCAAGTCTTTGGCTGAATATTGATCAGCACAAGCATGTGAGGGAATACCCAAGAACAGGTTAAGAACCTCCAAGAAGCAGGCAGAAAAATTCCAAAGTTCACACAAGTCTGGGAATAGTTCATGCTACTACAGCCAAAGAAAAAACCTCATAATGAACAGAGCATCAGGTAGAGTACTCAGAAGGATATTGCTTCAGTAAATAGAGAAAAACTAAAGGCTGCTCTTGCCCACCTAGCAAAGCTTAAAAGCAAGCCTTGAAATAATCAGACTGTTTCCAATAACTTTACAGTGTTCCAAAACAAAGCTCTCAAGAATATTTAAAAGACTACCAAGAATACACACATACACACAAAAACCAACAGCATAAAATTCATAGCCAATAAAAAATTACCAGGCATGCAAAACAGCAGTACAATGACCCAAAATGAGGGGGGAAAATGACCCCAATAACTGTTTTAATATCTTTATATACTATTCCTATTATAAATGTATTATGTTAAATGAGGTAGAGAAAAGAATACTCATGTTAAAGATAGACATGGAAGATATAAAAAAGACCAAAATCAAACTTCTAGAGATGAAAAATGTATAGGATGGGATCAATAGCAAATTAGTGCAAAAAAAGCAAACTTGAAGGCACAGCAAAAGAAACCATCCAAAATTAAAACAAAGAAAAGGTTGGAAAAACATATAAAGCATCAATGAGTTGAGGAACAACTTCAAGCAGTCTAATATACATGTAAATTTGAGTCCCAGAAGGAAGAAGTAAGAGTAGACTATAGAAAATTTATTTTAAGGAATAGCAAAAATTTTTCCAAACTGTATGTGAAAATAGAAAACTACATATAAAAAATATGATTACAAACCCACAGATCCAGTAAGTTCAACAAACCCCAAGCACAGAACACATGAAGAAAGCTAAACCAATGTACCCTATAATTGAATTGCACAAATTCAATGGTAAAAAGAAAAATCTTAAAAGTAGCCAGAGTTTTTAAAAAAAAAAAGAAAGAAAAAAGACACTTAACATACAGAGGAGCAAAGATTAGAGTGACTGTAGACTTCTTGTCAGAAACAATGCAACAACCCAGGAGGTAACAGCACAACCACATCTTTAAACCTAGAATTTTATACCCAGCAAAAGTATCTTTCAAACATAAAGATTTAAAATCTTTCTCAATAGGGTAGGCCTACACACCTTGCTAAAAGGATTTTGGATTTTTATCTTCAAAGTGCTAGTAAGCCACTGATGGATTCTAAATGATGAGACTTACATTTCAGAAAAGACATATTACATTTTTGAGATGAGTGGGTTAGGTGTGGGGGAAAGAGGAATCAAGCATACATAAGAGCAGAGATAGCAGAAACTTGCTCAAAAAACAAAGGATGCTGACTTAAATAAGAGCAGTGGCAGTGGGGAGGAAGAAGAGTGGACTGATGAGAAAGATATCTAGAAGATAATTATTCAAAGACTCAGTGATTGATTGGATGTGAGGTATGAGGAAGAAAAATGAGTCAAGAATCATTCCTAAGTTTCTGATATGATTAACTATACTTACACATAATTTTACCCACCTGAAAAATAATTTAAACCAATATACACCATCAAAACCACAACTGAAGCAATCCACACAATTGAATTAATATACTCTAAACACTGCTTTTAAACTAAGAATTAACTGTGTAAAAGTTGTACATAAAAATAGAACAGCATTTTTGTAGAAGAAAAAGATGAAGGCATCAGTTTTCATTTGAAATCTGCAGTGAGCTCAATTTTGGATTTGAGATCACTGCTACTGTTCCCTATGGAAACAGTAAAAGCATGGTTTCTATGAACCATCTGTTGAGATGCTGAAGTGCTTCTACAGAACACTGCCTTCTAAAGGTTTATCACTATAATGGAGTTTTGCCATTTAAAAAATTATAACTCATGTATAAAAGGCTGCATATTTTTGGTAATCAACTTCTAGTTCAGCAACCTTGCTTTCCATGTTTCTATCTTCACAGTTAGGAATTATCAGTGAGATTTTTTTTAAGGACTTTAAATAGTAGTAACACATTTATTGTAGATTTGCTGAGTACTAAATACTTTACACTGTGCAAGTACCTTACATGACAACCTCATTTAATCTTAACAACCTTATTATGTAGTTATTATCCCCACTTGTAGTTATTATCCCCATAAATGGGTTAACAAGTGAGAAAATTGATATACAAAGAGCTAATATGTGGCAGGGCCAAAGATTTGAACCCAGAAAGGTCTGACCTCAATCCCTGGACTCTTCAGAGATCCACCTCTAAACCTCACAAATATTCCTGCTTATTAGAAAATGTGCAACTGATCCTCTGATTTTAAATGAATACATGCTTTACATGTAATAACCAAGTTTCTAAATTATGTTTATTTAAAACTTCACAAAACCTTATCATTAAAATGTTCAAGCTTTCAATTTGCCTCAAAGAGATTCTTGCAAATTAGCCAGGTGTGGTGGCGGGCACCTGTAATCCCAGCTACTCGGGAGGCTGAGGCAGGAGAATCACTTGAACCCAGGAGGCAGAGGTTGCAGTGAGCCAAGATGGTGCCACTGCACTCTAGCCTGGGCAACAAAGTGAGACTCTGCCTCAAAAAAAAAAAAAAAAAAAAAAAAAAGAGAGATTCTTCAAAGCAGGTAACTTAATGAGCAAGAATTATAAGTAGACTATTAGAGCTTTCATTAACATATGTATATGCATGTGTATAACAGGATGCTGCATTACAGAACCTGTATCATCAGAGGCATGGCATGGCCGATTATAGACACTGAGGACCTGAAAATGTACGGAGGGTTTAATACATTAAGTTGCACAACTGATAAACTATCAATGATGCTTGTGATAGGACACATAGCACTGTGTTAGGAACCACAACTCAGATGATCTATATGGAAACAATGCTTCCATGGCTTCCACATAGAACGTGGAAACCATGTTGTATGATGGAAATGGATGAGTAGGCATATACTTAAATTTTTCATGCTGAATTACATGGCATATTGTATGCATGCATCGTTTGCCAACAACTATACAGTTATTAACCCAAAATCGTAAACGAACAAAACATTTCTCCACAGTTTAACAGAAACTCACAGTTTAAAAGTTAATTTTCTTCCTTCAACAACAAAGAAAACCTAGAAACTGAAAGTCTCCAGTAAAGTTCTTTTATTCGGATTTAACCTAAAATAGTTCGCTTGATCTCTCTTTGATAGAGAAATGAAATCTCCAGTTCTATAGACTATAATGGAAAAGTATTGAATTTGCATATTTCCAATAAAAGATATTTGCTTCATGCTTTGGGCATCTATCATAGTTGCCCAAAAGACTATGTCCAGTAAACATAACTGTCACAGTACTGAAGCGCAAACTTACAAAATTGTCTTTGTGTTACCACAACACACACAGTCTTTAGTCAGCTGACTATTCATGTTGTTTGAAAAGCATGAAAATACAGGTTTTTAGCATGCACACCCAGTTGGAAAAGGACTTGCTCCTCCGGAAACACCATTCATTCGCTTTGGCAGAGCTGAGAGCACCTGTGCATGTGAACAAGCAGGTGGGTATCTCACTGGTTTCTGCAGTCATCACTTTCCTTGATAGGTAAGTTTTGATACCAGCCAGGGGAGAGTCCAGGCATTTACTCAGCTTATGATTTAATTTTCCACAGCTAAGAGAACAAAATCACCAAAATAAGTTAGTTCTAGGAAAACCAGGTGGGATTTATAGGTACACTTACATGACTATAAACTAAGAATCCTTTATAAAAGAAGAAAATGTATCAAGTCTGGCAATAGCAACCATAGAACATCATAGAGAAAAAACATTTAAAACTTCCAGGATCAAAAATAATACAATGCAGTTCATGTACTGGTTTTCATTCATTCTACATCTGTACATTCCCCAGGATCAGAGTAAGACCATTACCCAGCTCAGGCTATTAAACTGATATGAAATTCAAACTTGATTTTTTTTGTTCCATTCAAGAGCACTGTCTGTTATATTTGTGTAAAATGAGAAAACTGAAGCTGAAAAGCCTGTGGACCACCAATCAAAATGCCTATTTCTTTACCTCAAGAGTTATTTGCATGCTAGAAACACACACACACACACACACACACACACACACACACGTGTGAAGAACACAGATTTCTGTACATAGTAATTTTTAAGACTAGGATGCTACAGAGTGGTGGTGATACTTACTCTTATATTAAATCCTAGAAGATCACTTATAACACCTGAGACAGCAGAAAGGATAACTACTCTTGTGATATTGTAGATTAAGGGATTCATTGTCAGTCCATAGAGTCTAAATGGTGTGTCCAGCTCCTACAAAAAACATCAAAGAATTGAAATGAGATACATGTTTTCTCATAGCTACTCAGTGACTTCTTGCTGTGTTTTGTCTTGGGTATAGATGAATGCTTAAGGCTGTCTTTCCTTAATATTCAAAGAGCTACCTTCAAAAAATCCATAACGTGTTCTCACCTACTTTTCTACTAACTAAGATTTTTTTAGGTGGATTTGAGCAATATGTCATTTGTAGTTTTATATATATATATACACACACACACACACACACACACACACACACACACACATACACACATATATAAAATATGACAGACATCAGCAATCATCAGAACCTGGGTAACAAAATTGGAAATTTTTTCACAGTAGTTATTAACCCAAAACCATCAGGTCAGCATTTTGAATCTACACAGCCTAGCATCTATCTCTTACTGGGTTCTGAGAAGTAAAACATTAATTAATGTATTTAAAACAGGTTAACTCACTTTATTTTTCTGGTATAAAACCACCACATGGTGGCCATAGCTAGAGCTTGGGTCCTCTACATGGAGAGTCTGGTATGGGTCTTTAGGCCATGGTCACTAAATTCCTGATAGGGAGACTTGGTGAACATGTCTCTTACCAGAGGTTGGGGGTGAAATAGCTGTAGGTCTTGGAGATGGCATCAAAGGTGCCCTTGGCAAAATTGGCCAGGGTAGCAGCGCAGTCCCCAGTCAAAGTGCAGCAGTGGTGGGTAACCACCATCAGCAGCAGGTTCCTGGGCACAGGGGCCAAGACAGTACCAACGCCCCTGGAGGCAGGGATGAGGCCACCAGCACAGAGATGCAGGCTGCCAGTCACCTTGCAAGGGTAGGTAGTGTGAGTGTGAGGCTTGCTAATCTTGTTCCCCCAGTAGTCTCCTCACACAGGGAGGATAAAGAGCTTGACCATGATTATAGCCCCATGGATGGTGCTGGCTACCTCCTTGGAGCACTAACACCCAGACCAACATAGCCGTTGTAGTCCTCAATGGTGACAAATGCCTTGAACCTGGTCCTTGATGCACAGAGAAGAGGCAGATCTCCTCCAGGGACTTGATCTTCATGTCCTTGACCAGATGGCCCAACTTGGTGATGGGGAGCCACTCTTTGTCCTTAATCTTGCCTCCAGGAGCTCTGTGACCTCAGCTCTGGTCCTAACCACCACTGTGACCCCTACCCCTGATGCCACTGTGGAAGAGTCCACTTCCAGGACCCCTCCCAACCCAAGGTATCATCTGCCATTTAATGTTTTCTTAGAGAAAAGACTGATTTAACTCAAATGATAGTAAAAGTGTATCATAGCCTATGACTTACTTTCAACAACTTGGTGGACAGCTTTAATACATTGTTTACTAGAGTAAGCTGTTCTTTCTTATTTGGCTTTTTTTCCATCTTAAGATATAAATTAATCTAAGGGAAGGAATAGAAATTAAGGTAAATTTCTTGGAAAAAAATATATATACTGCATAAAATCTGGCATATTTCAAAGGTCATGTTTTCAAGTAAAATAAATTTTGAAATTCCAATAGCTATCGCTACAGAGAACATATGTCATGTGCTCTAGCCCCCATTCCTGATCAGTCTCCCTCTGGCAAAGAAAAACTATTTAGTGATGAAAAATTAATGATGAAGCAATTTAAATATCAAAACAATGAAAAATTTTAATATTACTTGCAACATAACATAATTAGCACGTAAGCACCTTGAGTTCAAAACCTCTATCTTATTCATCTCACTATCCCCCTAGATAATCTAACATCCTCATTAAACATTTATGGAACAGAAGAAGATAGCTCCTTTTACTTTACTAATTCCTTATATTTTGCCTTGTAGGAAGAATTCTCCATTACGATTCTAAGACAAAAAAAAAACAGAAACGAATGATAAATGTTTTTATTCAAAGTTTATGGAAAAACTTGAAATTAAAAACAAAATTAAAAAAACTTTATACTACTCTGTATTTACAAGAGATATTTCTCAATCTTAGTGTCTATTCACATACTGAAAACCAAGTATCTTCCAAACACTGAATAATGTATTCTATGTCTAATACAGAAGAATTCAAGAAGCTTATTATACATGCTAAATGACAAGTACTCTAAAGATCTAATACTTGACATAGAATATGAGATTAAAAGCATGCTCCATTACCACCAATAAAAATCTCTCCATAGTATACAAAGTCTTTTCAATCCATTAGATCTTAATTCTCACAGAGCAGGAGGAGATATTACATCCATTTTATTAGGGATAAGCAACTACAGAGCAGCAAACTGACTTGTGAGGTCCTGTAGCTAGAAAGTGACAGCTAGACAGTGATTAAACCCTGAATCCTCTGCAGGAACCTTACAGCGTATTACGCTACCCCTAACCACTAAACCCAATTGACAGGACTGATCAATACCTGTTCTGTAAGTAATATTGAAACATTGCTGTATTTCTTATTGGTTTCAGACCCCAGTGAGGCCAGACGCAATAAAAAAAGTAGTAAAGCTGTTTCCCAGATCAAAAACTCCCAGTTATAAGCATCATTCAGGAAAGTTTTATGTCCTTGGAGAACCTATACAAAGGATCAAAAAAAAGTTAAGTTTTTCATTTACCTTAAAATCATGTAATTACTCTTTTACTCTGTCAATTTAAGAACATTTCCAAAAATCCAATATTTTAATACTGAAAGCAGAAGAGCTTTAATACTCATTAACTATTACCTATTTATTTAATCACTATATATTTCTCTAAGTTTTCTAGATTTTCTCCTTTAGCAAGGGTCTAGAAGTAACAAAGAAGGAAAATACCACAAATAAAATAAGACAAATGCATTTGCAGCTACTTTAACTATCAGTGTGTCCACTCACAACTATATGGCAACCATTATTCAAAGTAATAACTTTGCTTTATGTCAAGTGAGCTCCCTAAAACATGTGGCTCATTCCACTGGTATGACTAGAAAATCCTAAGGATCAGTTCTTTATTCTGTTTTAGGCTCCAAATAACAATAGCAGCAGCAACTACCATTTATTGAGTGCCTATTATGTGTCAAATTTTCCGGTAAAAGGTTTTTGTTTTTGTTTTTAAATTTGTTGATTTAAAAGTAAAGAAATTTACTCAAGCCCAAAGTAAGATGGAATTTACTGAAAAACATACAGATAATGCTCACAGAAACCTGGTGAAAAACAGGAAGTCACCAAGCAGCTGCCCTCTCCATCTCGCTTCCCCCAGGGCTACGTAGGCTCCCATCTCCACTCCTCTTAGCCAGCTCCATTGCCTTACAAGACCTTTGTTTTCTGCCTCCCCACTGAGTTTGACTCATATTAGCTTTGGCTTGTCATGGCACCCTAGCAGCAGACTTCTCAAGATAAAATGTGGAAATCAGAAAGCAATAGAATCCTAAAAGTGCTGAAAGGAAATAACTGGCAACCTGGAATTCAATTCCTGGTAAAAAAAAAAAAAAAAAAAAAAAAAAAAAAAAATCATTCAGAAGTGAAAGTGATAAAATATATTTTCAAACAAGCAAAAACTGAGGGAATTCATCACCAGCAGACTGGCACTAAAATAAATACTAAAGGAGTTACTCAGGTAGAAGGAAAATAATCCCAGAGAGAAACACAGAAATTCAGGAAATAAAAAGCAATGGAAAAGGTAAATATGTGAGTAAATATGATTAATTACACAAAACAATAATAATTACATCTTGCGGTTTTAAAATATATGTAAAATTAAGGTGAAGGACAATAATACAAAAGGTGAAGAGGTAAATGGGATAAACTGTTCTAAGGGCCTAGCATTATCAAGAGAGTGATAAATTAATCAGTTTATTAGACTATAAAAAATTAAGCATGCATGTTGTAATCTCTTTACTACTTACAACAAAAGAACATATAACAAGTTAATAGGATTAGGTGGAATATTTAAAAATATTTGGTTAATAAAAAGATGACAAGAGGAATGAAAAAGGAAAATTAGCAGGTAGAAAAAGTAAGAACCAAATATATTTGTGGTTACAGTAATAACATTAAGTTTAAATGGGCCAGACACTCCAAAATCTAAGACTGTGAGGATGGATTAAAAAAAAAAGCAACCAACTGGGCACAGTGTCTCATGCCTGTAATCCCAGCACTCTTGGAGGCCGAAGCAGGAGGATCCCTTGAAGCCAGGAGTTCGAGGCCAGCCTGGGGAACAAAGCCAGACTCCACTTCTATGAAAAATTTAAAAATTAGCCAGGCTAGGTGGCATGTGCTTGTAGTCCCGGCTACCAGAAAAAAAAGGAAGAAGAAGAACGAATGAACAAACACCAAGCAACCATAAGAGGAAATGCTGATTATGAGAGACACACCTAAAATATGAGAACAAAAGAATAAAAACAGGTAGACAAAGATATAACATGTAGAAATGAATCAAGACAGCTGGTGCAATGAAATTAACATCAAATCAATAAGAAACATTACAAATAGAGACATTTTGTAGGGTCATGAAAGGCAAAGCCTGACATTTTTCCAGATTAAAGGAGACTAAAGAGACATGACAATTACATGCAATATGTAATTCTGAATTGGATCCTGGATTCAGAAAAAATAAATAAATCACTATAAAGGACATAAAAGTCAACTGCCCAAAAAGATGGATAACAAAGCTAAATCTGGATGTACCCAGTTACACATAAAGCAAAAACTGACAGAAGAGGAAACACAGACAAATCCACAATCAGACTTAAACACACCTCCACCAATGGCTGACAGAATAAGCAGACCAAAAAATTCAGTAAGGATGTAGGTAATTTGACACATAAAGGACACTGCTCTCAACAATGACAGAATACAAATCTTGTCAATGTGCTAATGGAAAATTTAATAAAACTGAATGTATGCTGGATAACAAAGTAAACCTCTACATATTTCAAAGGACTGAAAATATTCAGAGTATGCTTTGACCACAGTAGAATTACATTAAAATTCAATAAAATTCAAAAAATATAAGATAAACCTGTAACTTCTTTTAATGCAGAAAGCACGGAAGTGCTTTACAAAAAGCAGACCCTGTCAAAAGGGTACAGGAGGGGGTTTCTAGGGGCTCCCACTGGCCAAATTTAGGACAATGTAGGCAGCAAAGCAAATATAGTAACAGGTTTTTTTTGTTGTTTTTTTCTTTTTTTTTCATGGAGATGGGTCCTCATTATGTTGCCCAGGTTGGTCTTCAACTCCTGGCCTCACACAATCCTCCCACATTAGCCTCCCAAAGTGCTGGGATTACAGGTGTTAAGCTGCTATGCCCAGCCTATAGTAACAGATTTTAACCCACTGTATAAAAATGAGAATACATGATTCCACAGTATAATAAATAAATGAATGAATAAATAAGAGGGAAAGAAATGAAAGATCTACCTTGGAGTGATAACTAATAAATACAGAAGGAATAATGTAGTCAGAAAATCAGTTATTTTGCAACCATATGATAGTTTTATTATCAATTAATAATTACCAACTAAAATTAGAGCGATCTTACAGTTTGAAAGGACTTCAGAATTACTTGTATTCCCATTTTGAAAAGTTAGAAAAATTACCAAACATCCAAAATAGTAAAAAATGTAGATGCATTAAAAATACATACTTAAGGACAGTGACCTAAGTCTAAAACAGAAAGTGAACTCTATAATAGAATTTTCATTTTTCCTTAAAGCAGATGTGAAACTTTTACCTGAGCACAACAAATGAAAGCAATCGAAAGTGTCAGTAGGAAAACCGAGGATACAACCACATCAACTGAACGCTGTGGCCCCCGTCTCTGTGGAGTGAGACACATGTGTTAATGTTTTAGTTACTGGCAGACAGCAACCGCCCTCACATTATTAACACTCTGAATTGTACTACATTCGTGTGAAAATAATGTTTATAAGAAGTTTCTGAGATAGGATTTTAACATATTTTGGACGTCATCAACTTTAAGTACTGAAATCCATGCATTTCCAAATTAAGGGTGACTGATTCATTGACATACTTTCGGCTGGAGTATTTCCCAAAAAAGCCAGAAAAATATAAACTATTTAATTGTCACTTTGCCCCTAGGAAATTTAGATTTTCTTTTCCCTTTCTAAGCTCTTCTTTACCTACCCCTACCAGCTTTGCAGAGAGATGACATCCAACTTGCTGTCCAGCAAGTCTGTCAGCTGCTGCTATAATCTGCCTGACACCCAGAACTACACTGTCTACTGAGTAACTGCTGCCAGGAGCTTCAGTGAGCATATTCTTGCACATACTCTATTGTTAATCAAATAAAACTCACCTTTAGATAGGAACGCAGTGATAACCATATTTTAATATTCTCCACCTTCTTAAGTCTGAAATGAGGTATTTCATATTTCCTAGCTTTCCTGGCAGAAGTAATATGGCTGAAGAGTTTTGCAAATAAAAATCTCTAGAAGAGATTTAAAAAAAATCACAGTGAAATGTATGTATGTGTCTGTGTATTCATATAATTGCCAACGATATTCCCAGAATACAAAAATATTAAAAAGAATGAAGTTCTAATCAGTGTTCAGTAAGATGGGCAGTGAAAATTTTCATTAATAGCTCGTTACCCTGTTGTTTCCAAAGCACATTACATAGTAACATACTTCTTCACAATGTGGTACACTCAACATTTGCAAGGAATATTCTTTGGAGACCCCCAAAGAATGGTTGGCATTTATGGATCCACTACTTCACAAACTCAAATGTTTATACATGATTCTGGCTTATTCTCAAATTAAATTTCCATTCAAAATCACATTTCTGGGGCTGGGCATGGTGGCTCACGCCCTGTAATCCCAGCACTTTGGGAGGAAAGACGGGCGGATAACTTGAGCCCTGGAGTTCGAGACAAGACTGGGCAACAAAGTAAGACCTCACCTCTACAAAAATACAAAAAATTAGTCGGGTGTGGTGGCGCAGGCCTGTAGTCCCAGCTACTGGGGAGGCTGAGCTGGAAGGACTGCTTGATCCTCAGGAGGTCAAGGCTGGAGTGAGCCGTGATCACACCACTACACTCCAACCTGGGCAATAGAACAACACCCGGTCTCAAAAAATAAAATAAAATAAATCACACTTCTTCTGCATATCACCAATATTTTAAACCCTCCATCCATAATTTTTATCAAATTTCAATAAATTTATTTCTCACTTGGCCATTTTTCACAAAAACATTATCACATGTAGATAATTATTTTATTCTATGGATAAAAAACAAAAAAGGGACACTGAGGTGCAGATGCTAAGCAGTCGGCTAGGCTCACTCACTGGCTAAGCCACTTATTCTACACATGAGGCCTGGCAAAATTTCAGATTACAACGTGTAATATGTAAATAGTCAATAACACAAACAATAAATCCACAAATATCAAAAGTCCACTTATCAATCCTTTATTGCCCACATCAACTTGAAGAGAGACCAAATCAAGAGAACAAAAGCAACTCAATGGAATATCATATACAAAAACAGGTAAAAAATTTTCCTTATTTCTCCACTGACCTGTTTATATGTTCTCTCTGCCACACACATCATGAAAAAAAACATCCAAGTAAGACACAATCTTTCAAAAAAATTAATTATCGACAAAACAATAATAGGTGTAACAGGTGGTGCCCCACAAAAGAGAGTCAAGATCTCCTCAGCTGAAATGGACTTTAGTTGGTCAAGGCTCTTCTCACGGAAAAGTCGATGTAAGAATGGAAAAAATGCTAATCCAATAGTGACAACATTTCCCAGCATCTGATAACCTACTCCTTGCTGATAGGCATTGACCTGTGAATTAATTTAAAATTTCCACCATTATTGTGTTAGCTAAATGGAGTTACAAAGCAGTATTTATCAAACACTATTTAGACTATTAAAAACACATTCTAAAAGTATAAATACAAATGACATACAGATTTATGACTTTCAAATCTTATTAAAAATTGGGATTCAATGAGATAAGGAATATCTGTAGAGCATACCTGAACAGTTGATTATGTTAATAGAGACCAGGTATAACAAATAATGTATATACTACCATGTAAAGACTCTGACTACAAAATTACATATATATGTTAATAATGTTATTATATATAATATGATATATATGTGCTTCAAAAGCAGAGTCATACTGTTTTAATCACTAAGAGATTCTTATAAAATAGCTCCTGATCACTTCGTATATTTTTTGAAAAATCTGAAAACATATTCAGTCTTACCCTGCTCATGATGATGCCACTTATTTCCAACACAGACATATCCATCTTTTTGCACTCATTCCCCTCCCAGATTATTGCACTAACTCGATCAGAGGAAGGACTTGAATTCTGAAGCCAGAATAAATGATTCTGAGAAGAAAAATATAAAATTGTTTCTATCCATGCCCTCTTGCCTCCATTAGTTTTTCTTTCCCAGGCTCCATTCATTTGCCAACACTCTAATAACCACCTCTATAATGCTGGTCCTTTCTTTCTTTCTTTTTTTTTTTTTTTTTTTTTTTTGAGACAGGGTATCACTATGTTGCCCAGGCTGGTCTCAAACTCCTGGGCCCAAGCAATCCTCCCATCTGCCTCCCTCTATACAGCCTTCTGTGTAGCAAGGACCATAGGCACATACCACCATGGCTCGCTAGGTCCATTTTTCCTTACTAAGCCATTCTCTCATCTAGAGAGAGACTAAATGTCTTCTGTTATGAGGAGAGATAGTCCATGATCTCCAAGGTTGCTTCCCTCTCTAAAGGTATGGAAGTGAGGATAAGCTTAGTGTAGTCATGGGCTATTAAGAAAGAATTTCTAGAGCTACGAGATTACACTGGGAGTAATAGGAAGTAAAGGAAGAGAGATACTAAAAGGCCTTATAAATCACATGAATGACTGAGGAGTTAAGTCTGTTTCTGGTCTAACCAGGACACAAAATTAGTGAGGCTTAGAAAAGCTCAAGTGGAGACAGTCACAATGAAAACAGCTCCCTCTCCTCCTCTGCCATATCATGTCTTATTCTTTAAATACTAGCTCAAGTCCCATTTCACCAACATGGTCCTCTCTGACAGCCTCAGTCTTACTAACTTTGCCCTTCTCTGAAATGAAAAACTTCTACAGTCTGTATCAGACAAATTAACATCTTATTATATGGTGCTTTTATGTTGTCCTCTATTTGTTTCCTATATAATTATCTTGTTCCCAAACTAAAAGATAATCTTCTAGAAAAGGACCATCTGGCATATTTTTTCTCTTCTACCACCATGCTTAGCATAATGCCAACAAGTATTTATTGATTTGAATCACTGACTTGATTGATTCACTGACTTATACAATTCATATTAAGCACCTACTATGTATCATGCATGTGGATAAAATGGAGAACAAGATAGATGTCCTTGCTATCAAGGAGCTTATAGACTTCTGAAGGAAGTTACTATACAGCATGGTAAGGAAAGGCAAGAGTGCTTTAGGAGTATATAAGAAAGGCTTCCTGAAGGAAGCATCACTCAAGCCAAGACCTGCCTGGAAATAAAAAGGAATGAACCAAAAGAATTGGCATTAGAGAAAATTATGTCCCAGGCAAAGAAACCTGTATGCATAAGGGCCCAGAGGCACATGAGGCCTGGTACACATCAGAAACAAAGAAGGTTAGTTGAGTCGAAGTTCACCATGTGAGGAGGAGGGAGGGAATGGTCAGAGATGAGACTGTATTAGAACAAATAAAGGAACAGAAGCAAGCAATCCAGAAAGAAGAAAAAAGGATTTTAAAGGAAGTGGCATTATCAGATTTGTATTTTAGAATTATCACTCTGGCTGTAGCAAGGAAAATGAAAGGAACAGAGGCAACCCTACAGAAGCTACTGTAATGATCCAGTTGAGATAAAATGATGGCCTGCACCAAGCAGGGTGACCAGAAACAGAGAGATGCAGGTATTTAGACAGCTGAATCAAAAGAACATAAGCGACTAAGGGTGGAAAGAATGGGGCCAGCTGGGCGCGGTGGCTCACGCCTGTAGTCCCAGTACTTTCGGAGGCCGAGGTGAGTGGATCACTTGAGGTCAGGAGTTCGAGACCAGCCTGGCCAACACAGCGAAACCCCATCTCTACTAAAAATACAAAAATTAGCCAGGTGTGGTGGCAGGCGGCAGGCACCTGTAATCCTAGCTACTCAGGAGGCTGAGGCAGGAGAATCACTTGAGCCTGGAAGGCGGAGGTTGCAATGAGCTAAAATTGTGCCAGTGTACTCCAGCCTGGGTGACAGAGTAAGACTCCATCTAAAAAAAAAAATGGGGTCAAGAATGACTTCAAGCTTTTTGACTTGGGTGGGTAGTGTGGTATTAAGAAATACAGGGAATAAAAGAATAGGCTACGTGAACAGGATTGGAAAATGATTTATTGCATTTGACATGGTGAGTTTACCACACTCAATTATTCTTATATATGTCTTAAAATTATACTGCAAATCTCAAAGGAGGGGAGTGCTACGGAGATCAACATCATCGTGATACTATGCATAACTACTGAAAACTAATGTAATTTAGATGAATCTTCAGACTGAATGCAAAAAATATTTAGCCTCACTGCAAAATCAGAAAAAGTAGCATAAAATTTTAATGAGAGCCAGGTATGGTGACTCACCCCTGTAATCCCAACACTTTGGGAGGCTAAGGTGGGAGGACTGTTTGAACCCAGGAGTTAAGACCAGCCTAAGCAACATAGTGCGACCCTGTCTCTACAAAAAATTTAAAAATTAGCCAAGCATGGTGGCTAATCAGGAGGCTGAGGTGGGAGGATCACTTGAGCTGGAGAGGTTAAGGCTGCCGTGAGTCATGATTGCACCACTGCACTCCAGCCTGGGCAACAGAGTGAGCTCTGTCCCAAAAAAGAAAACTTTAATGAGAAAATTTACACTGTTTCTTGTTCATTTTTTAAAAATTATATACATTTAATGAAGCGATTTTTTAAATGAAAATGTATAACCTAAATCAATGGTATTTTTGAATCAAGAATATTTGACAATTAAACAAATATATATCCATCATCCACTATTTGCAAGACAATGTGGAAATATTTAGCCTAAAGAACAAAAACCTAAGAATCATAACAATCATTGACATTAAGCAACTGAAAGGTTGATAAGTGAACTATTTCTTCATCATTCAATCTATCCAGAAGTGGAATAAGCTGTATCATTAAATAACAAGCATTCCAGCTCCAGAAGTATTTAAGAGGCCAATTGATCATCTGATGGAGATATAAATAATAATGCTAACATTTATTGGGTATTTACTCTTGCCAGGTATTATGCTATGTACTTTATATTATCTCATTAGCTATTTCACACTATTCCTAAGAAGTAAGAACTATTATCACCACATAACAGATGGTAAAAAATTTACACAGATGTAGAATGAATCTCTACATTGGTTGGAAGGTTGAAATACCTTCTAATGGCTATCTGACTTTATGATATTAATATAAAACCTGAAATTAAAAGCATTATTTATTTTATGCATTGTTCAAAAAGCAAGCAATACCATTTCCTAGTAATTCATATGTAACACTGTGATGTTCATGAAAATATAAGGTATATTCTCTATATGCAAACTCTACTCATATAAAATATAAAATACACATAAAGGACCATTCTAAGGAAAATAATAAGAAAAAGTAATATACAGAAAAATTTAGGTTAGGGCAACTCTAGATTACTTCTCCCTGAGTTCTAATCCCAACATCTTCACTTATAGACTATGCTCAGTTTCCTCACCTCTAAACTGGGGATAATAATAGTATCTACCCTACAGGATGATTGTAAAGTTAAATGAGATGACAGAGTGCCTGACACACAGTAAGAACACAATAAATACTAGCTATTCTTATCATGTCTGCACAGACCTGCTGAAAAACATCCTCTTTGGGGTCACGTTTGGTCCCTGAGTGAAGGGTATTCACATGGGCCCCCTCACTGTCACTGGTGACAGATGACCGGCACTCTGGGCCATGTAGCAGGTCGTCCCATAACATGTCCTCAGTCTCCGAGTCATGGCGGGTGCTTTCTGAGTCTCTTCTTGACATGTTGAGGCTTCGAGAGCCACCACTCACACCCGATCTAGAGCCCTTTAAAGGAAAACAAAAAGCAAAAAATGTTATTCATCTTTAAAAATAATTACATGTGAAATAAAATTAAAACAACTTATCTACAGCAATGGCTTGAAAGCCTTCAGAAGTCAATCACCATGAATTCATTTTTTCACAGGGCTTCACGTAACAATAATGCTTTTTTATTTTTTGATACAGGGTCGCGCTCTGTCACCCAGGCTGGAGTGCAGTGGCATGATCATAGCCCACTGCAACCTCAAACTCGGGCTCAAATGATCCTCCTGCCTCAGCCTCCTGAGTAGCTGGCACTACAGGTGCATACCATCACACCCGGATATATATATATATATATATTTTTTTTTTTTTTTTGTAAAGATGTGGTCTCATTTTGTTGCCCAGGCTGGTCTCCGACTCCTGGTCTCAAGCTATCCAACAACCTCAACCTCTCAAAGTGCTGAGATTACAGGCATGAGCCACCATGTCCAGCCAATAATAGATTTTAATATTTAAATGTTAAACTCTGATGTCTCTAGCAAGCAGTACTCCCTCTAAGAAGCTACTGCCATGTTATGGAACTGATCAACTAAGGTGTTCTGGGAGGGGAGTGATTCCTGTAAGCACACCAAGATGACCCACTCAATTGGCTTAGCTGAGCTTTTTGACACACACAAAGTGACCCCAACTCTAAATATTGTGAACTTGACTACAGACCTACTCGTGAACAGGATTCAGCTCCAAAACGTTAAAGGATAATCAGTCAAAGAAAAGTACCAACATAAATATGAAAGTTATTCCATGACCACAATTGCCTTATTAATCAAAATAAAAGAAAAAACCACACCACCACCATCTACTCTGCTCACCTCTGAGTTACAATTTTCCAAATAATATAATATGCCCTTTAGCTCTCATGATGAGATTTACTACTCCCATCTTTCAGAACTCCTTTCTCAAAAATCTGTCTTCATCAGCATCAATCCAATTTATGATGTTTAAAAATAAACTTCATATGCCAAGTGAATATTTAATAATCTCATTATTTAGGGATTAAGTAACCTCCTGCTGGGCATCATCTGTGATACTTTTAAGCTTAGGGTCAATGTAGGAAAATATTCTTTCTAGGTGTGTAGTCATTAAAAGCTGCTAGATAAGGAGATGGGTAATTGGAGACAGGGAAGGGCTGGCAAATATTAATGTAAATGCTACTTTAGGGCAACCAATAAAAAAAGGAATGGATAAAGTTATTACCCTCAAAAATATACCTTGATTTCTCAAAGGGATACTTTACCTGGCTGAAGGCTGCTGATTCAAATTCTGATTCAGCCAGACTATCTGAATCCCGCACAATATGACACCACCTTGTAGTGGTTTTCTTTACCTGCCAAAAATCAAACCAACAAGCAATAGGAAAATATGTTAAATGCTTTGTTACTAACTTCAATGATTCAGTCCTATACTTTCATAAACTAAAATAGAAATTACCTGAGAGTTTAGGTGCCTTGAAAGTATTGATTTTCTATTCTTAACTTCACAACCATTGTCACTTGAGGCCCCTTCCACACTCCTACGCAATAATATCATCTGTGTCCGTGCTTCACCATCTTCTTCACTTGACAGGTCATCAGACACCCCATTACCCAAACGCCTAAAAGCCTCCTACAAAGAGAACAGCAATACCTTCACAGGGGACAGCCCAAAATATTCTAATAAGCTGCATGTGTAAAAACAAAAAAAAATCATACAAAAACTACCAAGCAGCAAAAGTAAACTAACCCAAAACTGAACAAATCCATATATTACTTAATCTCAATTAAGAAAAATATTTAGTTGAAACTAAATATCCTAAATGAAGAGGCAGTGTTATGTAGTATTCAAAAACCAAGACTCAAGTCAAACTCTAAGCCTGAATCACAGCTCTTCTACTTACTAGATACATAACCTTGAGCAATTTACTAAATCTGTTTGGAGCTGAGTTCCCTCATCTAAAAAGAAATTATAATAAAAGCATCTATTTCACAGGTTTGTTGAAAATAAATGAGATAAGTTAGTATACGTAAAGTACTCAGAACAATGCCTGGTTATAGTAACGGCTCAATAATTCTTAGACTAAATGCCACAATCTAACCAATAAGAAAACAGTTTAAGACTATAAAAGTGTGTAGCTAGTTTTAGACATAGAGCAGACCATGTCTACTTAAACCTACAAAATAATTTCCCAAACTCTTACTATACTATCACTGCTTCTCTGGAATATGACCCAGCACCCTCTTCACTAATCTGTTTATTAAATCTACCAGCCTACTGCTAAGGCTGGATAACTCACAAAATTTTTTTTTTTTTTTTTTTTGAGACGGAGTCTCGCTGTGTCTCCCAGGTTGGAGTGCAGTGGCGCGATCTCGGCTCACTGCAAGCTCCACCTCCCAGGTTCATGCCATGCCATTCTCCTGCCTCAGCCTCCCAAGTAGCTGGGACTACAGGCGCCCGCCAACACGCCCGGCTAATTTTTTGTATTTTTAGTAGAAACGGGGTTTCACCGTGTTAGCCAAGATGATCTCGATCTCCTGACCTCGTGATCCGCCTGTCTCGGCCTCCCAAAGTGCTAGGATTACAGAACTCGCAAAATTAATAACAAGTCCAGTACTATAAATTTTAAGACTAAGTTCCAGTCTTCATGTGGTATCTTCTTTTCATATCCTGTGGTTTTACTTGTTAGGACAAATTTATAAACCTACTAGTACCTATTTTATATCTCTAACAGAATCTTAATAGGAAAATGTTACATGGGGAAAAAAACCCCTTGTTAAATCCATCTAAATCTTACCCTACGGCACTTTTCTCCATCTGAAAATTTTGCTTTCTCTCTTGTTTGCCACATTCTAATCTCTGGTCGACATTGTCTCCTCTTAATGATAGGATGGACACAACTTGGGTCATTGTCAGTTTCAGTCCCTTTGTTAGATATTAATTTTACTCTTTTAATCCTATTTTTTAAAAAAGGAAAAGAAGATTAATTTTTTGAAAGTAACACCTTTCATGAAACCACTTTCTTTTAAGGAATACGCTATATTATTCTGGAAATCAAGAAAATGCAGGAATCATATTTTTCAGGACTTTAGCTTGCTAAGTAAGGGTGTAGAATGACAAAATACTCACTCACAGACTCAGAATGTGAGTCTATTCTTCAAAGACTCATGTCAATTAACTGAAAGGAAGCATATACTTTTCAGTGTTGCACAAAAGTAGGTTCACAGTCCTCTCCACATCTTCTCAGACACAATGCAACTCCTACCTTATATCGTCTGTTATTGCCACTCCACTAGCCCAGTAGACTTAGGTGCACATGACCTATTGAGACACCAGCTGGGTGGCCAGGGAGTGCATTTTTGCCACCCTTACTGCAAAGCCAGGCAGTGTTGTTCACAGCCCAGGAAGAGACAGAAGAGTAAAAAGGACTTTGTCTTGCAACTTGGATACCAGCTCAGCCAGAGTAGAACAAGGGACCAGAGTCCTGAGGCCCCCATTCCAGGACCTAGCTTATGGATGACATTTCTAGACACACCTTGGACCAAAATGCAACCAGCACATTTGAAGGGAAGGATCCAGTCCTGGCAGGAGTCATCACCTGCTGACCAAAGAGCCCTTGGGCTCTGTATAATCAACAGTGGTAGCCAGGCAGTACTCACTGTGGGCATTGGGTGAGACTCAGAGCCATGCTGGCCTCAGGAGGGACCCAGTATATTCCCAGCTGTGGTGGCTACAGGGAGAGACTCTTTCTGCTTGAGGAAAAGAGAGGGAAGAGTAAAGGGGACTCTGTCTTACAGGCAGGGTACAAGCTCAACCACAGTGGGGTAGAACACCAAGTGTGCTCTTGAGGTCCCTGATTCTAGGCCTTGGCTCCTGGATGGTATTTCTGGACGCACTCTGGGCCAGAGGGGAGCCCGTTGCCCTGAAGGGAGATACCCAGGCCTATCAGCATTGACCACAAGCTGACCAAAGAGCCCTTGGACCTTGAGTGAATATCAGCAACAGCCTTGCAGTACTTGCTGCAGGCCTGGGGCAGCGGTGGCCATGGGGAGAGATTCCTCTGCTTGAGGAAACGGGAGAGAAGAATGAGAAGGAGTTTGTCTTTTGGTTTGGGTGTGAGCTCAGCTGCTGTAGAATAGAATGACAGGAAGATTCCTAAGGTTCTCAACGCCAGGCCCTGATAGCGTCTCTGGATCTGCCCAGAGCTAGGGTAACTGGCTGCCCTAAAAGGAAGGACATAAGCCTGGCTGGATTTGCCACCTGCTGATTGTAGTGCCCTTGGGCTTTGAGTAAACATAGGTGGTAGACAGGCAAGTGGTCACCATGTGGACCTTGGGCAAGACCCAGTGCTGTGCTGGCTTCAGACCTGACCCAGGCCAGTCCCAGTATTAATGGCCACAGGGGTGCTGTGTCACTCCTCCTGGCTCCAAGCAGCTCAGCACAGAGAGAAAGAGACTCCATTTGTTTGGGAGAAAGTTAGGGAAGAGAACAAGAGTCTCTCCCTGGTAATCCAGAGAATTCTCCCAGATCTGACCCAAGACCACCAAGGCAGTAACCTCTACAAGTCTGCAGGAGCCACAACATTACTGGGCTTAGGGTGCCCCCTAATGCAGATACAGCTGCAGTGACCAAAGACTTAGATCACAATGCCCAATTCCCCTCAAATACTTGGAAAGCCTTCCCAAGAAGGACAGGTACAAAGAAGCCCAGACTGTGAAGACTACAATAAACATCTAACCATTCAATGCACAGACACTAATGAACATCCACAAGCATCAAGACCATCGAAGAAAACATGACCTCACCAATATCTAATAAGATACCAGTGACCAATTCCAGAGAGACAGAAATATACAACCTTAGAGACAGAAAATTCAAAATAGCTATTTTTAGCCAGGCACAGTGGCTTATGCCTGTAATCCCAGCAGTTTGGGAGGCCAAGGGACAGGTGGATCAGTTGAGCTAAGGAGTTCAAAACCAGCCTGGGCAACATGGCAAAACCTCGTCTTTACAAAAATTAGCTGGGTGCAATGGCATGTGCCTGTAGTCCCAGCTACTTGGAAGGCTGAGGCAGGAGGATCACTTGAGCCTAGGAGGTGGAGTTTGCAGTGAGCCGAGATTGTACCATTGCACTTCAACCTGAGCAATGACAGTGAAACCCTGTCTCAAAAAAAAAAAAAAAAAAAAAAAAAAAAAAAAGCTATTTTGAGGAAACTCAAACAAATTCAAGAATACACAGAAGGAATTCAGAATCCTATCAGATAAATTTAACAGAGAGAGTGAAATAACTAAAAAAAAAAAATCAAACAAATTCTGGAGCTGAAAAATGCAACTGACATACTGAAGAAATGCATCAGAGTCTCTTAACAGCAGAATTGATCAAGCAGAAGAAAGAATTAGTGAGCTTCAAGACAGTATATTTAAAAAGACACAGAGGAGACAAAAGAAAAAGAATAAAAAAGAATGAAACACACCTAAAAGATCTGGAAAATAGCCTCAAAACAGCAAATCTAAGAGTTACTGACCTTAAAGAGGCGGTAGAGAGAGAGACAGGAGTATAAAGTTTATTCAAAGGGATAATAACAGGAAACTTCCCAAATCTAGAGTAAGATACCAATATTCAAGTACAAGAAGGTCATACAATACCAAACAGATTTAACACAAAGAAGATTACCTCAAGGCATTTAACAATCAAACCCTCAAAGATCAAAGATAAAGAAAGGATCCTAAAAGCAGCAAGAGAAAGGAAACAAATAGCATACAAAGATACTCCAATATTTCTGGCAGCAGACTTCTCAGTGCAAACTTTACAGGCTAGGAGAGAGTGGTATGACATATTTATTTACTTACTTATTTTTCCCTTTTTTTTTTTTTTTTTTTTTTTGAGATGGGGATCTCAGTTGCCCAGGCTGGAGTTCACTGTCACAATTACAGCTCACTACTGCCTCAACGTCCTGGGCTCAGGCGATCTTCTTGTCTCAACCTCCAGCATAGCTGGAACCACAGGCACAGGTCACCACATCCAGCTGATTTTTTATTTTTATTTTTGTAGAGACTGGGTCTCCCTAATGTTGCCCAGGTTGGTCTTGAACTTCTGGCCTCAAGCAATCCTCCCATCTTGACCTCCCAAAGTGCTGGGATTATAGGCCTGAGCCACTATGTCCAGCCGGTCTGACATATTTAAACTGCTAAATGAAAAACCTTTTTGTCCTACAATACTATACCCAACAAAAATAAACTTCAAACAAGAAGTAAAAATAAAGACATCCCCAGAAAAAAACAAAAGCTGAAGGATTTCATCAACAACAGACCTGCCTACAAGAAATGCAAAAGAGAGTTCTTCAAATTGAAAGAAATGACATTAATGAGCAATAAGCAATCATCTGAAGGTACAAAACTCATTAGTAATAGTAAATACACAAAAAAGACAGAATATTATAACCCTGTAATTGTTATGTGTAAACGACTCATATCTTCAATAGGAAGACTAAAAGATGAACCAACTTAAAAGAATACAACATTTCAAGACATAGACAGTATAATAAGATATAAATACAAACAACAAAAAGTTAAAAAGCAAGGGGACAGAGTGAAAGTGTACAGTTTTTATTACTTTTCTCTTTGCTGGTTTATGAGTTTGTTTGCTTGTTTATGCAATCAGTGTTACCAGTTTAAAAAAATAGGTTATAAAATATTATTTGCAAGCCTCAATGTAACCCCCAAATTAAAAAAATAATAAAAGATGCATAAAAAATAAAAAGAAATAAATTTTAAAATACCCCTAGAGAAAATCACCTTCACTAAGAGGAAGATAGGAAGGAAAGAAAGAAGAGATCACAAATGAACCAGAAAACAACTAACAAAGTGGCAGGAGTAAGTCCTTACTTATCAATAATGGCATGGAATGTAAATGAACTAAACTTTCTAATCAAAAGACATAGAGTGGCTTAATGCATTAAAAAAACAAAATCCATGATCTGTTACCTACAAGAAACAAACTTTATAAAAGATACACACAGGCTGAAAATAAGGGGATGGAAAAAGATATTCCATCCCAATAGAAACTAAAAATTAGCAGGAGTAGTGTATTAGTTCATTTTCATGCTGCTGATGAAAACATACCCGAGATTGGGAAGATAAAGAGATTTAACTGGACTTACAGTTCCACATGGCTGGGGAGGCCCCTGAGAATCATGGCGGGAGGTAAAAGGCACTTCTTACATGGTGGCGGGCAAGAGAAAATGAGGAAGAAGCAAAAGCGGAAACCCCTGATAAACCCATCAGATCTCGTGAGACTTATTCACTATCACGAGAATAGCATGGGAAAGACCAGCCCCCATGATTCAATTACCTCCCCCTGGGCCCCTCCCACAACCCACTGGAATTCTGGGAGATACAATTCAAGTTGAGATTTGGGTGGGGACACAGCCAAACCATATCATTCTGCTCCTTGCCTCTACAAACCTCATGTCCTCACATTTCAAAACCAATCATGCCTTCCCAATACTCCCCCAAAGTCTTATTTCAACATTAACCCAAAAGTCCAGCATCCAAAATCTCATCTGAAACAAGGCAAGTCCCTTCCACCTATGAGCCTGTAAAATCAAAAGCAAGCTAGTTACTTTCTAGATACAATGAGGATACAAGTATTGGGTAAATACACACGTTCAAAATGGGAGAAATTGGCCAAAACAAAGGGGTTACAGGGCCCTTGCAAGTCTGAAATCCAGTGGGGGAGTCAAATTTTAAAGCTCCAAAATGATCTCCTTTGACTCCAGGTCTCACACATCCAGGTCACGCTGATGCAAAAGGTGGGTTCACATGGTCTTGGGCAGCTCTGTCCTTATGGCTTTGCAGGGTAAAGCCTCCCTCCTGGCTGCTTTCACAGGCTGGTGTTGAGTGTCTGAGGCTTTGCCAGGAGCACAGTGCAAGCTGTTGGTGGATCTACCATTCTGGGGTCTGGAGGATGGTGGCCTTCTCACAGCTCCACTAGGTGGTGCCCCAGTAGGGACGCTGTGTGGGGGCTCCGACCCCACCTTTTCCCTTCCACACTACCCTCACAGAGGTTCTCCATGAGTGCCCTGCCCCTGCAGCAAAACTATTGCCTGGGCATCCATCTTCTGAAATCTAGGCAGAGGTTCCCAAACCTCAATTCTTGACTTCTGTGCACCTGCAGGCTCGATACCACGTAGAAGCTGCCAAGGTTTGGAGCGTCCACCCTCTGAAGCCACAGCCTGAGCTGTACATTGGCCCCTTTCAGCCATGGCTGGAGCAACTGGGACATGGGACACCAAGTCCCAAGGCTGCACACAGCATGGGGACCCTGGGTCCGGCCCACGAAACCACTTTTTCCTCCTAGGCCTCCAGGCCTGTGAAGGGAGGGGCTGCCATGAAAGTGTCTGACATGTCCTGGAAACATTTTCCCCATTGCTTGGGTATTAATGTTAGGCTCCTTGCTACTTATGCAAATTTCTGCAGCCAGTTTGAATTTCTCCCCAGAAAATGGGTTTTTCTTTTCTTCTTTTTTTTTTTCTTTTGAGACAGAGTCTCGTTCTGTCACCCAGGCTGGAGTGCAGTGGCGTGATCTCAGCTCACTGCAAATGCCACCTCTTGGGTTCAAGCAATTCCCCTGCCTCAGCCTCCCAGGTAGCTGGGATTACAAGTACCCACCATCATGCCTGGTTAATTTTTGTATTTTTTTAGTAGAGATGGGGTTTCACCATGTTGGCCAGATTGGTCTTAAACTACTGACCTCAGGTGATCCACCCACCTCAGCCTCCCAAAGTGCTGGGATTACAGGCGTGAGCCACCACGCCTGGCCTGGGTTTTTCTTTTCTATCGCATAGTCAGGGCACAAATTTTCCAAACTTTTATGCTCTGCTTCCCTTATAAAACTGATTGCCTTTAACCACACCCAAATCACCTCTTTAATGCTTTGCTACTTAGAAATTTTTTCCGCCAGATACCCTAAATCATCTCTCTTAAGTTCAAAGTTCCACAAATCTCTAAGGGAGGGGCAAAATGCCACCAGTCTCTTTGCTAAAACATAACAAGAGTCACCTTTGCTTCAGTTCCCAACAAGTTCCTCATCTCCATCTGTTACCACCTCAGCCTAGACCTTATTGTTCATATCACTATCAGCATTGCTGTCAAAGCCATTCAACAAATCTCTAGGAGGTTCCAAACTTCCCACATTTTCCTGTCTTCTTCTGAGCGCTCCAAACTGTTCCAACCTCTGCCTGTTACCCAGTTCCAAAGTTGTTTCCATATTTTCAGGTATCTTTTCAGCAACACCCCACTCTACTGGTACCAATTTACTGTATTAGTTCATTTTCATGCTGTTGATAAAGACATACCTGAGACTGAGAAGAAGAAGAGGTTTAATTGGACTTACAGTTCCACAAGGCTGGGGAGGCTTCAGAATCACAGCAGGAGGTGAAAGGCACTTCTTAGATGGTGGCGGCAAGAGAAAGAAGAAGCAAAAGCAGAAACTCCTGATAAACCCATCAGATCTTGTGAGACTTATTCACTATCACGAGACTAGCACAGGAAAGACCAGCCCCATGATTCAATTACCTCCCCCTGGCTCCCTCCTGCAATACGTGGGAATTCTGGGAGATACAATTCAAGTTGATATTTGGGTGGGGACACAGCCAAACCATATCAAGTAGCTATACTTATATTGGTCAAAATAGACTTTAACTATAAAAAGAGTTAAAGGTCATTATATAATGATAAAGGGGTCAATGCAGCAAGAGGACAAACAATTGTAAATATATATGCACCCAACACTGAAGCACCCAGATACATAAAGCAAATATTATTAGAGTTAAAGAGAGAGACAGACTCCAATACAATAATAGCTGGAGACTTCAACCTCATTTTCAGCATTAGACAGATCATCCAAATAGAAAAACCAACAAAAAAAATTGGACTTAATCTACACTACAGACCAAACAGACCTGACAGACATTTACTAAACATTTTACCTACTGGCTATAGAATACACATTTTTCTCCTCAGTGCATGAATCATTTTCAGGGATATACCATATTATAGCCAAAAAACAAGTCTTAAAACATTCCAGAAAATTAAAATGATATCAAGTATCACCGGGAGGGTACAGCCTCCCTCCTGGCTGCTTTCATGGGCTGGTGTTGAGTGTCTACGGCTTTTCCAGGTGCACAATGCAAGCTATTGGTGGATCTACCATTCTGGGGTCTTGAGGACAGTGGCCCTCTTCTCACAGCTCCACTAGGAAGTGCCCCAGTGAGAACTCTATGTGCGGGTGCCCACCCCACATTTCCCTTCCACACTGCCCTAGCAAAGGTTCACCATGAGTGCCCTGCCCCGGCAGCAAACATCTGCCTGGACATCCAAGCATTTCCATACAACCTGTGAAATCTAGGCAGAGGTTCTCAAATCTCAATACTTGACTTCTGTGCACCTCTACAAAAAAATACAAAAAATTAGGGAGGGAGGGATGTGGTGGCACATGCCTGTGGTCCCAGCTACATGGGGGACTCACACACAAGAATCACTTGAACTGGGAAGCAGAGTTTGCAGTGAGCCAAGATCATGCCACTGCACTCAAGCCTGGGCAACAGACTGAGGCTCTGTCTCAAATATTAGTAACAATAAGATAAAATAAATAAATAAAAAGATCATTCATCACGACCAAGTAGGGTTATACCAGGGATGCAAGGATGGTTCAACATACATACAAATCAATTAACGTGACACATCATACCAAAAGAATGAAGGAAAAAAACCATATAATCATTTCAAATGATGATGAAAAAGCATTTGATAACATTCAATATCCCTGCATGATAAGAATTCTCAAAAATCAGGGTATAGAAGGAACATACCTCAAAACAATAAAAGTCAAGTCACATAACAGACCCACAGCTGGTATCATACTGAATGAGGAAAAACTGAAAGCCTTTCCTCTAAGATCTGGAAAATGACAAAGATGCCCACTTTCATCACTGTTATTCAACATAGTACTAGAAGTCCTAGCTAGAGCAATCAGACAAGAGACAGAAATGAAAGGCCTACAAATTGGAAAAGAAGAATTCAAATTACCTTTGTTTACAGATAATAAGATCTTATATTTGGAAAAACCTACAGATTCCACCAAAAAACTATCAGAACTGATAAACAAATTCATTAAAGTTGCAGGATACAAAATTGACATAAAAATCAATAGCATTTCTTTTTTTTGAGACAGAGTCTTGCTCTGTCGCCCAGGCTGGAGTGCAGTGGTGTGATCTTGGCTCACTGCAAGCTCCACCTCCCGGATTCATGCCATTCTGCTGTCTCAGCCTCCCAAGTAGCTGGGACTACAGGTGCCCGCCACCACGCCCGGCTAATTTTTTTTTTTGTATTTTTAGTAGAGACAGGGTTTCACCATGTTAACCAGGATGGTCTCAACCTCCTGACCTCGTGATCCGCCCGCCTTGGCCTCCCAAAGTGCTGGGATTACAGGCGTGAGCCACTGCGCCCAGCCAAAAATCAATAGCATTTCTATATGCCAACAGCAAACAATCTAAAAAAGAAATCAAGAAAGTTACACGATTTCTAATAGTTTCAAATAAAATTAAACACCTAGCAATTAACCAAAGAAGTGAAAGATCTCTATAATGAAAACTATAAAACATAGATGTAAGAAATTGAAGAGAACGCAGCCGGGCGCAGTGGGTCACGCCTGTAATCCCACCACTTTGGGAAACCAAGACGGGCGGATCACGAGGTCAGGAGATCGAGACCATGGTGAAACCCCATCTCTACTAAAAATACAAAAAATTAGCCGGGCACGGTGGCGGGTGCCTGTAGTCCCAGCTCCTCTGGAGGCTGAGGCAGGAGAATGGCATGAACCCAGGAGGTGGAGCTTGCAGTGAGCCGAGATCATGCCACTGCACTCTAGCTTTGGCGATAGAGCGAGACTCTGTCTCAAAAAAAAGAAATTGAAGAGAATGCAAAAAATATGGAAAGATATTCCATAGTTTATGAACTGGAAGAATGACTATTGTTAAAAATATCCATATTAACCAAAGCAATCTACAGATTCAATGCAATCCCTATAAAAATAACAATGACATTCTTCACAAAAATAGAAAAAACAATCCTAAAATTTACATGGAATTGGCCAGGCATGGTGGCTCACACCTGTAATCCCAGCACTTTGGAAGGCCAAGGTGGGCAGATCACCTGAGGTCAGGAGTTTGAGACCAGCCTGGCCAACATGGTGAAACCCCATCTCTACTAAAAATACAAAAAAAAAAAAAAATTAGCCAGGCGTGGTGGCAGGCGCCTGTAATCCCAGCTACTCGGGAGGCTGAGGCAGAATTGCTTGAACCTGGGAGGCAGAGGTTGCAGTGAGCCGAGATCGCGCCATTGCACTCCAGCCTGGATGACAGAGGAAGACTCCATCTCAAATAAATAAATAAATAAATAAATAAATAAATAAATAAATAAATAAAAATAAAAATTATATGGAATCACAAAAGACCCAAAATAACCAAAGCTATCGTAAGTAAAAACAACAAAACTGAAGGAATCACATTACCTGACTTCAAATTGTACTACAGCACTATAGTAACCAAAGGAGCATGGTAGTGGCATAAAAACACATCGGCCAATGGAACAGAATTGAGAATCCGGAAATAGATCCATACATCTACAGTGAACTCATTTTTTTTTTTTTTTTTTGAGACAGGGTCACACTCTGTCACCTAGGCTGGAGTAAAGTGGTGAGATCCTGACTCGCTGCAACCTCTGCCTCCCAGGTTCAAGCAATTCTCCTGCTTCCACCTCCCGAGCAGCTGGGATTACAGGTGCCCACCACCACGCCCGGATAATTCTTGTATTTTTAGTAGAGACAAGGTTTGGCCATGTTGGCCAGGCTGGTCTTGAACTCCTGACCTCAAATGATCCCCCCGCCTCAGCCTCCCAAAGTGCTGGGATTACAGGCATGAGCCACTGTGCCCGGCCAACAGTGAACTCAGTTTTGACAAAGATGCCAAGAACATACATTAGAGAAAGGACAGTCTCTTCAATAAATGATGCTGGAAAAACTGAATATTCACATGCAGAAGAATGAAACTAGACCCTTATCTCTCACCATATGCAAAAATCAAATAAAAGTTAATTAAAGAACTAAACCTAGGACCCCAAACTATGAAATGACTAAAAGAAAACATTAGGGAAACTCTCCAGATGTTGGTCTGGGCAAAGATTTCTTAAGTAATACTCCACAAGCACAGGCAACCAAAGCAAAATGGACAAATGAGATCACATCAAGTTAAAAAGCATCTATATAGCAAAGGAAACAATCAACCAAGTGAAAATACAACTCACAGAATGAGAGAAAGTCTTAAATTATCCATCTGACAAGGGATTAATAACCAGAATATATAAGGAGTTCAAACAACTCTATAGAAAAAATCTAATAATCTGATTTTAAAATGGGCAAAAGATCTGAATAGACATTTCTCAAAAGAAGACATATAAATGGTAAACAGGTATGTGAAAAGGTACTCATATCATTGATCACAGAAATGCAAATCAAAACCACAGTGAGATATCATCTCACTCCAGTTAAAATGGCTTTTAGGCAAAAGACAGACGATAACAAATGCTGGAGAGGATATGGAGAAAAGGGAACCCCCGTACACTGTTGGTGGAAATGTAAAGTAGTACAACCACTATGAAGAACAGCTTGGAGGTTCTTCAAATAAAGAAAAATAGAACTACCATATGATCCAGCAACCCCACTGCTAGGTATATAACCAAAAGAAAGGAAATCAGGCCAGGTGTGATGGCTCATGCCTGAGGCCTGAGGTCAGGAATTCGATATCAGCCTGGGCAACATGGTTACACCCTGTCTCTAATAAAATACAAAAATTAGCTGGGTGTGGCGGCGGGCACCTGTCATCCCAGCTATTCTCAGAAGGCTGAGGCAGGAGAATCGCTTGAACTCAAGAGGCAGAGGTTGCAGTGAGCCAAGATCGTGCCATTGCACTCCAGCCTGGGTGAGAGAATGAGACTCCATTTCAAAAAAAAAAAAAAAAAACAGAATACTTCCATGATAGATTACTGCATTCACAGGTAACAAAACAGACAGTGAAGACAACATTTTGAGTAAGCAAGCCCTCTGATAACCCTTAAAAATCACACCAAGATAAGTCTATACTACTTACTCCTATGGCCTGATGATACTATACATTCTGTAAACACTACGTGAATACAAAATCAAGTAAAAAAGACTCCCACCTGTTGCCAAAGATAGTCTCCCAAAAACCACCAATAATGGGTACAGATTCCAAAGTTTCTATTCCTCTGACTTTATCAGAGGAGTTATTTCCATTTTCTCGGCTCCCATCACCATTTACAGTTTTTCGTAATTTTCTACAAAAAAAAATTTCAATAACTTCAGATTATTCAAGACCCTTTCTATTTCTGCCAAAAATATCCCTACAGAAAATTATACTGACAAATTACTACCTTAAATCAAGTATAGTTTAACTTCATATTCTGCGGATAAACTATGCAAGAACTTTCTGATTTGAGGGCAAAACCAGATTCCAAACCAAAGTCCTATGCTACCATTTTGTTCAGTCATTAAAGAAATAGAACCGCTATTCAGAATCTACTAAAAAAAAAAATTTCTACTTGTATGACCAAGAGTCTGTTCAGGCACATTCAACACCACTAGCAGAAGGAGCAATTTCTTTAAATATGGATGTTAGGAATCTACCTCTTATGGCACATTTTATAAGGGTAACATAGAATAGTAGCAACTGATCACTTTTTATTGATATCCTAGACAAAAGATATATACTATAGATATCAATAAGACATAGCATAGCATTTTATTTCCTTAGAAAACATTCCATTAATTTAACTGAATTTACAAGAAATCTTTTTTAAAAAGTTTTTAAAATAACATTCAAAAATAAGAATATGTTGAAATTCATTGCACCTAATGGAAAATTCTTATTTAGTAATTGCTTACGCAGGCAAAAATCTACAGATATTCTGAGGGAAGATAACATAACTTTTGGAAAATAACACTGCATATACCTAAGAACATTTCAACAGTTCCAAAACTCACATATACCATATAATCGATTAAAATATAACATGAATTCAATATGTAAAGAAAAGCCAAATAAATCCTTATTAAAAGTTTAGACGGCTGGGTGCAGTGGCTCACGCCTGTAATCCCAGTCCTTTGGGAGACCGAGGCGGGTGGATCACCTGAGGTCAGGAGTTCTAGATCAGCCTGATTAACATGGTGAAATCCCATCTCTACTAAATTCAAAAAAAAAAATTAGCTGGGTGTGGTGGCATACGCAGGTAATCCCAGCTACTTGAGAGGCTGAGGCAGGAGAATCGCTTGAACTCAGGAGGTATCGGTTGCAGTGAGCCGAGATTGCGCCATTGCACTCCAGCCTGGGCAACAAGAGCGAAACTCTGTCTCAAAAAGAAAAAAAAAAAGTTTAGACCACTTAGAAATCAATTCTTATTACACATCTTTGAAAAAAGGTAAAATTTTGGTAGCGCTAACCAAATGTACCAAGATCCTTGTTTACAGTGAATTTTCACCAAATTTTGATTAAGACTGAATTTCAAAGAGAATGTTTTCTTTGAAGCCAATATATGATAAATTTTATAAAGAATAATATAGTATAGAAATTTTCCTTTTAAACAACTGTACTGAATGACAAAAATCCCAAACTGGAACTAAAAGTTTGTAACAAGGTTTTCTCAGCATCAAGGAGAAAAGTGCAAAGTAATGCATTCATTTTCTAAGCCAAAAAATAATGAAAAACACAAAAGAGGGAGATTTTAAATTAATCAAAGGTTTTATAAATCTCTACAATAACTCTCCCAGAAAATATACAACTACAGTGTAATTTCTCATCTTACCTTCTTCTTCGATTTCCATTGTTTCCTGATGGTCTTGTTATCTGAGTAGACACAATTTGACAGTGGACAGTTCCCATGAGTAGCATAAGGCACAAGGGTCCAAGTACTTCACTTATGTTCACAATAGGCATCATCAAATATAAGACAATTGCTATAACTGAAAAGAAGAGGTTTTAAGATGTAAAACATTAGAGCTCTTCTTTAAAATTAATTCTAAAAACTATACAAATTGTTTCTATAAAAATCCATCATTTAAAAAAGTACACAAATAAATAGTTTCCTACAATGCCCATCCAGATGCACATTAGCCAAGTGAAAAACTGAAGCCCTAGATCCCTCGGCAAGTGAAGAATACTGTGTTAAAAGGATTTACCTTTCTAGCAGCATGATAATTTAGATATTTCAAAAGGGTTTCCACCACAAAAACAACTAGATGCTGTATATAAAACACATTTTGAAGTGCTGTGTTGCTCAAAGGAAGAGTATTTTCCAAGGCTACACAGAAAGCAAACAGCAAAGATGGGGATTGAACCCAGGTAGTCAGGCTCCAGAGTCCTCACTCTTAACTACTATGCTATGTTGCCTTTCCATTTCATATATAATGAAGAAGAAATACATATATGTGTATATATATATATATATGAAATGCAAATCAAAGCATATATATAAAATGTTTAAAGAAGTAAATGAAATGGAAAAATATCAAAAAGTATCTCCATATTTTAACATATTTCAGATTTTCACATAAATAGTAATTCTTGTGCTATACAAACTATTCCTGTGCGGAGAAAAAGAAAGTTACCTATTCCATGCCCTAATAAAATCCCAATACTCAAACACAATAATGAAAGTACCCAGACAATAAACTATAGATCTTGTTGACTTGAGAATGTAAATATAAATTTGCCACTAAAAAGTAAGCACCATGAAGACAAGGAGTTTTGTCTGATTTGTTCACCGCTATATCTAAAACTAGTACCTGGAGCACAGAATAGACACTCAATATTTGCTGGAAACCAGTACCTGGAGCACAGAATAGACACTCAATATTTGTTGGATAAATGATTGAAATACTACCAAAGTGAATTTGACATTTAAAAGTAGAAAATTTATCTCAGCGTTTAGAAGAATATTTGGCACAGACACAATAAGCTTAAGTATTTGTTGACTCAAGTGAATTAATGTAATAATTTCATACAATGTAATTTTGATCACATCTATACAAATCATCTCAATTGACAGTTATGTAATAAAGAATTTGGTTGGCGGCTGGGCATGGTGGCTCACACCTGTAATCCCAGCACTTTTTGAGGTCTGGTGGGTAGATCACTTAAGCCCAGAAATTCAAGACCAGCCTGGGCAACACGGCAAAACCCCATCTCCACAATACTCCAAAAAAATTAGCCAAACATGGTGGCACGCGCCTGTGGTCCCACTCCAAGCCTACTCAGGAGGCTGAGGTGGGAGGATCACTTGAGCCCAGAAGTCGAGGCTGTAGTGAGCCAAGATCACACCACTGCACTCCAGACTGGGCAACAGAGTGAGACCTGGTCTCAAAAAAGAAAAAAAAATTGGTTGGTGAAGCGGAAATGGACAAATGGGGTCACATCAAGATAAACCAAGATCACAACACTGCACTCCAGCCTGGGTGACAGAGCAAGACTCCGTCTCAGGGATGGCGGGGCGGAGGGCCGGGCCGAGGGAAGCTTCTACACAGCAAAGGAAACAATCAACCAAGAGAAGAGACAACTCACAGAATGAGAGAAAGTCTTTGCAAATTATCCATCTGACAAGGGATTAACAACCAGAATATATAAGGAGCTCAAACAACTCTATAGGAAATAACCTAATAATCTGATTTTAAAACAGGCAAAAGATCTGAATAGACATTTCTTAAAAGAAGACATACAAATGGCAAACAGGCATATGAAAAGGTGCTCATATCATTGATCACAGAAATGCAAATCAAAACCACAATGAGATATCATCTCACTCCCGTTAAAATGGCTTTTATCCAAAAGATAGGCAATAATAAATGCTGGAGAGGATATGGAGAAAAGGGAACCCCCGTACACTGTTGGTGGAAATATAAAGTAGTACAACCACTATGAAGAACAGCTTGGAGGTTCCTCAAATAAAGAAAAATAGAACTACCATATGATCCAGCAATCTCACTGCTGGGTATATGCCCAAAAGAAAGGAAAATGGTGGTTGGGCACTGTGGCTCATGCCTGTAATCCCAGCACTTTGAGAGGCCAAAGTGAGCAGATCACTTGAGGTGAGAAGTTCAAGACCAGCCTGGGCAACATGGTGAAACCCTGTCTCTACTAAAAATATAAAAATTTGCCAGGCATGGTGGCAGGCACCTGTAATCCCAGCTACTTGGGAGGCTGAGGCAGGAGAATCACTTGTACCCAGGAGGCAAAGGGTTGCAGTGAGCTGAGATTATGCCACTGCACTCCAGTCCCTGGGTGACAGAATGAGACTCTGTCTCAAAACAAACAAAAAGAACAAAAGAAAGAAAGGAAATCAGTATATCAAAGAGTCACTCCCACATTTGTTGTAGCACTGTTCACAACAGCCAAGATTTGGAAGCAACCTAAGTGTCCATCAGCAGATGAACGGATAAAGAAAATGTGGTACATATACACAATGGAGTACTATCCAGCCATAAAAAAGAATAAGATTCTGTCATTTGCAACAACATGGATGGAACTAGAGGACATTATGTTAAGTGATATAAACCAAGCACAGAAAGACAAACTTCACATGTTCTCACTTATTTGTGGGAGCTAAAAATTAAAATGACTGAACTCAAGGAGACAGAGAGTAGAAGGCTCTGAGGCTGAGAAGGGTAGTGGGGGTGGAGTAGGGGATGTGGGGATGGTTCATGGGACAGAACGAAAAATACCTAGTATTTGATAGCACAACAGGCTGACCTATAGTCAATAATTTAATTGTACATTTAAAATGAACTAAAAGAGTATAACTGGATTGTTTGTAACACAAAGGATAAATGCTTGAGAAGATGAATACCCTACTTGCCATGATGTATTATGCATTGCATGCCTGTATCAAAGTATCTCATCTACCTTATAAATATATATACCTACTATATACCCACAAAAATTAAAAAGTTAAAAAAAAAAAGAATTTGATTGGCATTTGATCCCAGTTCCTGGGAAGTGACCTCTAAACCCTTGAATTTCCTAAGTGACAGAAGTACCTTTGCTATTCATTGTGGGCCCCTTGTGCCAGGCCTGATAGTTTATGCTAACAAGGTACCTAAGGATGGCTGCTGGTCACACCAAAAAGACCAACTACGTGATTAAAGGCTTGGGTCTTTGAGCCATATTAGGAGACCTCTGAGGACTGAAGGGTGATGGAGACTGCATTCAACCACATGTCAATGATTCCATCAATCAGGCCTAAATAATAAAGTCTCAATAAAAACTCTACATACCAAAGCTTCGGGGAGCTTCCCTGGGTGGCAATATTTTGCATATTGCTACCTGAGGACAACGGAAGCATCCTGTTTGGAACCATCCCAAACACTCCTATACCTCTCCTCTCATTTATATTCTGTTGCTATAATGCAACTATAATTGTAAGTTTAGCACTTTCTGAAGTTCTGAGAGTCATTCCATCCAATCATCAAACCTGAGGGAATGCCTGGGGGACCCAAAACTATAGCTACCTGGTCAGAAGTGAGAGTGATCCTGGGGACCCCCAAACTGGAGGCTGATATCTGAAGGGAGAGCAGTCTTGTAGAGGATTGTGCCCTAAACCTGTGAAGTCTGGCCCAACTCCAGGTAACAGTAAAAAAAAAAAGCATTGTATTAAAAAAAAACACATACATACATTTGTTCTTGATTTGTAATTCATCTCAAATGCCCATATTTTCTAAACTATTAAGAATAAAAATATTTCCTTAACATGCTAAAGAATATATAAGTAAAATCAATACATATTATATGTTAGTGAAGATATTCTGAATCAGGAACAAAACAAGGATGACCACTCACTGTTATCATTTAACGTTACTCTGAAATGTTGACTGATTGGGTGAAAGTAAATGAAATGTATGTGAAAGGAGAAAACCAAATTGTCATTATTTGCCAACCATATGGTTGTATCATTATAAAATCTAATACAAGCACTGAAAAACAATTAGAATTGATGACAAAGAGTTTAATAAAGCGGCTGGTTATAACAATTTTAATTATAAACCAATAGCTTTCAAATGTGACAGCAAAAACCACTTAAAACTTGTAAAAATAGACTTAAAAAGTCATGTATTTTCAGCAGCAGCAACAAAGACAAAATATTTTAATTTCAGGTGGAAATCTCTAAGTATCTCTCAGAAGATGAATGTACAAACTAAACATGGTATCTACATACAATGGAATACAATTCAGCTTTAAAAAGGAAGAATTCTGAAACATTCTACATGGGTAACCTTGACGATGTTATGCTAAGTGAAATAAGCCAATTGCAAAAGGACAAATATTATATAATTCTGCTTATATGATGTTCCCAGAGTAGTCAAAATCATAGAGGCAAGGTAGAATGGTGGTTGCCAGGGACGATGGGTAGGGGAAATAGGGAGTTTAATGGGTATGGAGTTTCAGTTTGGGAAGATGAAAAAATTTTGGAAATAAACAGTGGGTAATGGTTGTATTCCAGTATCAGTATACTTAATGCCACTGAACTCTACACTGAGAAATGGTTAAGATGGTGAATTTCATGTTGTGTATATGTTACCACAATAAAAAAAATTGAATTTAACAAGATCTAAGCAGGCCTTATAAGAAAAAAATCCAGGGCTGGGTGTGGTGGCTCACACGTGTAACTCAAACACTTTGGGAGGTTGAGGCAGGAAGATCATTTGATCACTTGACGCCAGGAGTTCAAAGACCAGCCTGGGCAATATAGCGAGAGCCCATCTCTAAAAAATAAAAAATAAAAAACACCAGCTGAGCATGGTGGCACACACCTATAGTCCCAGCTACTCAACAGGCTGAGGCAGGAGGATTGCCTGGGCTCAAGGCTGTAGTGAAATACCATCACGCCACTGCACTCCAGCCTGGGAGTAAGAGTGAGACCCCGTCTCTATTTTAAAAAAAAGAAAGAAAGAAAGAAAGAAAAAAATCCTGCAAAGGTTTACTGAGGGATAAACAGAAGTCCTGATTAAGGCCAGGCGCTGTGGCTCACACCTGTAATCCCAGCACTTTGGGAGGCCGAGGCGGAAGGGTCACCTGAGGTCAGGAGTTCGAGACCAGCCTGGCCAACGTGGCAAAACCCCCGTCTCTACTAAAAATACAAAAAAATTTGCCAGGCATGGTAGCGGGTACCTGTAGTCCCAGCTACTCAGGAGGCTGAGGCATGAGAATCACTTGAACCCGGGTGGCAGAGGTTGCAGTGAGCCGAGATCAAGCCACTGCACTCCAGCCTGGGCAACA
Organism: Homo sapiens; assembly: GCF_000001405.40. NCBI lineage: Eukaryota > Metazoa > Chordata > Mammalia > Primates > Hominidae > Homo > Homo sapiens. Next base: position 113,731,880 of record NC_000001.11, read on the forward strand.
GAGCAAGACGCCGTCTCAATTTTAAAAAAAAAAAAAAAAAAAAAGGAAGTCCTGAGTAAAAGGAGAGCAATATCATATTTCTGTATAGCAAAGAGAATGTTGTAAAGAAGTCAAATTTTCTGTCCATCCTCCAAAAATATATGTATACATCTACATTTGTGTATGTGTGCTGGGGAAAGGGGATAATCAGAGAATTCCAATCCAAATTCCTGTATTGTTGGTTTTGGGGGGTCTTTTGGTTTTAATCACGATAAAATAATGCTAACCTATTTTGGAAAGGATAAACAAGAAAGCATGAGAGAAAATGTGGGAAAGCAGAATAATGAAGAAATACTTGGCCAGGCGCGGTGGCTCAGGCCTGTAATCCCAGCACTTTGGGAGGCCGAGGCAGGTGGATCACGAGGTCAGGAGTTCAAGACCAGCATGGTCAACATGGGGAAACCCCATCTCTACTAAAAATACTAAGATTTGTTGGGCGTAGTGGCATACGCCTGTAATCCCAGCTACTTGGGAGGCTGAGGTAGGAGAATTGCTTGAACCCAGGAGGCAGAGGTTGCAGTGAGCCGAGATCACACCATTGCACTCCAGTCTGGGCAACAGAGTGAGACTCCATCTCAAAAGAAAAAAAACAATTTTCCTGCTCAATGTTAATCCATATTAAACAGCTGTGTAGTAATGAAAGCAGTGTGGCATAGATATGAGAATAACCAGAAATTAATGGTACAGAGTATGTAGTCCAGAAACATACCATGGCAAATACAAAAATTTAATATATGGCATAGATATGAGAATAACCAAAACTGATGGTACAGAATATGCAGTCCAGAAACAGACCATGGCATATATGGAAATTTTATCTATATAGGATGCAGTATCTATCAACAAGGAAGGAATAAATAATTTAATAATAAATGTGTGGAAAAAATACTTAATTTTACCCTTACAAGTGACCAAGGAAATTCATATTCAACAAGCTAAATATTTTTTGCACGTCAAATTAGGTAACAATCTTTTGTTGAGGGGGCGGGCAGAGATGCAGTCAGGGTCTTACTCTGTCAGCCAGGCTAGAGTGCAGTGATGAATCATTGCTCACTGTAACTTCGAACTCCTGGGCTCAAGTGATCCTCCCACCTCAGCCTCATAGGTAGTTGAAACTACAGGCTTGCACCACGCCTGGCTAATTTTTTTTTTTTTTTTTTTTTTTTTGTAGAGATGGGATCTCGCTATGTTTCCCAGGCTGGTCTCAAACTCCTGGCCTCAAGTCTTCCCACCTCAGCTTCTCAAAGTTTTGGAATTACAGGCTTGAGCCACTGCCCCCCACCTAGATAACAATTTTTAAAATTATAATAATGCTGGTAAGACCATGGTAAAACAGGTACTCTCATCTATTGCTTTCCAAAACAACTGTGCCATCAGCAATTTCATTATATGTACTAAAAGCCTTAAATGTCCACATTCTTTGATCTGTTAATTCTATTTCAAAGAACAAATCCTAAATAAATAATATAAAATAAGGAAAACTTTGTTCCTGCTGGCATTATTAATAAAAAACACATAGAAACCACCTAAATGCCCACAATATGGGAAGATGCTATAACATATGTCCCCAACAAAACTCATATTGAAATCTTAATCCTTAATGTGATCGTATTAGGAGATGGGGCCTTTGGTAGCTGATTAGGTCATGAGGGCAGAGCTCTCATGAATGAGATTAGTAACCTTATTAACGAGATTCCAGAGAGCTCCTGTGGCCCTTCAGCAACATGAGGACCCAGAGAGAAGCAGACCCTCACCAGACACTGAATCTGCTAGTGCTCTGATCTGAACTTTTCAGAACTGTGAGAAATAACTTTTTGTTATTTATAAAGCACCTAGGCCATGATATTTTTGTTGTATCAGCCCAAGTGGCATAAGACAGAAATTGGTACTGAGAATGGGGGGTCCTACTATAACAAATACCTAAAAATGTGGAAGCAGCTTTATAAATAGGTAATGGGTGGAGACTAGACGAATACTTGAAGTACATAGTAGAAAAAGCCTAGATTGCCTTAAACATTTTTAAAAGAGATTCTGGTGAGGAATCAGAAAGAAAAGAGGAGGCCGGGTGTAGTGGTTCACACCTGTAATCCCAGCACTTTGGGAGGCCAAGGCGGGTGGATCACCTGAGGTCAGGAGTTTGAGACCAGCCTGGTCAACATGATGAAACCCTATCTCTACTAAAAACACAAAAATTAGTCAGGCATGGTGGCAGGTGCCTGTAATCCCCGCTACTCAGGAGGCTAAGGCAGGAGAATCACTTGAACCTGGGAGGCGGAGGTTGCAGTGAGCCAAGATCACGCCACTGTACTTCAGCCTGGGCAACAGAGCAAGACTCTGTCTTGAAAAACAAAATAAAACAAACAAACAAAAACAAAGAAAGAAAAGAGGGGAGCTAGAGAAAAAGCCTCAATCTTCTTAAAGAATACCTAAGTAACCATGAACAGACTATTGGTAAAATATGAGGTAAAGTCCATTCTGATGAGGTCTCAGATAGAAATGAGAAATAATATGTTATTAGAAACTGAAGGAAAAACAATCCTTGTTACAGAGTGGTAAAGAACTTGTTGAACTGTATTTGTGGTCTAGGATTCTGTGGAAAGTGAAACTCGCAAGTGATGAAATTGCATATTTAGCTGGAGCTATTTCTAAGCAAAGTATTAAAGGTGCAGCTTGGCTCTTCCTATGTGCTTATAGTAAAATGTGAGAAGAGAGAAATGACTTAAAAGACAGAATTGTTAAGCAAAAAGGAAGCATAACTTAAAGATTTGAAAAGTTCTTAGCCTATCCACATTGTAAAAAGTGAGAAAGCATGTTAGAGAGGTCCCCAGTCACATATAACCAGTTGGTTATAGTTTGGGGATGAGTGCCCTTATAGATGTGGCCTTATAAAATGACTCCTAAGAGCTCCCTTGCCCCTTCCACCATGTGAGGACACAGCAAGAAGACTGACACCTATGAATCAGAAAGCAGGCCCTCACCAGATACCACATCTTCTGGCACCTTGATCCTGGACTTCACAGCCTCCAAAACTGTCAAAAATAAATTTGTGTTGTTGATAAAACACCCAGTCTATGGTATTTTTCTTATAGCAGCCTGAACAGATTCATACAGAAAGGTTACGTAAATTACAGTACTCTTACATAATGGACTATTAAAAGCTATATAGGCCAGGTGTGGTGGCTCACACCTGTAATCCCAGAACTCTGGGAGGCTGAAGCAGGAGGATCACCTGGGGTCAGGAGTTCAAGACCAGCCTAGACAACACAGTGAAACCCTGTCTCTACTAAAAATACAAAAATTAGCCAGGCATGGTAGTGTGTCTCTGTAGTCCCAGTTACTTCGGAGGCTGAGGCAAGAGAATCACTTGAACCTGGGAGGCAGAGGTTGCAGTGAGCCAAGACCACACCACTATACTCTAGCCTGGACAACAGAATGAGACTCTGTCTCAAAAAAAAAAAAAAAAAAAAAAAAAAAAAAGGCAGCTATACAAAGATGTTTATGATAAATCCATATGATAGACTCTACATATGACTCTACATATGATAGACTGTACAGACATTAAAATGATAGTTTTAAATGATGGTATGCCCATATGATGAATTATTATGCAGCCATTAAAATGATCATTATGAAGACTTAATTTAAATCAAATAAAATTTAAAATTCAGTCTCTTACTGACACTAACTACATTTTGAATACTCAATAGCCACATATGGCTAAGTAGCTACTATACTGGGCAGCACAGACGCGGAACATTTCCATTACAGATATTCTAATAAATGACACTTTCACAACTTTAAAAAAATTAAACCTATAGATTTGTAAATTTATACATATATTTTTCACTCTATATCTTAAAAAAATTTTTAACTGACACAAATAGAAGAACCCATAATTCTTTCACCTTAACCCAACTTTCTCCCACTCTTTGTTCTAATTCATATCTTTTTGCAGAGATGTAACCATAGTATATACTGTCTACTTCCTTGGTAGACAATGGGGATACAGTCGTAAAGAGAATATATTGGGTCCCTGCACACAGTTAGAAAACATCAGGTAGCGATGTGTAACCCAGAAATTAAAATTGATTCTTATGATAGTGACTAGAGGGTATTAGGACTACTTAGAAATATAAATAGGAGGCCAGGCGCAGTGGCTCACACCTGTAATCCCAGCACTTTGGGAGACCGAGGCGGGCGGATAGCAAGGTCAGGAGATCGAGACCATCCTGGCTAACACGGTGAAACCCCGTCTCTACTAAAAATACAAAAAATTAGCTGGGCGTGGTGGCGGGTGCCTGTAGTCCCAGCTACTCGGGAGGCTGAGGCAAGGGAATGGCGTGAACCCAGGAGGCAGAGCTTGCAGTGAGCCAAGATCGCGCCACTGCACTCCCGCCTGGGCAACAGAGCGAGACTCCATCTCAAAAAAAAAAAAAAAAAGATACGTAGATAGGAATGGCCTCTTTATGAAAGTTACAACCCAGCTGAGATTTAAAGGTGAGAAAAAAGCCAGCCATTTGAAAAGCCTTAAGAATGCTTTAAACAGCCGGGCACAGTGGCTCACACCTGTAATCCCAGCACTTTGGGAGGCTGAGGCGGGTGGATCACCGGAGGTCAGGAGTTCGAGACCAGCCTAGACAACATGGTGAAACCCCATGTCTACTAAAAATACAAAAAATTAGCTGGACGTGGTGGCGCACACCTGTATCCCAGCTACTCGGGAGGTTGAGGCACGAGAATCACTTAAGCCTAGGAGGCAGAGGTTGCAGTGAGCTGAGATTGCACCACTGCACTCCAGCCTGGGAAAAAAGAGCCAAACTCCGAATGCTTCAAACAAAACAAAACAGCTCCGTGTGAAGAACAAAAAAAGGATATTATGTCTACAGCCAGCACGAGCAGAGTGGTAAGAAATAGGAGATGATGTCTGAGAGAAGAGCAGGCACCAGGTCCTGTAGGGCATTATAGGCCATGGTAAGAACTTTGGATTTTTATTCTAAGGTCAACAGAAGTCACTACAGGGTTTTAAGCAGGAAAATGACATTATATGGCTTCTGTTTTTAAAAGATTTTGCTAATTGCTGTGGAAAGAATGATTGGTAGAAAGAAGGCTCAGAGTAGATGTTATTCCAGTGGTCTAAGCAAAGAAATGCTGGTGCTGTGGACAATGATCATGGCAGTAGAGACTGAGATAAATATAGTGAAAAATTTGGAGGAAGAACTCACAGACTTGGTGACATATTACATGTGAGAGTTGATGGTAGGGTAGAGTAGGAAGATTTAATTTTTCACCTGAATACTGGGTGATTGATAGTATCATTTAATGAACTGGAGACAAAAAGAAGAACAAGTTTACACACACAGGCACATGTGTGCAGCGCACACACACACAAGTGAAGAGTTCCATTTTTTATATAATTAACTTCAAGATACCAATTAAATCTCCATATGGAAATGTCAAAGCAGGCAATTAGATTTATAAGTCTGAAGTGCAGCGGAGAGATCTGGCCTGAAGATATAGATTTGGGAATCACCTGTATATCAATTGTATTTAAAGCAATAGGCCTTAATGAGACTACTTAGAGAATAGAACCTAGGGTGCAAACTTTAGGTAATCCAATATTCAGGCTAAACGTGGTGGCTCACATCTGTAATCCCAACACTTTTGGGCCTAAGAATTCAAGACCAGCCTGGGCAGCATGACAACATCTTGTCTCTACAAAAAAATACAAAAATTAGCCAGGCACAGTGGCATACACCTGTAGTGCCAGCTACTTGGGTGGCTGAGGTGGAAGGATTGCTTGCGTCTGGGAGGTCAAGGCTGCAGTGAGCTGTGATCATGCCACTGCACTCCAGCCTGGGTGACAGAGAGAGACCCCGTCTCAAAAACAAAAACAAAAAACACACATACCCAATTTCAAAGGCTCAAAGGTCAGACACAAGAAAAGACTGAGAAGGCCTGGCCAGTGAGACAGGTAGAAAGAAACTCAAGTGAGGAGAAAGAGTTACACAAGTATGTTTGCTCTCTCATAGCAGATAATTTTAATATGAACCCCAAATGGCATATGTCTCTTCATTCTGTGTACTTTAAACTGTCAAATGAAAGGGTAAATGTAAAATCAGTAGGTCTTCATTATTTAATAGCAAAAGCAGCAAAAAGAAACTGTCATTGCTTATTCCAATTTCTCCAATTACCTTGCATGAAATAAAGTAGTAACAGCCAAACAAAGATTCTTAAAGAGGTAACCTGAATCCACCAATTGCTGAACAATGGAAAAAATACAACTCGAACAAGCCCCTTCCGAGTCAGAGATGTCCATGGAATTTCAGGTTTTGCTTTGGCAAATGTTGACCCTTTAAACATACAATAAAACAAAACATCAAACATTTATATACACTGTATTGAAGGCCACCTGTAGCACTACATTAAAAATAGGTGAGTGCAAAAATCAGCACAAAACCTGTTCAGTTAAAAAAAAAAACCCTCTTAGATGTTTGTTAAATGTAATAACTTCTTGCCTCAATCACTAGGACAGAAGCTCAAAATAAGTCAGGCTTACTTGAATGTTAAACAACATATTTATCTTAATTACACAACAGCAAGTCTCTACGTTCATCCCTCTTTTACATGTATGCATGTAATTTATAGAGTCACACAGTACTAAGAGGTGGAAAAAGTGCTAAAGCCTGAATGATGAGAGTAAAGTGTTACATTTAGAAATTAAAGTATACCATCATATAGAGAAGATATTGAAAATTAAGCATCCCTGTGAAATAATATAATAATGTACATAAAAAACAATTTTAAGACTAACCTCTGATTAAGTCAACGTCAATCAAGTCTGGCTTTATGTGGCCCATCTTTTTCGGTTTGTTTTTCAAACCCTAGGATAAAACAAAACAAAAATAAAATCAGAAATAAAGAAAAGCCCTTTTATTTATTTATTTATTTTTGAGACACAGTTTCGCTCTTGTAGCCCAGGCTGGAGTGCAATGGCGTGATCTCGGCTCACTGCAACCTCTGCCTCCCAGGTTCAAGTGATTCTCCTGCCTCAGCCTCCTGAGTAGCTGGAATTGCAGGTGCCCACCATTAAGCCCGGCTAATTTTTTGTATTTTTAGTAGAGATGGGGTTTCACCATGTTGGCCAGGCTGGTCTCAAACTCCTGACCTCAGGTGATCTACCCACCTCGGCCTCCCAAAAGTCTGGAATTATAGGTGTTAGCCTCTGCGCCCAGCCAGAAAAGCCCTTTTAAATACAAAAAATAAACTTACATTTCTTTTTCTCTATATCTGATTCCCTTTTACTGGGGACACTTTAATCCTAAAGCTCCTTAAAGGAACTTGCCATTAATACATATTTTGTTTTAGTTTTTAATCCTCTCCACTAATGCATCAATATACTTTATCACTTTTTAAAATATTCGAACAGTGCCAACAGATCAATACGTGAAAAACAACAGTCCCCTAAGCCATCTCTCCTCTCCTCTGAATTTCACTCCTCAAAAACAAATAACTTCCATCTTTTTTTTGCTTCTACTATTTTTAATTGACACGTTATAATTGTGCATATTTATGGCGTAGAATGTGATATTTCAATACATGCATACAATGTGTAATGATCAAACTATATCTATCACCTTGAACATTTATCATTTCTTTGTGTTGGGTTCATTCAAAATCCACCCTGCTAGGTATCTGAAAAAATATAATAAATTGTTAATTATAGCCACCTTACAGTGCTACAGAACACTAAACCTTATTCCTATCTAGCTGTACTTTTGTATTTGTTAACCAACCGTTGGCTATCTGTCATTGCCTCCCTCTTATACTTCCCCACCTCTAATAACTACTATTCTACTCTCTACTTCTATGAGATCAACTTTTTAGCTTCCATGTATGTGTGAGAACAGAAAGTATTTATCGTTCTGTGCCTGGCTTATTTCACTTTGCATAACGTTCTCCATTTCCATTCTTGTTGCCATGAATGACACAACTTCATTCTTTCTTACAGCTAAATAGTATTCCACTGTGTATATATACCATATTTTCTTAATCCATTCACCTGTTGATGGACACGTACACTGAATTCCATGTCATGACTATTGTGAACAGTGCTGCAATAAACATAGGAATGCAGATATCCCTTCGACATACAGATTTTCCTTCCTTTGGATATATACTGAGACTGCTGGATCATATGGTAGTTCTATTTCTAGTTTTTTGAGGAACCACGAGACTGTTTTTCATAATGGCTGTACTAATTTACATTCATACCACCAGTGTATAAGAATTCCCCTTTCTCTGCATCCTTGCCAGCATTTTTTTTTGTCTTTTTGATAATAGCCATTCTAATTAGGTTGACGTGGTATCTCATTGCGGTTTTGATTTGCATTTCCCTGATGATTGGTGGTATCAAGCATTTTTTCATATACCTGTTTGCCATCTGTATTGTCTTCTTTTGAGAGATGTCTATTCAGCTCATTCACCCATTTTAAAATTGAAGTATTTGGATTTTTGCTATTGAGTTATTTGAGTTCCTTATATATATTAATCCCTTTTCAGATGAAAAGTTTGCAAATGTTTTCTCTCATTCTGTAGGTTGTCTCTTCAATCTTGATTGTTTCCTTTGCTGTGCAGAAGCTTTCTAGTTTGATACAATCCTATTTATCTATTTTTGTTTGTTACCTGTGCTTCTGAGGTCTTCTCCATAAAATCTTTACCCAGACCAATGTTCTTAAGCATTTCCCCTATGTTTTCTTCTAGCAGTTTCAGGTCTTACATTTAAATCATTAATCCATTTTGACTTGATTTTTGTATATGGTGAGAAATAGTGGCCAGGTGCAGTGGCTCACCCCTATAATCCCAGCACTTTGGGAGGGGCCAAGGTGGGAGGATACTTGAGGTCAAGAGTTTGAGACCAGCCTGGCCAACATGCTGAAACTCTATCTCTACTAAAAACACAAAAAGTAGCTGGGCATGGTGGCGGGCACCTGTAATCCCAGCTACTCAGGAGGCTGAGGCAGGAGAAGCACTTGAACTGGGAACATGGAGGTTGCAGTGAGCTGAGATCACACCACTACACTCTAATCTGGGTGACAGAGCAAGACCCTGTCCCTTAATTTAAAAAATAAAAATAAAATAATTTGCACATGCTAATTCTTAATTATGTCTTAAAAATTAGATATTCAATCACTAAAATTAATGCCAAAATTAAAGGTTACCGTAATTTGCTGTTTACCTATTACAGACATTGAACCAGTATTGATCTTTAGCTTTGCTTAAACAGATGCAGTCAGTTTCTCTTGTGAATCTTATATATTTCTATTCAACTCACCATAAGCTGTAGATTTTACAGAAAAATGTTCTAAAACCTTAAATGTAATAAAATTAAAGAAGGAATCAAAATTTGAAAATGAGGCAACTCAAGGAAAAAACTCTTTGAAGAAACATGTACACTAATTTTTGAAATATGCATAATTTTCATGAGAATAACAATTATCTTGTGTACTATATTCAAAATCAGAAATTAAAAATTTAAAGGTAAAAATATTACTTTTTACCTTTTTGGACATTTGTCCCAGTGCTAAGCTTTCTGGACATTTGTACCAGTGCTATTCCCCATCACTTTAGAGCCAAAATAATTTTTCTACTTTCTTTGCTTTCTAGACTTTTCTCCAACAATGTTACAGAGTTAGAATTAGCATTAACTAGAGGTAAAATTATCCAAAGCTCCCTTAGCAATAGAAACACATTTATTCACTCAGTCAACAAATATTCGACAAGTATCTTCTATATGTCAGATAATCTGCTTGAGCTAGGTATAAAATAATAAGTCAAAACACGGCTCTATCTTCAAAGAATGTACAGTATAGAAGGGAAGACAAACAATAATGCCAAATGTACAAGGGTTTCTCAGGAAAATACCCTCTGAATCTCCCCATTTTTTTATTTCCTAAAGGGACAGAAATCATTAATAAACTTATGACTACTGATCTTATGGGAGATTACAAAAGTCACAATATACTGTTGTATATTTTGCACTGAGGGAGAGTAAAAAACACATTCCATACTTTAGAATCCTTCTGCTTTATCTTCCACCGTGCATGTATGTGTAACAAGAGGAAGTACATGGCAGGCACTATCCTAAGCACTTTTACATATAGTCATGCATCACTTAATGTCAGGGATACATTCTAAGAAATTCATCTTTAAGTGATTTCACTGTTGCCTGAACATCATACAGCGTAGTCACACAAATCTTGATGGTAAAGCTTACTACACACCTAGGCTATATGGCAGCCTATTGCTCCGAGGCTACAAATCTGCCCAGCATATTACTATGCAGAATATTTAGGCAATTTTAAACCCAGTGGTATTTGTGTCTAAACCTAAAAAAGGTACAGTAAAAATATGGTATAAAAAATGGGGCTGGGCGCGGTGGCTCACACTTGTAATCCCAGCACTTTAGAAGGCCAAGGCAGGAGGATCACCTGAGGTCAGGAGTTTAAGACCACCCTGGCCAACATGGTGAAACCCCCGTCTCTACTAAAAATACAAAATTAGCCAGGCGTGGTGGTGGGCACCTGTAATCCCAGCTACTCAGGAGGCTGAGGCAGGATCACTTGAGCCCGGGAGGCTGAGGTTGCAGTGAGCCAAGATCGCGCCATTGCACTCCAGCCTAGGCGACAAGAGTGAAACTCTGTCTCAATAAAGAAAAAAAAAAGATAAAAAATGGTACACCTGTATAGGGCACTTATCATGAATAGTGCTCTCAGGATTGGGAGTTGCTCTGAGTGAGTCAGTGAGTGAGTGGTAAATGAAAGTGAAAGCCTAGGACACTGCTGTAGTACACTATTGTAGACTTTATAAACACCATAAACATAGGCTACACATTTTTTAAAACCTTCCTTTCTACAATAATAACTTTTTTTTCTCTGGGACAGAGTCTTGCTCTGTTGCCCATGATATAGTGCAATGGCACGATCACAGCTCACCACAATCTCATCCTCCTGGGCTCAAGCAATCCTCCTACCTCAGCCTCCCAAGGAGTTTTTTGTTGTTGTTGTTGTTGTTGTTTTTGTAGAGAAGGGGTCTTGCTTTGTCACCCAGGCTGGTCTCAAACTCCTGGTCTCAAGTGATCCTCCTGCTGTGTCCTCTCAAAGTGCTAGAATTACAGGCATGAGCCACCTCACCCAGTCTGTTCTATGATAACTTAACCTTAGCTTACTGTAATGTTTTTACTTTATAAGCTTTATAATTTTTTTAACTTTTTTACTCTTTTGTAATAACAGTTTAAAAACACACATTTTCTTTATATCTTCATAAGCTTTTTTTTTTCTTACTTTTTAAATAAAAACTAAGACACACACAGCCAAGGCCTACATAGGGTCAGGATCATCAATATCATTGTCTCCCACCTCCATATCTTGTCCTACTGTAGGGTCTTCAGGGGCAATAACACACAGGGAGCTGTCATCTCCTATGATCACAATGCCTTCTTCTGGAATACCTCCTGAAGGACCTACCTGAGACTGTTTTACAGTTAACTGATTTTTTTTTAATAAATAGAAGGAGTCCACTCTAAAATTAAACAATTCAAAGTATAGTATAGTAAATATATAAACCAGTAATATAGTCATTTATTATCATTATCAAGTGTTAGATACCGTACATAACTGTATGCTATACTTTTTATGACTGACAGTGCATTTGGTTTGTTTACTCCAGCATCACTCCAAACACATGAGTAATGTGTCGTGCTATGACTTTAGGATGGCTACAAAATCACTAGGCAATAGGAATTTTTCAGCTCCATTATAATCTTATGGGACCATTGTCGTATATGAGGTCCATTGATGACAGAAACATCATTATGTGGCACATGACTGTACTTAAGTTAACTTGACTCATTTAATCCTCACAAATGTCCTATGAGATTGGTACCTTTATTATCCTCACTTTACGGATAAGGCAACCAAGGCAGAGATTCCAACCCTTTCATTCTCATTCCAAAGTCTGTGCTCTAACCACTACACTATCCTGCCTTTCGCTATATGACACAAAATGCATCCCTAATCAAAGTAGAGAGAGGTTTTGTTTAAATCAAACAAGACTGCTTAACTTTGAGAGGTTCAATGGGCATTATGAGTGGATTTCCTTACTGGCCACAACCTCTACCTCAGCAGCCCAGGAAAAGATTGTAGGACAGAATCAGCATAATCACTAGTTGCCAGAGTAGTGGTCTGGAAATTCTCTGCAGATCCCCAGCTGTAGGCTGTACGCAGCCCTCTCTACTGTCTGCCCCCAACATAACTGTGCAACATCATCACAAGCTCAGAACCACTTGACAAATGAAGTCCCCACTTTTTGGAAGAGGAACAAAAACACTGGAGGTATTGATGCAATATAATTGGACTTTGTATTAAACAAGGAATAAAAAACAAGTGAAACCCTGTGAGAAATCTCTATTTCCTAGGGTGCTGAAATTTTCTATTTTATTACAATCAAAAGAATTGAACTATTTATACAGTCTGGTGCAGAGAGGGAAGTTACCCCTGATTTGGGGCATATGGTGAACAACAAAACAATTACAAGGCAAGTATAGCACTACAGGAACATCCATAAAGGACACCTTATTCACATTTAAGAAGTCCAAGAAAGATTTCCACAAAGAAAAATAGTATCTAACCTGATACCTGAAGAATGTATAAGAACTTGTAAAGTTGCACATGTGATATAGCAAAATGAGGAATCAAGAAACACATATGATCATGCCTGCAATCCCAGCACTTTGGGAGGCTGAGGCAGGCAGATTCCCTGACCTCAGGGCGACCAGCCTGGGCAATATGGTAAAACCCTGTCTCTTATACTAAAATGCCAAAAATTAGCCGGGAGTAGCTGCTATGAGCCTGTAGTCCCAGCTACTCAGGAGGCTGAGGCAGGAGAATTCCTTGAATCAGGGAGGTGGAAGCTGCAGGGAGACAAGATCAAGCCACTGCACTCTAGCCTGGGTGACAGAGCAAGACTCTGTCTCGAAAGAAGGGAATGGAAGGGAAGGGGAGGGGAGTTGGGGAGGGGAGGGGAAGGGAGGGCAGGGCAGGAGAGGGCAAGGCAGGGCAGGGCAGGGCAGGGCAGGGCAAGAAAGAAAGAAAAGCATGAGAGGACCCAGGAATAAGAGATAGCATGGTAAAAACTAAAGTAAGTTTGAGAAGGCCTAAAGCACAGAATGGAAGTGAAAAGAGGTCAAGACATGGGTGAGAGAGGTAAACTTGTGAGATGAGAAGAAGCCATAATGTGAAAACTATAACCATGCTAGGAGTATGATTTTATTGTAAGGGTACTAGGAAGTCAGGAAACAGTTTTAAGTATGAGAAAAATAATCAAATTTGTGTTAAAACAGAAACCAAAAAACAACAACCTGGCTCTGCTATAAAGAACAGATGGAGGGTAAAGAGAGATAGGAAGCAAGAGAAAGCAGTTAGAAAGTTAAAAAACCTACCCCAGTAATCTAATCAGGAGTGGACAAAATTTTTCTATAAAGAGCCAGATGGCATTTTAGGCTTTATGGACTATATCAGGGGTCTCCAACCCCCAGGGCATGGAATAGTGGTACGTGGCCTGTTAGGAACCAGGTTGCACAGCAGGAGGTGAGGGGCAGGTGAGAGAACAAGGGAAGCTTTATCTGTATTTACATCCACTCCCCACTGCTCAAATTACCACCTCAGCCCTACCTCCTGTCAGATGAGTGGCGGCATTAGATTCTCACAGGAGTGCAAACCCCACTGTGACCTGCACATTCGAGGGATCTAGGTTGCATGCTCCTTATGAGAATCTAATGCCTGATGATCTGTCACTGTCTCCCATCACCCCCAGATGGGACTGTCTAGTTGCAGAAAAACAAGCTAAGGGCTCCCACTGATTCTACCTTATGGTGAGCTGTACAATTATTTCATTATATATTATAAGGTAATAATAGAAATAAAGTGTACAATAATTGTAATGTGCTTGAATCATTGTAAAACCATCCCCCCACACCAGTCCATGGAAAAACTGTCTTCCATGAAACTGGTCTCTGGTGCCAAAAAGGTTGGGGACTGCTGGACTATACAATCTCTGTCACAACCACTCAGCCACTGTAGCACTAAAGCAGACACAGACATTGAATATAAATATGTAAAGCACTAAACCTGGCTGTGTTTCAGCTAGATTTGCACATAAGCAATAGTTTGCCAACCAGATGAGTAGACAATAGGTTAGACCAGGTAATTAGAAGCGTGAACTGGGAAGAGTACTCATATTCAAAAGATATTTAGCAGGTATCATCCAGAAGTATTGGTAACTGAAAATGTGAGATTAGTGTGAAGGTGAAGAACTCTAAACCCTGACTTCAGTACTTTAGCAATTCACTGAATAGGAAAGGTAAGAAAATGAAAAGTATTGGGTCATGGGAGGAAGGTCACATTCAGCTCACATTCCACTGGCCAAGCAAATCCCCTGACTAAGGTGGAAGTCTGTGGGGCCAGGAAGAATTCTTCTCTTATAGGAAGGCACTGCAACTCACATGACAGTAAGTGCAGCCATATAATCTTCTTACAGGTAAGAATAATTACAGGTAGTGAATAATTAGGAAAATTACTATAATATACAGTTCAGTCCATCTGACTCTAAATTTCTTGCCTAAATGCTAAGGAGATTTGTTGGTTTTGGCACCGGTATAAATAAAGCATATTGGTATAGCCAATATACGTAAATACTCACATACCTCTAAATCTACCTATCGCATATGGAAATATATGTATATCCTATTACTCAGGTAACATCATTTAATGTATTATTTGGTTTTGGAGGAAAAATGTTGTAAAATTAAATCTTTATTTGTACTAAAATAATACTCATATTACAAGGTTAATAAAAAATAACATTCCAGTCTCACCCTTCCTTACCCTTGATTCATACATCCTAGCTATTTCTTCTCTTTACTTCTAAAACAAAAAATGTTTACAGTGCTTTCATCAATTTCAGATGTTATCCATTCATTTCTTACTGTTGAAGATGAGGAAATAACTCTTATTTAGCCTTTCTATGCCTCAATTCCTTCACCTATAAAAAAGGGAAGATAATAGCACATACCTCATAAGATTATCATGAGGATCAATTGTGTGTGTTGCTTAAAACAATGCAAGACATACTACACACTATTAATGATTACAGCATCACCAAACACGCACGCCCTCCTGAACTATAGTTTTTTCCAATAGAGTTTTATCACAAATTTTTGTTACATCAATGTTTAGAGGGTTATAATTACATAAATATTGTTCACAGCTAAGCCAAGTAGTGAACTATTATATTTTCCTCTCACAAATTTTTTGCTTGTCCTAGAACTGTAATTGCCTCATTTTTTAATGCACTTAATCTTCTATTACTAATTCATCTTTAAACTCCCTCTGTTACATATCTGCTTCCAATATGCTCGAACACAACATATATCAGTTTAGTTTTCCCCCTTCAAGAGTTCTATATCAATTTTCTGTCCTCATACTCCATTCTGGACTGGTTGTTTTCTAGGTCAGATATAAGGTATCATCCTGAGACATTTGCAATTATCCTGGAATTCCTTTTACTTTGCTGTGTTGGCTGTCCTGTTTTCTGACACTATGAATTCCTTTCTGGCTTATTCATGGATTATAATACAGTACATGTCCTCCCACAGCTTTCTGAGAGAGGGAGTATGGGATATGAATTTTGAGACTCTAAGTTCAAAATATATCAGTGGTGCCTTTGCACTTGATTAATAATTAGGCTGGGCATAAAACTTCAGGTTGAAAATCACTTTCTCTCATGTGCCATTGTCCCTCACCTTCCACTGAACATTCCATTATCTTTTAGCTTCCAAATGAGCTAGAAGTTGCTGCTGAGGGGCAGTATCTCTGACTCCCAATTTTTGTCTACATGATCCGTTTTGATCCTTCACTCTACTCCATGCTTAACCCAAGCTCTAATTCTAAATGTTCTGAAATTTCATGATAATGTTTCTCAGTGCTGATGACTCAAAAGATCCTTTTATTTTCCTTTTTCTTTTGAGACAGAATCTCGCTTGTCGCCCAGGCTAGAGTGCAGTGTTGTATTCACGGCTCTCTGCACCTTTGAACTCCCAGGCTCAAAGGACCCTTTCACCTCAGCCGTCTGAGTAGCTGCGACTACAGGCACACACCACTACACCCAGCTGATTTTTAAATTTTATTGTAGAGATAGGATCTCACTTTGTTGCCCAGGCTGGTCTCAAACTCCTGAGTTCAAGGGATCCTCTTGCCTCAGCCTCCCAAAGTGCTAGGATTACAGGCGTGAGCCACCATGCCCAACGAAAAGATCCTTTTAATCTGGAAATACATACACAGTACTGCATTTCTGGGGCAATTTTTAAAATTATTTATTAATTTCTTCTTCTCCATGTATTTCCTTTTTCTGGAACATCTATTAGTTGGATATTACATTTCCTGCATGAATTGCACTCACTTTGCTATTTTCTTTTTTGTTGTTCATTTTTATACTACTTTTCTGGGAAATGGTCTCAAATTTATCTTCTAACTTTTCCACTGAATTTATTTTAATTTTTATTTATTTATGTGTTTATTTTTGAGACAGGGTCCCACTCTGTCACCCAGGCTGGAGTGCAGTGGTGCAATCACGGCTCACTGCAGCTTCGACTTCCCAGGCTCAGATGATCTCCCACCTCGGCCTCCTAAGTAGCTGGGACTACAGGCATGCAACGCCAAGCCCAGCTAATTTTTTTGTATTTTTTGTAAAGACAGGGTATCACCATGTTGCCCAAGCTAATCTTGAACTCCTGGGCTCAAGCGATCAGCCTCGGCCTCCCAAAGTGCTGAGATTACAGGCGTGAGCCACTGTACCCAGCCACCCCTGAATTTATTCTGATTATTTTTATTTTCTAGTCTTCTCACTTTCTAATCTATAGTCTATTTTTTAAGCATTCTTAATTTTTAAATTGACAGATAATATTCTATGTATTCAGTGTGTACAACATATTCTGAAGTGGATATACACTGTAGAATGACTAAATTAATATATACATTACCTCACATGGTTATTATTTGTGTGGTGAGAACACTTAATATCCACTCTCTTAGCATTTTTCAAGAATACAACATACTAACTATAGTCACCAATGTTATACAATAGATGTCCTGAAGATATCTCAGTCTTTTTATAGTATCCAGTTCTTTAAAGGTAGTAATTATATCTTTAAAAACACTGTTTTTATGATTCCTGCATTGCTTCTTTTCTCTTTTCTTCTTTTTCTTTAGGTCTTAAATATTTGATGATCTTTAATTATCCATTTATAATTAACAGTCACTAACACACTGAATGCAAGCTCAGTGTGCAATGCGTGAAGCATTTTGAATAGTGGACCTCACTATAGAGGCGTGGCCAGTCATTTCACTTTTCAGTATCCTTAGGTTCTCTTTGGTTACTCAGTTTTGACGAAAAGAAATTCCAGTCTTCTGTTTGCAGATTATAAATCTGACGACCAGACTTTCACTTAATCCCCATTATTAGTGCAGCATCTCACCAGACTCTGATTTGTTTCTGGTCTTCCAGAATCCAGAACTTCTCTGGCTCAGCCTCTCCAGAGAGCAAGCTTCAACCCGGTCTTCTGTCAGAGGAAGATAAGGGTAACTATGTGGCTACATGGAATAAGGAAGATCTGGGGGTAGATCTATTATCCCTTATACACATGTTCAAACAATCCTGTCTTTAGTTCTTTCTCACTCCTACAGATTATACCTGATACATCTAATTCCTGAGTCTTTCAGAAGTTAATTACAGGGGTTTTACTTGTTTCCTATTGGCTTTCCCTATTGCAGGCACTTAAGAGTTTTACTTCTTTCATTTTCCAACCTTCGAAATTGTATTGATAGCTCTCATTTACTGTAGTCTCTTCTTCCATTCTTTAAGTCCTTGCAGGCTGCCATGATTTTTTCTTATCTGTTGTACTTTTAAAGAGGTTTCAGGAGAGATTAGTGCATGTATTTGAACTACCATTTTTTGGGTTTTGTTTTGTTTTTGTTTTTTTTTCAGGACAGGGTCTTGCTCTGTCACCCCGTCTAGAGTGCAGTGGCACAATCATAGCACACCACAGCCTCAAACTCCTGGGCTCAGGCGATCCCCCCCAACCAGCTTCCCCAGTATCTGGGACTACAGGCACATGCCCACCACACCCAGCTAATTTTTTTATCTTTTTGTAGAGCTATGTTGCCCAGGCTGGTCCCAAACTCCCGGCCTCGAGCAAAAACCTCGGCTTCCCAGAGTGCTGGGATTATAGGCGTGAGCGACCACGCATGGCCTCAAACTGTCATCTTTAATGAGGAGTGTCAGTGTCATCTATCATATGGCCACCATCCTGCTTAAATAAAACATTATAAATACAGCTGAAGTAGTCTCTGTGCTTCTGATTAGCCTTTTTTATTCTCTAAATACAAAACCATGCTATCTTCAAACAGTGATTTTTGTTCACTCTAATATTAATTTTTAAAAATAAAACACACAAAAAAGAAAAGATAATATTAATTAATATTAATTAGAATGTTTTGCTCATCTTAGCAAATGTATCTCAAACAGTATGCTAAAGAGTAGTAAAAGGGGCCAGGCGTGGTGGCTCACGCCTGTAATCCCAGCACTTTGGGAGGCCAAGGCAGGCAGATCATGAAATCAAGAGATCGAGCCATCCTGGCCAACATGGTGAAACCCCACCTCTACCAAAAATACAAAAATTAGCTGGGCATGGTGGCGTGCGCCTGTAATCCCAGCCACTCGGGAGGCTGAGGCAGGAGAATCACTTGAACCTGGGAGGCGGAAGTTGCTGTGAGCACTGCACTCCAGCCTGGGCAACAGAGCAGGACTCTGTCTCCAAAAAAAAAAAAAAAAGATTAGTAAAAGGGGAGATTCTTATTTTAGGCTTATTTTGGAGGACTAAGTTACACTCCATCACTGAAAATAATATTAGACATTAGATTTAATATATTCTCTCAATTAAAAAATTTTAGGGCTGGGTGTGGTGGCTTACATCTGTAATCCCAGCACTTTGGGAGGCCAGGGAGGGAGAACTGCTTAAGCCCAGGAGTTCAAGACCAGCCTAGGCAATGTGGTGAGACCTTGTCTCTACAAAATATAAAATATTTTTTAAAAATTTAGAAAACAATTTTAATTGTGAATATGTATACATTTACATTTTTGGTGTACTATATTATGATTTTTCCTACTTTTACTATTGGTATAATTTTTAAAGTAGCTTTATTGAGGTATAATTTACATACTATTAAACTAAACTATTTTTACAGATTTAGTAAATAATTTAGATTTTTAGTAAATTTGTAGAGTTGTGCAATCATTATCACACTCAAGTTTTAGAACATTTCCATCACCTCAAAAAGTTCCTTTCTGCCTGTTTGCAGGAAAGCCCTGTTCCCCTCAATCCATAGGCAACTTTTGATCTGTTTTCTATTTCTATAGATTTCTAGAAATTTCATATAAACAATCACACAATATGTTGTACTTAGCATGACATTTTTTATGTTCATCCATGATGCAGTATGTATTAACAGTTTTTATTGCTGAATTGTATTTCATTGTATGACTATAACACATTTGTTTATACCAATTGATTCACCAGTTGATGGACACGTGGGTTTTTCCTACTTCTGGCTATTAAGAATAGTGCTGCTATGAACATTTGCATGTATTTATGTTTTCACTTCTCTTGGATAGAAAATGTTAAATATAGTAGATACCCTAAATATAGGTAGATACCCTAGGAGTGGAAATGTTGGGTCATGTGAGAAGTACATATTTAACATTTTTAAAACCACCAAACTATTTTCCATTTTCCATGCCCAACAGCAGTGTAGAAGAGTAGAAGAGTTGTAGTTCCTCCATCACCTTGCCAACATTTGGTATTGTCAATCTTTTTAATTTTGTTCTAACAGATGTATTATAAATGTAGTAATGTAAATCTTCCAACACTATTCTTTTTAAATTTGTTTTGAATATTCTACATCCTTTGTATTACATACATATATTTGAGAATTAGCTCATCAATCTCTACCAAAAACAAACTTCTGCTGGAATTTTGAAGGGATTACATTGAATATATAGATACATTTGGAGAAAACTGACATTTTAACAATATTGAATCTTCCAGATCATGAACATGAAATGCTATTCCATTTATTTAGACCTTCTTTAATTTCTCTAAGCAATGTTTTATAGTTTTCCATGTATGAATCTTACACTTTTTATGTCATTCCTAAGTGTTTTATTCTTTGTTGCTATTATAAAATTGTTTTCTTAATTTTATTTTTGAATTATTCATTGTTGGTATATAGAAATACAACTGATTTTTGTGTACTGATCTTGTATTTGAAGACCTTGCCACATTCATTTGTTACTGTAATTTTTTTTTTTTTTTTTTTTTTTTTTTTTTTTGAGACGGAGTCTCGTTCTGTCGTCCAGGCTGGAGTGCAGTGGCGCGATCTTGGCTCACTGCAAGCTCTGCCTCCCCGGGTTCACGCCATTCTCCTGTCTCAGCCTCCCCAGTAGCCTGCAACCACGCCTGGCTAATTTTTGTATTTTTAGTAGAGATGGGGTTTCACCATGTTAGCCAGGATGGTCTCGATCTCCTGACCTCGTGATCCACCCGCCTTGGCCTCCCAAAGTGCTGGGATTACAGGCGTGAGCCACTGCGCCCAGCCTACTGTCATTTTTTATATATATTCTTAGGATTTTCTAAATATGGGATTATGCTGTCATGAGTAAAGGCAGTTTTCATATTCCTTTCCATCTCAATGCCTTTCATCTCTTTTCCTTTGCTTATTACATTGGCTGGGACTCCCAGTACAATGTTAAATAAAAATAGTAAGAGCAGATATCCCTGCTTTGTTCCTGATTTTAGGGGAAAACATTCAGTCTTAACCACTAAGTGTGAAGTTTGTTGCAGGCTTTTCCTAGACAACCTTTACTATGTTGAAGAAGTTCCCCTAAGAACCTAGTTTATTATTAATAGGCATTGAATTTTGTTAAATGCTCTTTCTGTATTTACTGAGAAGATCATATGATTGTCCTTTATCCTATTAATATGGCATATTACATTACTTTGTTTTCAAATTAATGCATTCCCAGGATAACTCCCACTTGGTCATAGTAGATAAGCCATTTTATGTGTTGTAGAATTGGTTTTGTTAATATCTTGTTAAAGATTTTCACACATACATTCATAACGAATGTTCTTATGATGTCTTTGTCTGGTTTAGGTTTCAGGGTAATACTAGTCTCATAGAATGAGCTGAGAAGTATATTTCCTTCTCTATTTTCTGAAAAAGTTTGTGTAGAATTAGTGTATTTGTTCTTGACCTAATTAACTGCTACTCATGCTTCAGATCTCATTTTAATCAATTCCTTAGCAAAAGCTTATCTGACCTTCTTAATTAGGTTCTTCTTTTTTTTTTTTTATTTTTGAGACGGAGTCTCGCTTTTGTTGCCCAGGCTGGAGTGCAATGCATGATCTCAGCTCACTGCAACCTCTGCCTCCCACACTCAAACGATTCTCCTGCCTCAGCCCCCTGAGTAGGTGGGACTACAGGTGCGTGTCACCATGCCCAGCTAATTTTTGTATTTTTAGCAGAGAAGGGGTTTCACCATGTTGCCCAGGCTAGTCTTGAACTCCTGAGCTCATGCAATCTGCCTGCCTCGGCCTCCCTGCTAGGATTACAGGCATCAGCCACCGTGCCCAGCCTTTTTTTTTTTTTTAAAGGCAGGGTCTCTGTCATCTTGACCTCCAGGCTTAAGCAATCCTCTCACCTCAGTCTCCTGAGTAGCTGGGACCACAGGCAGATGCCATCATGGCCAGCTAACTTATTTTTTGTAGAGACAGAGTCTCCCTATGTTGCCCGGGCTAGTGTCAAATCCCTGGCCTCAAACGATCCTCCCACTTTGGCCTCCCAAAGTGCTAGGATTACAGGCATGAGCCACCATGCCCAGCAACTAGGCTCATTTATTTCCCTTATTATAAGTATAGTAGCTTGTAAACAGACCTCTTCTCAGTATTTGCCACTAAGTAATTTGCATTTATTAGAAGGATTCTTTTTATTATTCTCAACCACTTTGTCATAAATTCCATGAAAATAAAAATATTGAATATGGCTGGGCAGAGCGTCTCATGCCTATAATCTCGGCACTTTGAGAGGACAAGGTGGAAGCACTGCTTGAGCTCAGGAATTCGAGACCAGCCTGGACAACATGGCAAGACCTTGTCTCTACAAAAAATTTAAAAATTATCCAAACCTGTTGGTGCATGCCTGTGGTCCCAGTTACTCAGGAGGCTAAGGTGGGAGAATCACTTGAGCCCAGGAGATTGAGGCTGCAGTGAGCTGTGTTCATGCCACTGCACTCCAACTTGGGCAACAGGGCCAGACCCTGTCTCAAAAAAAAAAAAAATGATTGAATGTTTTTACTTACCATTATGTAGGCATAGCTAGTGTCTGCCACATTGTAGGTAAGCAGTCAACAAATATTTGTTAAATAAATACGTAATGGATGCTTTCATTTTATTTTTGGTATTTCTTTCCCTGTTTTACTTTGGTTGATTACATTTTCTTTCTCTAGATTCTTCAATATTAATATGATTCATTGTAAACCTTCCTAGTCAAACTAGACATTTTTTGTTAATATAGACATTGAGAATAATAAGTACTACTCTGGAAATATTCCATAGATTTTATTATAATGTCTATATTTTTATTTCTATCTTTCAAAAACACAGATATGATGTGACTCCTCTACTCAAAAACCATTAAAACCTTTCAATTTTCTACAGAATAGTATCTAAAGTTCTTAGTAAAGCAGTCAAGTAACCTTCAAATAGATTTATGGCCTATCACTCTATCTATGTACCTTATTCTCCAATCATATTGGGCTACTTACTTGCTCTTCCTCTAAACAAGTCTTATACTTCTGTTTGTTAATATTTTTCTCTTGTGCTCAGCACCCAACAAAATGCCTTAAACATTGTAGTTCAATAAATGCTTATTGAAGAGTTCATACCATTTTTCATGACCCAAGTTAAGATTTTTAAAATTTATCTTTCATAATTCTGAATTATACTTTTAAATATATAATTTTAAATTATATAACAGTACTGTGATATGATGTTAATATTTTTATTTTAAAATTTTTTTTGCTTATTTGTTCTTTTATTTTTTGTTTTTATTTTTTGTTTTCAAAAAATTGTATTTGTGTTCATGTATTTTTAAATTTAGCATTAATTTTTTTGTATGCTATACTTTGGTCATTTTTTAAGACTTAAGCATATTAAAAAGATATCTGGGCTTTTCTCCCATCACTATCAGACTGTGAAACCCATGAAGGCAACAATCACATCTATCTTTTTCACTGTATTCTCAGCACCTAGTACAAGAGTGGCACATTAGCTGAGTAATTTTTTTTTCAGCTTTCTACTATCACACTGAAAGCTCAGTAAATGTTTATAGTTATTTTACATTTCATTCTTCCCACCGCCGCTAAATTTAAAAGCATACATTAAGGCGTGGTTAGGTAGATTACCCTATGAGAGAACGAGTAAAAAATATGCATGATGGATAGGGTTCAATTAACTATAGCAACAGACAGAGTTCCTAGTATGAATCAAGATGTTCTAAGAGTAGGAAACAAACACACTTCCTACCCTTAGGCCTATGAACACACATAGGTTAACAAATAACTTTGATATCATGCACTAAAAGGAAGGTATGTATTAAATGACATGGAAAAGAGTGAAGGAAATCAGGCAGGGCGCGGTGGCTCATGCCTCATGCCTATAATCCCAGCACTTTGGGAGGCTGAGGCAGGTGGATCACGAGGTCAGGAGATCGAGACCATCCTGGCTAACATGGTGAAACCCCGTCTCTACTAAAAAAAAAAAGTACAAAAAATTAGCTGGGCATGGTGGCGGGCCCCTGTAGTCCCAACTACTCGGGAGGCTGAGGCAGGAGAATGGTGTGAACCCAGGAGGCGGAGCTGGCAGTGAGCCGAGATCGCTCCACTGCACTCCAACCAGGGTGACAGAGCGAGACTCTGTCTCAAAAAAAAAAAAAAAAAGGGTGAAGGAAATCTTTAAATTGGCTAGGGGAAGAAGGTTAGATAACAAGGCTAGAGATCACAAAACAAGATCAAACTCCACTTCTATGCTGTTTCCATTACACCATACTTACTATCAGTGATGTTTAGCAGCTCACAAAAAAATAACAGGACAGGCTTTAGAGAATCACAAAATAAAATCTGGAGACTTATTCATCCTAACCCCATCTCCCACTAATATAAATAATCAAGGACTATACCAAATTGTGAAAAGTTAGTCGGCTACTTGTTGTTCAAGTAGCTTTCTATTGATTGGCCTATTTAACAGAACAGATAATATTAAGTTGTATTCACCCAGTTTTTTTAAGTATTAATGAAGGGTCTGCTGCAATACTTTTTGAAAGGTAATGCAAAAACAAGAATCAGCTGGCATTTATCAGCACTTTGCAAGGAAGTGAGGCCCTGAATCCATAAGATTTAAGTAAGTATTAAAGTCGCAGAGAGTTATATTCTTTTGAGGGCCAAGGATGGTTCTTTAGGCTTTTCCACATCTCAAGACTATCCAATTACATTTGGTTACCAAGCAACCATTCCATGATGAATTTGTACCAGCATCCCCAAATGGCTTAACCCCACAACTCTGACTTTGGAATATCAGAAGATAATTTAACCCTCTCCTCCCCTATTATAAGTTAATAAACTGGCATTCTGAATTATATAACAGTTTTTGGTCACTTGGTTAGTATAAAATAAGAATCCTCTCAGTTCTAAGAGCTGTGTAGAAAAAAGTTTAAGAACCTGAAAAACTTAAAACCATACTCTAGGCCGGGCGCGGTGGCTCACGCCTGTAATCCCAGCACTTTGGGAGTCGGAGGTGAGCAGATCACAAGGTCAGGAGATCGAGACCATCCTGGCTAACACAGTGAAACCCCGTCTCTACTAAAAATACAAAAAATTAGCCGGGCGTGGTGGTGGGCGCCTGTAGTCCCAGCTACTCTGGAGGTTGAGGCAGGAAAATGGCGTGAACCCAGGAGGCGGAGCTTGCAGTGGGCCAAGATCACGCCACTGCACTCCAGCCTGGACGACAGAGTGAGACTCTGTCTCAAAAACAAAACAAAACAAAAAAACAAACAAAAACACATACTCTAAGCCAGTGATTGAATAAAATGGGGGACCATAGGCTGGATTCAGGCCACAAATGGATTTTATTTGGCTTGCAAAGGAGGAGGAGGAAGAGAAGGAAGAGTCTCTTAAAAATCCGACACAAAATGCACAATATATTTCATATAAAAATGTGTATTTCCAGCTTCTCTTGAAAAATCTGAAACTCTGGCAATATTTGGACCTGCACTGCCAAGTGGTAAAAACTAGCCAGAGCTAAGTAACCCCAGCCCTATTTATATGGGACATTTGCTCTCTAATTCATCATAGAACAACTCACTCCTTTCTGTTTTCCTGATAGTGAGGCCAAAAATCAAGTGTCACTTCTCATTATGCTTGCACTGCTTTTCTTATAACCTTCAAAGATTAAAGAATGCCATACTGGTAGTTAAATGCAGAGTTTACCAGGTAAGTACAATTCCACTCTTCATATTAATGCAGTGAAACATAGGCGGAATCAAAGAAATCAATTTACCTTAATCTGAGTCTGTTCGATTGACTTTTCCCATATCTGCTGATCGTAGGCTCCAATCTGAAAGAGGGAGTAGTCTATTAGTTAAACGATGCAAAGGAAATCCTTACATTATTAAGTCAAGCCTCATAAAAGTCATGAGCCTATTAAGTATCAATATGCTATGTGGAAAATATGCTTCTCAAAAGTTAGAATAAATCAATACTTCGAAGGACTGTTTCCTTCAAAAATCTAAAATAGCTGGACCTAAAAGTAAGTTCAAAAGCAATGCCCAAAATATTTCAAATTAATATTACCTTAAAAGATATTTCCACTTCTTGGGCGGGCATGGTGGCTCACGCCTGTAGTTTGAGACCAGCCTGACCAACATGGTGAAACCCCGTCCCTACTAAAAATACAAAAAATTAGCCGGGCGTGGTGGTGGGCGCCTGTGATCCCAGCTACTCCAGAGGCTGAGCCCGGGAGGCGGAGCTTGCAGTGAGCCGAGGTCGCGCCATCGCCCTCCAGCCTGGGCAACAAGAGCGAAACTCCGTCTCAAAAAAAAAAAAAAAAAAAAAAAATCCACTTCTTAAGGAAAAGAGCACTAGAAAAACTAGAGAGGAATAAAAGATAAGGAACAGCTCAATAAGATTGTTGATAGTATCAATCTGAGCTGTGCACATACAGGTTTCATGTCTTTTTTGTTTTTAAGCAGTTTGATCAGAAGCAAACTTTCAAAGCATTGCGGTGGCATTGTGTATGCAGCCTGAAGGAGGTGGCTTGTAAACCTTATTCTGGGACCTGGAACCGGGTTTAAAAGACATAATGACCTTGTACATCTTTTTTTTTTTTTTTTCATTTATGTTGAAGTATACATGAACACCTGGCACTACTAAACTCGGGGGAAAGTAACATTATATTATTTGTGGGAGCTTTTTGCAGGAAGAATGCTTTACAAATAAAAAAAATATATATATGTATTACCTTCTTTTGGTACCACGATATAGCATCTCTCTCATTTGAGGCCATCTGTGTCTCCAGCCAGAGAATGGGATTTCACTGAAAATGAAGGAAAACCAATCGGTGAGTCCAGCTGCTGAAGGTTACTCTCCCAGTTTGGGTAGGACGCGAAAACCGCTTCTCTCAGCCTCTCCATGAGCTGCTCTTTCTCCAGCTGTTTGCCAGGGAAAACACAACAAACAAACAAAAAAAAACTGGCGCAGCGGCGACCGGAGAAGCCTCTGCAATATATCGGGCGAGCGTGTTCGTGGGTGCGGGGGAGGGGCAGGGGCCGCCGCTGGAGTCGCCCGGCACCCGCCTCCTTCGCTCGCCCGCGTCCGGCTCTCACCTAGTGCCCGTTGCCCCGCGGGCCGGCGCCCGGGACCTCCGTCCTCAGTGCCCGGGGTCCCACCGTGAGGCCGGGGGCGAGGCGGCGGGCCAGGCAGGCCGCATCTTCCCCTCCAGGCGGAGACGCCGGAGAGGCCGTTACCATGGAGACCGCGGAGGCCGCCCCAGCTTCGGAGGCAGCCGGCCGCCCAGCGCCCTGAGGGCGGCAAATCGATCGCCGGTCAGAGGCCGCCTACAGGGTCACGGACTGACCAGAAAATAAGCAGAGAATGAACTGGAAAATGAGGGGGATTAAAAGTGAAGGCCTCCAGTCGCCACGGCGACAGCAAAAGGCTTTGTGCCCAGCTGGAAAAGACAGGTGCAAAGGCCCCGGACCCCGAGAGCCCGGGAGCCCGGGAGGAGGAGGCGGCGGCAGCGGCGCTCGTCTTCTGCGGGCCGCGCCGGGATGCAGTGACTCAGCCGTCTGAGATCTGGGCTAGAGCCGCTCAGCCGACCACCGGGCAGCAGCCTTCGGCTTCCGCTTTCCGGCTTTCGCCGCCGAGGTGGCTCCGCCCCTGGCCCGGGGCCTTCCCGCCCAGCCTTGGTCCAGGCTCCGGGTCCGAGGGCCTGGGGAGTCGCGCGGCATATCGATGGCCAAGAGCAGCTCCCTCAGATCACCCTTCAGGCCTCAGCTTAAAAGTCACTTCCTCACAAACGACTCTCCCATCCAGCGGTCTAAAGGAGGTCGGTCCTGATACTCTAGTAGCTCACGTCTTTGTGGCACTCATTTTCGTGTTTCATGGCTTAATCTCTGTTCCCCAGTGGGCTGTGGGCTCCATGAGGTCAGAGACTGGGGCCTGGCACAAGCCTGGCACTTAGGTTCCCAATGTTTGTTGAGCGAACGAATCAATGTTTGCGTGAATTTACGCTGCCCTGGGAGGAAGGGCCAGGCTGCGGCTTAGTGACTCCCTTCCTCTCCCGCCCCTCAGCAGCTCTGGGTCTGGAGCTTTCTAGTGCTCAAAGGTGTAGGGGGAAAAGAGGAACAAGTATTGGGCAGTCACAGCTTTTTCCAAATTAGGGTAAAGTTAGGTGGCGGCAGGAACAGGTTAATTAGGGCCGATAGAGGTCAGGAGAAAGGAAAGAAAGGTTGAACCCTCAAGTGAATATTTAAGGATACGTTAAAAGGATTTTTAGGCTGCTTTTTTTTTTTTTTTTTTTTTGGCCATTAATGGAACACTGTCCCCTTACAGCCATTCTCCCCACCTTATTTGAAGCCGTGTTCTTGCTAGCCCACAGCGTGTAGCATCTGGGTCAGAGAAAGCTAATGACAGATGATAGCTTCACTTAAGAAAGCCTAAGAGGCGCTGTACTCAATGTTTTGCAGACATTATTTCTTCTTATCTATTGAGTGGGCACCAGGTGGAAGTTATCCCATTTCACGGATGAGGAAAATCGACTAAGCTAAAATAACTCCCACAGGACTAAGTTTTACAAATTACTTCACCCAGCCTGGGCGCAGTGGCTCACGCCTGCAATCTGGGCGCTTTGGGAGGCCTGAGGCGGAAATGTAGCTTGAGCACAGGAGTTTGAGACCAGCCTTAGCAACATGGCCAGACCCCGTCTCTTAAAAAAAAAAAATTAGCCGGGGGTGGTGGCGCGCACCTGTAGTCCCAGCTACTTCGAAGACTGAGGCAGGAGGATCGTCTGAGTCCACGAGTTCGAGGCTGTAGTGAGCTATGATTGCACCACTGCACTTCGGCCTAGGCAACAGAGACCTGTCTCAAATAAAGTAAAAATTATTTTACCCTTATTTTTATATTGCACACATTGGCAGTGGTTTCCTTCTGCTTTTGCTCCTTGACAGCTTTTCCTTTCCTTAGTGCTAAACATTACAATTCTGTTGAGCTTCAAGACAAATGGCCAACTTGAAAAAAGAGATAAATGACAAGTGAAAAACGTCGAATTTTGCACACGTAAATATTTAACCTCAATTACATTAATAGCAAAAGTACTTTACTTCACTGTTTGGCACACAGATTTTCAGGGAGTGTCTGGAGGAACTGAATCAGGTAAGAAGTATTAGAGAATAGTGGTAAGTAGTAAACCATTTTTCAGGTGCCCTGTTGGAAACTATTCAGTGCTTCCTGCGGCTACCAGCGAACAAGGTCTGAATCCTTGCTCCCAACCAATAATCTGTGATCTTAAGCAATTTATTCAACTAACAAGCCTGTTTTCTCACCTGTATTATGGAGATAGTCACCTTCTTAAGGATGTGAGGATTAAATGAGAAACCCTCATATAAACTGCCTGGCCCATGGCAGTTACTCAAAAAATGTGAAGTCCCTTTCTTTTCCTTTCCTAGACAGAACCAAAGGCTATCAGTGCTTAGGACAGGTACCTCAATTAAAGATAACTTCACACAAAAACTGATGAGGAAAGAAATCCATTTTGTTGTGTCACATTAATACATCAATGACATAAAAGTCTATACGCCATCTTCATTAATACTCAATGCACTTTCAAGAAAATCCACATCACCAGAATAAAAATTTAAGACTGTCCTCTTTTAAGTAGATACACACCAATTTAAGCAATTAAGAGGCATTAACTACAACAAATGTCAAGTGTATTTTTTCTTCTTCCCCCAAACTAATTGCATCTCAATATGGATGGAATTTTCCCCAGACATCTTTAGGAAAGAAGTCATAAGATTTTCTAAAAATTTTTTTTGAAGTAGTAGGGGATACAGTAGGTGAGGGATTCGTCCTCTAAAAACAGGTTCCAGGTATTTAGAACTCACATATGCTATGCATTTTGTGATGAAACACCAGTAAAGGACAAATCAGACTTTTTTTATTAAAAAAATACTTTACAGGAAAAAAAAAAACTATGCATTCCATTGTCCTATTTTACAAAGAAATAGCTTAACAATTTAACACACTTAGACAGCTACAAAAAAGCACTGTGTTAAAAGGATTATTCACACAAATTTAGATTTAAGACTATTCATTAAAAACCTTTTTAAAACACTCGTTAATGTCAATAAACAAACTAAGGCCACACAACGCAAATAGTCCGCCAGGCAAATATACATTTCATCTATATGCAAAGACCTCTTAGATAAATAAAAGCCACAGGAAAAAAAGTCTTAGCTGCCAATCAAAATGGAGTTTACTCACAGAAAACACTATTACATGAAAATTTACAACATGTGATAGTAGTACATAAGTATTTCTTTAGAGAGAATTGAAAAGTGCTATATTTTAAGAGACAGTGGTCTCAACTACATGCACAAGTGGATCCTAAAAAATGTATGAAGAAAATGGAAGGCCATAATATTTATGGAGAGATACTTGCTTTTAAAGCAACAAACTTTCAAGACAAGGATAGGTCCCTTACGTGCTAAAGAAAAACATTTGTACTGTGCATTTCCTCTACTTGCATGGCCAATAAATACAGCTACGACCTGTTTGAAAAACAAAACAGATGTGAACCTCTGGCATGTGCTAGCTAGTGAAAGGTTCTTTTTTAAAAACCTGTAGCAATGATAAAACAGATTAGAAAGATACAAAATTATCCTAAAGGCATAAATGCAAATAAATTTTTTATGGCAAATACAGATGAAAATATAATGGGCTAATTTATTAATGATTAAGAATATATTCACTAAGCGTTTTCATGGATTTGGGAGTCTTGTTCCTATATTAGCTTTCATTCTAGACAATTAATATTTATATAGGGAAAGGCAATAAGCAAGTTTTTTCCAGTCATTAAGTGTGACTTTTATGCCTAGTAAGACTGATGCAAGACATCTTTTCCTAAAGTTTAGTAAACAACTTTAATAAGCTCCTTTTTCCCCCTACAAGAGCTTGTAATATTAGTCAACTGGTATTCCAACTGTCTCTTA
This sequence comes from Homo sapiens, assembly GCF_000001405.40. NCBI lineage: Eukaryota > Metazoa > Chordata > Mammalia > Primates > Hominidae > Homo > Homo sapiens. The sequence continues at coordinate 113,762,908 of NC_000001.11, forward strand.
AGGGGAAAGGGCACTTTTCAAAAGTCTTTCACTAAAAAATAATAAAAGTACCAGTTAAACAAATTCTAAGTACTGAATAAGCAAATTAAAGGTACAATTAAACCTAGGAACCAATTTTTAGAGTTAAAACTTTGGAGGAGAGAACATACTATATAGGTTTTTATTATTATTGCTTTATGAATTTGGGTTACCACTTTGAATCATCATCCTACTCCTAGCATATCTTGGTATAGAGAATTACTTCTGGGGCAAGAGGAAGACTTTTATGCTTTTTAATGAATACCATGAAATTATTCTACTTTACTAAGTTAGGAATATTCATTTATTGGGTCCTTTCCATAAGCACATTTAAAAACCATCCCTCTGCTCCACAAAATATTAAAACTTATAGCCACATTGTGCAAGTAATCTCAAGAGCTGGCACAACGGATAATATACCAAAAAGGAAGATCAGCTTAAATTTCAGTTACAACTTCACTGCCATCACTACTTTAACAAATCAGAAGACGCCAGATTGCTCCATGCCTCACTCCACCAAACCAAATAATTTAATGATTTAGAAAAATTGCAATCATTTGTATCACTAAACTAGGATACAGCTTTGAAAGCAGTAAAAAACGCAAAACTTCTGCTTTTATACTCATCAGTCTTTAAAGCATGCTATTAAAATCTAATACTCACATAGGACATTCAGTTTTCAGATCACGTTACTAGCTAAATGTTTCTCTTCATTCTATTGCAATTCTAACATACAATGAATTTATTAGTACATGATTTTAAACATTTTTATTGTACTCTTTTAATGTGTTTATATTGGAGGTGAGGGTAGAATGTTTTATAAAAGGAAAATGGGGATTTGCTTTTGATTGTAGGTCTTTGCAGATCCGCTGGTTCCTGAGTGATAATACACAGTGCTGGCTGTCAGGAGACAGTCTCCTTGTTTATTAGCAATGACCAGCTTGGATGACAGATGGCATCTGCTGGATGGCAAGTGGGAGATGGGGAAATCGGATCTTGGAAGACAAGAAAAAATTAAAAAAAAAAAATTTTTGCTTTAACAGCCTTCTCTTCATGATTATTTTTAAAAGCAAATGTTGCCTGAGAAGAATTTTACTTTGCACAGCCTGGTAAAGCTCTTCTGGACAGAAAAATAAAAACAAGAAATAACCCAAACCCACACACTTTGTGATTAAACCCCTCCCCAACAAAATAACAAAAAACACCCTCAAAGGCAGGTCCCGTTAAAAACTAGTCTGGATAAACTGGAATTTACCCTAGAATTTATACCCAAGATTTAAAAACACCCCTGCAATAATCACATTACCTTTCATACCATTCTAATTACCTTATTTACAAAGATAACTAAAGCCAACATCACTTCCAATTCATAAATGGTTTACATTGAAATGTATCCCTATTTGTCTTCATCCTTTGTAACAGAGAATACATACATATACATATATATAAGGAATAATACAGATTCTAACTAATCACTGCAGTATTTGCTGATGGTTACTTTTCTATCGGTTTACACAGTGACCTCTATACTTTGCTAATATGCATTTAACTACACAACAATATTGCACAAAGTAATATTTATATAAGATTTAACCTATTTCAGAATATTTTAGAGAAAATTCATATTTGATATTTCAAAAGATGCAGCTAAGTTTTCATGGTGACAGACATAATAAAGCAGCATCTTGTATTTTTTTTTTTTTTTGCCTATGTTAATGTAAATATTTCAAATCTTACCATCCAGGAAAAAAAAAAAATCTCCAAATTGCACTGTAACCAGGGAGATATAAGAATCTGGTCTTAGGTGTGGGGAGTACTCTTCCATTAATAAACAAAAGGCCTACTGTATTATTAACTAAGAGAAAGTATAATGTGAATCATGTTAACATTCTAAAATAACAGAAAGTTAGGACCATACTAGCAATGTGAACTGTGCCTGTTTGAAAAGAAAATTTAAATACTCAGGCACTAAGCATTAGCCTACCTGAAACTCTAGGATGAAGTCTAGTGCTGTATTCTTTCTTAGAAAATAGCAACACAGAGTAATAGTAAATAAACCCAGGTATTCACCAGTTAAAACTGTGAATTGAAGTGTCTCAGTAGTAGATATTTATCATGAAGAGGTTGATGCCAAGTGACAAGAATAGTTTATCATAAGATTGATGCTCAAAATATGGCAGCCTCATCAGAAAGACTATTATTATTCTCTAAGTTTAATAGTTGTGATCAGTTTAGGAAGCAAAATTATCCCCACAAAATGTGAGGATGCCAGGAAGCAGAACAATAGAGTATCATGTCAACATTATCTCTTTTACCCAAAATATCTTCAACAGTTAGCATATATTCTAGAAGAGATTAATGAGCCATGGATAATGAATGACCAAGGACTATTCATCTTTAGATTTTTTTTTTAATTGAAATATCCACTGGGCTTTAAATAACAGATACAAAAAAAAGACAGTTTGGATCAGAAAGTGCTGTGCTTTCTCTTTTGTTAAGAAACCAGAGAGCCACTGAAATTTCCTTGGAAACTACTTGTTATTTGTGGTTAGAACTAAATAACTTACTTGCCCATGTACCAGATGCAGAAATTCTTTCCTGCAACCTATGCCATTTTCACTGTAGAAATTGAACCTGTGCCATAAAGACACAAGTACTAAACCATAAATCTTATTTATCCATAAAAACAGCAAATATGGCAAGAGACAAGGCAAGATAAAATTAAGGGAAGTGAATAATTTACCAAACAAGAATCTGTTATTCCAGAGAATTCTCATTTTGATTTGAAGAAGAGATTGAATTGTTACCTCACACCTTAAAACAGAAAGTAGCAGCAGACCCACTATTACATACTGTACTAACGGGATAAGATACAACTCTTAACTTTGCATAATCTGTGTAAAAAAGATATGCTTGACATTTGTGGAATGTCATTTCTCTTTATAGAATTATAGGCAAGATTTCTCCAATAAAACTTAACTTAAGCCAGTTATAAAACTATAACTTCACATCAAAATTTAAAAAAGTTAAAAAATGTGTTTGAATATGTACATATCACACAGAAGTGGTTGAATGTTCTTGCAGATTGTGTTGCTGGTCAGAGTCCAGTCTACTTTCCACTTTTAAAACTGGAATAGGCTGAGTCTTCTGATCTTGCTGTAGATTAAGTTCTGATGCAGGTGGGAAAGATGATGAAGCAGTTGTTAACAGCTGAATCTCTGTGCATGCTTCTTCAGATTCAGTTTTTATCCTCACACATTGGGAGTCAACTTCTAATTCTCGCTTTCCAGTTAAACCACAGTCCATGTTAGAATTGCTTTCTGTGTTTTGAGTGGCTTCCACAACAGGGTGGTACTGTTTAAGCCTTATATGCCAGGCTAAGCTGCACACCGCCGAAACTGTTTTGAACTGATGAATGACATTTCTAGGGATGAAGTAGATATCATTGTCGCAAAGCTGAATTCTAGCATAACGAATGCCTTCCCGCCTCATTTGGTTTAGTTTAGCTTCATCTACCCACTGTACGCACTGAAGAAAGAAAAAAGTTACGTGAGACTTTAAAATATGTAATAATTTAGTCAAGTGAAATAATTAGCAAAGGAAAACAGTAGAAACAAAATGTGTCATAACAATAATCAAATTAAAATTAAGCAACACTAAATGATAGGTAACTCTCTAAAAATTCTTGTAATGCCTGGGAAATTATTTTCCTCCTATTTTACTACCTCTTTAGTAACAAAGTACAGGTTAAAATCAGAATGGCTTAGAGAATCATTTAAGTATTTCAAAGTACAGCTAAGTATCAATATTCTTTACCACACATAAAGGCAACATGTTTTCTTTTCTTTTAGTGTGTCTTTCAGCCTTTTGCAGTTGAGGGGACACAGTGCAATGGGGTTAACAAGTGAGACAGCTCATGGCCATAACTGAGCCGCCTGGGACCTCTAACCATCCCAGGCCCACCTGGTATCCCAAAGATTGAAAGGATTTCAAGCATTCTGCTAGGGAAGCTCTGTTTAAATGATTTTCAGCACCACCCCCACCCCAGTCTTTAACAGTAATAAAATTAAACTCACTATCCCACATATCAGACTGTAAGATAAAATTCAAAATAAAATGGGTATAGATATTTACTTCTAATATCGCAAATGGTGATAAAACATAAGTTATTACCTGGGAAACTGGAGGTTCATGAAGATCTAACTGAAGTCTTTGTACAACATCAGTAAAATCCTCAGCATGAAAACAAATCACATCTTTGGTTATGCGAGGTTGGTCACTCCTAAGATTAACAAAATTAAGTTTCAGAGACAAACATCTCACAATGAAAAATGATGACAAATTTCAGTTCTTTTGTTCTTGGAAATGCTTCTACCAGCAGAGAAATAGATGCATAGTTTCTAAGGACTAGGTATACAATTTTTTTTTAATTTGAAAAAAACTAAAGCTTAAAAAGCCATAAAAATCAGATTTGCTGTTGTAAAATTAAAACAAAAATGGCTAAAAAGAATAGTTTTATTCTAAACTAGTTGCATTTGCAGTCCTCTCGCCACTTTGTATCTCCATGTCCTGAGCTTTGTTAAAACTGGGCCCCAACAGAATATAAAATGGTTTAGCCACTGTGGACAACAGTCTGGTAGTTTCTCAAAACATTACAAATAGAACTACCATATAATCCAGCAACTTCACTCCTGGGTGTATAGCCAAAATAATTGAATGCAGGGACATGAAGAGATATTTATACACCCATGTTCACACCAGCATTATTCACAAAAGCCAAAAGGTAGAAGCAACCCAAGTGTCCACTGATGGATAAACTGATTAACAACATGTGGTATATACATACAATGAATTATTATTCAGCCTAAAAAGGGAAGGAGATTCTGACCCTTGCTACAACACGGATGAATCCTGAGGACAATGCTAAGAGAAATAAGCCAGTCACAAAAAGATAAACACTATATGATTCCATCTATATGAAATATGTAAAGTAGTCAAATTCATAGAAACAAAGTAGAATGATGGTTACCAGAGCCTGGGGGTGAGAGTAAAAGAGGAATTGTTGTTCAGTGAGTATAGAGTTACAGCCTCGCAAGATGAAAAGGTTCTGGAGCTCTGTTTCGTAACAATGTAAAGATGCTTAACTCTACCAAATGTACATTTAAAAATGGTTAAGATGGCAAACTTTATGTGTATTTTACCACAATTTAAAAAACTGGTCCTAAACCTTTTAAATAGAGTCCACATTGTCTTATACAATATTAACCAACCTTGCAGTTGAGTTCAATTAACTCACCATTCACCAAATTGTACAGCTTTCAAAACTCCAACAGCAGCCGTACTCTGCCAGTCAAACCCCTGACCGACATGATCAGCATGAGCTCTAGTCCTATCTTCAAAGAGAACTTCGCGGGGTTCACTGGTCCGAGGTAGGTACTGGAGATTTTTTATTTCATTCATTGATCTAGAGTTGATTTGGTTGTTAAACAAAGGGTAAGCAAGGAAGAAAGAGACCAAAAAAAAATTAATTAATAGCAGTAAGGCAAAAAAGTCTGCTAAAATACCAGATTTAAATAAGATGAGGACTGAGAAGGGTTCAATGATTATGATCATTAGCATTTAACACACTATATTATAATGCTTAATGTAATTACCTTCCTCTCCCTGTGTGCCATAATAAAGCTGAAAATATATCTTAGATTAGGCTCAAATGTAGTGCTTCTGTTCTAGCAACAGAAAATAAAAGTCAAAGTTTAAGGCTTCTTTACCCTCATTCATCTTATTTCCAACTCTCAAAATATGCTACTAGTGAGGCTGCCCTCACACAGTTAACAAAACTCTGGATGGAAATATAGCTATAATTAAGCATTAATCAGGCTGCACTTAGACCCACTTTCTTATAACTAAAAGTCAGGTAACACTAGATACTGACCATTTGCATCCCTGTTGTTCCTACAGATAGAATTTCTTGGAAGTGGGAAAACCTTTTTGTGAAAAAAAAAATATATATATATATACTTTTTTTAAAAAAGAATTCTAGTGTTAGCATCATAAGGCTTTTGTTTAAGATAGAATCTCTGATGTTAAGAATGGCTTAAGCAGATCCTGAATTCTGGCAAAACAGCTGCTGCCAACCAATTTAAAGACCCCCACAGAAAAACCTAATCAGCATGATAATAGTTTATTCATCCCTTTGTCCATGACTTCACTTTGTACTCTCGGACCAATAAACATCTCCACACATCAGCCCATTCCAAAACCTTTAAAAACCCTCACCCCCAAACTCCTCAGGGAGACAGATTTGAGATTTCCTCCCATCTCCTCCTTTAGTGGCCCTACAATTAAACTTTCTCTGTTGCAGTCTGCTGTTTTGGTGTACTGACTTGCCATGTGCATCAGGCAATGACCCTATTATAGTTAAACTAGAGTTCTGATTCAAGATTGCAAACCAGGCATCCATGTTATCTCCTTCTACATTAAAATGAAAGTAAAAGTCTTCAAACCAATAATAGGGGAAGTGGGGATTAGATGGGAGAATGGATTAGAGTACAGATGAAACAGAATTAGCCATGAGTTGACAGCTGTTGATTGTATATTAAACACACAGCAGTTTATTATATTGTTTTCTGCTTTTTTATGTGCTCAAGAATTTCTAAATATAATAATCTAAAGATGATAGTGAATAAGAAGCAACAAAGGAAATGAATTAATGAATGAGCAATATCAACAAACTTTTGCAAGATGGAAAATGATCCTAGTACCTGAGACTAATAAAACTGTGCAGAGAAAGCCACAGGCATAGAATACACAAGAAGGGATCAGCAGCCAAAAAGGCAGCAGACCTGCCCAACAGACCTTGGAAAAGCCTGAGTCCAAAAAGAAGCCAGGCATAATAATGATGAACAGAAATGAAGTGAGGCTGAGAAAAGGGGAATTAAAGTGAAATTCTGCAAATAAACAAGTCATCCCTGCAGGTAGAAATGTAGACAGACATTTAGCCCCACATGGAGTAGACTATGGCTACCCACCCAGCATCCATTCCTCCCCTTTAATTCCCTGACAGAACCCTAATTTTTATTAGGCATCTCATTCTGCCCTGTATGTGACCTCATTCACAAGCTCCAGAGTTAATTTCTGATGAGTACTGGTAAATTATGGTAAGCTCATTTCCCCTGACAGTGACTGATTTAGGAATAGACATGAACTGATTCTGTCTAATAGTATGAAAGGAAATATGCTGAAGAGACTTCTGGGAAGTTTCCTAGCTCCTAAGAAAGAAGTACAAGAAAAGATACTATCTTCTTCTATTAGATATAGCCAAATCAAGATGTGATGTCTAGAACTGCCTCAGCCATCTAGCAACTATAAAGGGAGCTAGTGTAAGTAAATAGCCTAAGCCAAGAGAATGTTAGAACAGAGAAAAGGAAAGAATCTGGTCCCTTGATAACAGCACTGACACACTGACCATATGGTGCCTAGAACCAACCTCTCTGGACTTCTCGATATACAAGACAGACATTTTATTTTATAAACAAGTTTGAACCAAAATTTTTGTTGCTTATAGCCAAAAACATCCTGATAAACTTTCAGCCAGAAAAACTGCACATTCTCTAAACACATGGAAATTGCCACAAAAATAGAACATAATCCTCTGAAATTTGGGCACATCATTTAGTGTCCATTTCTATGCCTGTTCACTCTAAGTTGACAACTGACAATTGTCTACCTGTTGACAAGACTCACCAAAATATAAATAGAACTCACAATAGACCCAATGCTTTATTTTAACATATGAATGGGTCAACCGAGAATCACCAGCTTCTGAAGATAGCAGCCTGACAGAGAAAAACCAAAATGAACAATGCTAAAATTTTAAAACACCAAAGAAAGGTTAGAAGACAAAAGTCCAGTAAATGTCTCCGAATCAAAAGCAAAAAGATAATAGGAAATATGAGGACCATCAAACCAGGAGCTCTATTATTCAACCAATAGTAGTTTCAGAAAGAAATAAGAGAAAATGAAGAAGAAATTACCAAACCAATTAAGTAAGAAAAATTATCAGAAAGGAAAGGAGACATGAATCTTTCAATTTAAGGTGACTACTAAACAACAAAAAGTATAATTAAAAAATAAGAATGAAAGACTCAAGACATATTGTGAAATTTCAGACTGCTGATGATAGAGGATGCTATAAGCTTGCAGACAAGAAAAAAATAGGATACCTACAAAAGAATAAAAATTACACTAGCATTAGGACTTCTCATAAATAATATTAGATGCCAGAAGACAACAGAGCACTGCTAAAAACACTAAGAGACAACACAACTTCTGGACTTCAGCTAAATTATAAATCATGTTTATTAACAGAAAAAGAAATTTTCAGACATATAATAACTCAGAATACCTCCTTTTTCTTAAGACTATTCCTTGAGAATGTGTTTAAGCAAGAGAAGGAAATAAATCTAGGAAAACAACAACCATAGGTTAATGCAGAAAAGCATTAAATAGGAAGTCCTAGGTGGATAACTGAAATAAGCCTTCTATAGGCAGAACACAGAGTTCCAAAAGATATCCACATAAAAAAACTGATATGTTACAGCAGACAGTATGAAAAAAATTCTAAAAGGCATGAGGATATGATAAAAGAACAGAATGCTAGGTAACTACCAACACCAATGTCCTCTCAAAAAAAAAAAAAAAGGTTATAAAAGAAAGCCATAGTCAAACAGATGAGAAAGTCAGCGTGGTTCTGGAAGAAAGTAATGTACCTTAACTCTAACCCTATAAGCAGTAAGGAGAATGGAAGCAATAAATAAAAAGATGGGAAGCAATAAAGAGAACAGAAGATATTTAGGATGGTCAAGAAAAGTTTATGTTCCTACCTCAAAAAAAAAAAAAAAAAAAAGGAGGGTAATCAGAAACTGCAGGAAAAACAGAACACTTTTTTATGTTCCTACCTCAAAAAACAGGGCAATCAGAAACTGCAGGAAAAACAAGACTTTTTTTTAAAAGAAGTTATGGTACCAAATATAAAACTTTCAAAAAATGTGACATGGTTTTAAGTACGTAGGTGAAATATAGAAAAGAAAGATGCTTTTGCATATTCTTCCTTTGAGTGATGATATAACATTGAAACCTTAGAATATGAATTAATAACTTAATAGCTGGGTCTGCAGTAAACATAGCTAGCCATAATATTTTAGAATCCACTTATTGACAAGGCATGTAAGACCTAATGATAATTTTAAAAACAGAATATGAATTAACCCCAGCAATGTGTAGGGACAGCTGACTGAAAGAAGAAATGAGGAGGAAGAGGATAAAGTAGGGGTCATCTAACTATTCAGAGAACATGTAAGAGGACGGAATACCTGCTATCATACCAAAAAATCAAAACCTGTATAAAAACATGACATGTATATCATACATATATGCAACTATTATATACACAAGATTAAAAAAATTTTTAATTAAAAAAAAACCCTGCCAAAGCCTTTTTAAAAAAGTATTATAAACAAATGGGTTTTGCCTCTCGTAAAAATATATTTGCCTCTGGGAAGGAAAAGTGGGCAGGATTTTCCATTGTAAGTCTTGCTGTATTATTTTATTTTTAAAAAACTCTGTACACATATTTCTTTAACTCTAGAGTTCATAAATCCAAAGATGAGCTTCAGTAGCAGTGTCCTTGGTAACTGAACAGCTTCTCACATTTTTATTCCACCATTTTCCACAAGTTTTCACTAACACAAAAAGATGGACATTAGTATTTACATTTTGATTCATTCAATTCTAATTCAAAATGCTTCTGAATGCCTCACTTAAGAATATTTAATACCAACAGAAATAAAATTTGATGGCACCTCAGATGCATTATTAAATAAATGATGTTGGTACAGCTGCCTAACTACCTGGAAAAACATGTAAATCTCTTCCTCTATACTGAAGCCAATTCCAGGTGGATTAAATATGTAAATACTGAAAGCACAGAAGTACTAAGAGAAAATGTAGGTGAGTATTTTATAACACTGAATAAAAGAAGGCTCTTCTAAGCCTATTGCTAAAGGAGAAACCTCAAAGGATAGATCATATAAACAAAAACTTCTGTAAGTAAAGAAAAAAACACCGAAGCTGAAAGCCAAAAAAAGATAAAAACTTGGAACAGAAGGGAAAAAAAGCTTAATAGTCATAATATATATGGGATTTTTACAAAAGAAAAACACCAAAATAGAAACATGTATAAAGGAAATTAAAAGGAAATCACCAAAGACAAAATAAGAAACCCCTCAAAAAACAGCAAATTAAAATGAGACATTTTTGGGTTGGGCGTGGTGGCTCACGCCTGAAATCCCAGCACTTTGGCAGGCCGAAGTGGCTAGATCCCTTGAGGCCAGGTGTTTGGGACGAGCCTGGCCAATATGGCGAAACCCCTCTTTACTAAAAATACAAATATTAGCCAGTGGTGGTGGTGCACGCCAGTAATCCCAGCTACCTGGGAGGCTGAGGCATGAGATCACTTGAACCCGGGAGGCAGAGGTTGCAGTGAGCCAAGATCGCACCACTGCACTCCAGCCTGGGTGACAGAGCAAGACTCTGTCTAAAACAATTTTTTAAAATAAAATAAAATGGGACATTTTTATCCAATCAGATCAATATAGTTTAAAATGTTAGTGGAGAGTATGAGAAAAAGGGAACTGTATTATATGAGTGGGTATATAAATTGGTATATTTCTGGAAGCCCATTAGAAATGTGTATACTTTGAGACTTTAGGAATTTTTACTAAGAATATAAACACGCATGGCCACGTGCAGTGGCTCACGCCTGTAATCCCAGCACTTGGGGAGGCTGAGGCAGAAGGATCACAAGGTCAAGAGATCGAGACCATCCTAGCCAACATGGTGAAACCCCGTCTCTACTAAAAATACAAAAGTTAGCTGGGCATGGTGGTGCATGCCTGTAGTCCCAGCTACTCGGGAGGCTGAGGCAGGAGAATCATTTGAATCCGGGAGGCGGAGGTTGCAGTGAGCCGAGATCGCGCCACTGCACCCCAGCCTGGCAACACAGTGAGACTCCATCTCAAAAAATATTAAAAAAAAAGAAAACAAACACGCATATGCACAAACATACATATCTACCAAACTTCCATCCATATACAATCAGTGGTATGCTCTATATACTTTACATCTGACTTGAGGGTCAGGGGAGGTGGCTGATTTTAGCTGATTTGCTGATTTCTATGGTATAAATACACCTAACACGAATGATTTCCAGTTACTAACGTGACATCACGCAATGTGGAACTGGAAAGTGATGCTAATGATGGCCTTTGTGAACAGGTACAAACTGGCTCCAGCACACCAGTATCATGTTTTCAAAATACTGTTTACATTGAAAACCTGGGAAAAAATTACACTAATAAAGAGTTGGTGAGGGCCAACTCTTTTTTAATTAAAATTAAAAAAAACAACAGGCCAGGCACGGTGGCTCACGCCTGTAATCCCAGCACTTTGGGAGGCCGAGGCGGGTGGATCACGAGGTCAGGAGATCGAGACCATCCTGGCTAACACGTTGAAACCCCATCTCTACTAAAAATAAAAAAAAAAATTAGCCGGGCATCATAGCGGGAGGCTGTAGTCCCAGCTACTTGGGAGGCTGAAGCAGGAGAATGGTGTGAACCCGGGAGGAGGGGCTTGCAGTGAGCCGAGATCGCACCACCGCACTCCAGCCTGGGTGACAGAGCAAGACTCTGTCTCAAAAACAACAACAACAACAACAAAAAACAACTAGCCAGGCATGGTGGCAGGCACCTGTAGTCCCAGATACTTGGTGGGGCTGAGGTGGGAGGATCACTTGAGCCTGGGAGATGGGCTACAGTGAGCCCTGATCATGCCACTGCACTCCAGCCTAGGTGACAGAGTAAGACCCTGTCTCAAAGAAAAAACAAAAACAAAAACCAAGAATTGGTTAAATAAATCTTGATACAACCATACAGTAAAAATTCCCAAGTTTTAAAGTAAACATCACACAAAGAATGGATTTTGTAAAAAGATTATTTATGGCTATATATAATTTGAAAGGTTAATATGCCTAAATGGTGGCTACCTTTTTTTTTTTTTTGGAGATGAAGTCTTGCTCTTGTCCCCCAGGCTTGAGTGGAGTGGCACAATCTCGGCTCACTGCAACCTTCGCCTCCCAGGTTCAAGCAATTCTCCTGCCTCAGCCTCCCGAGTAGCTGGGATAACAGGCGGCTGCCACCATGCCCAGCTAATTTTTGTATTTTTAGTAGAGATGGGGTTTCACCATGTTGACCAGGATGGTCTCGAACTCCTGACCTCAGGTGATCCGCCTGCCTTGGCCTCCCAAAGTGCTGGGATTACAGGTGTGAGCCACCATGCCCAGCCTGCCTTCTTTCTACTCTTCTTTTTTTTTTTCTTTTTGAGATGAGTCTTACTCTGTCGTCCAGGCTGGAGTGCAGAAGCACCATCTCAGCTCACTGCGACCTCGGCCTCCTGAGTTCAAGCGATTCTCATGCCTCAACCACCTCAGTAACTAGGATTACAGGAGCGTGCCACCACACTAATTTTTGTATTTTTACTAGAGACAGGGTTTTGTCATGTTGCCCAGGCTGGTCTTGAACTCCTGGACTCAAGCAATCTGCCTGCCTCAGCCTCCCAAAGTTCTGGGATTACAGGTGTGAGCCACTGCACCTGCCCTCTTTTTACTCTTTCCTATTACTTTTTTCTTAAGTTTATAAAAATCAGGAAACAAATGATGGTCATTTTTTGAGGAAAGATTACAGAACAAAAAATGTATATAGTATTTAACAATTTAATAAGATTTCAAGATTCGTCATCATCCTGCAACAAAAACTGCTATAATCTAGCAATGTGCAGAACTTTCAAATGACTCCTGGGTTTTTACCATGCCACCACCCTGCATCGTACATAATGTTTTCAAAGTATTTTCATACATTTCAAGTACCTAAGATTATTCCATACTTAGCTCAAGTATCATTCTCCTATGAGCCTTAAGTTAAGGTTTAGATTAGTCCATTAAAACTCACTTCTGGGCACTTATTTTGAATTGCTATTTTCGTAGTCTAAGCAGGTATAGATCATTTTCAGTCTCATTAAATTAGATTTTTCAAAGTACTAGAGAGTGAGTTAATCTACATTTGTCTTCAAAGTCTGAAACACAAAACATGTTAGCACAATATGAATTACTGAGGCTCGGTCCTATAGAACATTATTGGTTTCATGTAGCAAATACTGGTTACCTAGTATATGTCATGAGGACAAAGATGAATAAAATAGTCCCTGTCTTCCCAAAGCACACCTCAAATGTTAGTAGAAAATAAAAACATGTAAACAAAACTTTAATGAACAGAACATTGTAGGGAACAATTAATTACCTAAGGAAGGAAAGAAAAACTTCACAAAGGAGGTGACGTCCAAGTTAAGTTTTGTTTGGTTTTGGTTTGGGTTTGAGTCAGGATCTTGTCGTGGAGTCCTGGGCTCAACTGATCCTCCTACTTCAGCCTACCAGGTAGCTAGGACTAAAGGCATATGCCACTGTGCCCAGCTCAAGCTAAGTTTTGAAAATGTATTAAGTTTGCTGTGGGACGGTAACCCCAGCACTTTGGGAGGCTGAGGCAGGAGGATCATTTGAGGCCAGGAGTTCAAAGCCAACCTGGGCAATATGGTGAGACCCCATCTCTACAAAAATAAAATACACAAAACAATTTTTTTAATCAGATGGGCATGGTGGTACACACCTATAGCCACAGTTACTTGGGAGGCTCTCCTGAGACCAGAAGTTCAAGAATACAGTGAGCTATGATTGTACCACTGCACTCTAGCTCTGGGCAACAGAGTGAGACCCTATCTCAAAAAAAAAAAAAAAAAAAAAATAGTGCAAAAGCAAAGAGTTATGATAGACTATGGTTTGGAAAGTGAATTCGGTATGGCCGGAGAAGACTAAACACAGATACATCTAGAAGAGGTACAGTTGACCTGATTATTAATGTAAACCACACTAAGGGGTTTGATCTTTTATCCTGCAGGCAGTTAGGGCACAGGTTTTTAAAAAATAAGTAAAAATTAAATTTGTGTTTTAGAAAAATGCCTCACTGTGATAACTGTGATGATTGGACTGAAAAGAGGAACCGACAACTAAAACATTTACTTAAGGGAGCCCAAGACAAATGGTTTTCAAACTGTGCTCATTTTTATAAGCAACCAACTAAAAAAAAGTAGTTTTGCTTATTTGAGAAAAAGAAATATTTACCGTCGTCTTTTGAAGGGTGACTTTGGCATATCTGCTGTAGGGATCATCTGTTCTCCTGGCCTTACCCACATTATAGGCCCATCATCACTCTGGGACCTACACTGGAGTCGGAGGCTAGAAAGTGTACCCCAGGGCAAAGTCATCTAGAAATCAGACGGATTAGTCACATTAAAAAATTGTTTCAATGATTTATAAGTTAATCCTCCCACCCAAATAAAAGTTCTAAGAAGGCTTTTTTACAACTGTATATAAAGAAATAAATGCTATTTACATAGTAATTTATATTAAAAAGAATAATTGAATTTAAGTACTTTGTACTAATATTATTCTATCTAAACATTTCTGTGCAAAACACTGGATAAATTTAATTTCAATAGGCAATATTAGCTAAATACTCTTCAACATATAAAGTGCCCACTTAAGTAAAGATCAAAACTTTAATAATCTTAATTAACACTCACTTTCAGAAATGGTGATTCTTCTAACATATCAAGGAACTCTGGGAAATAATCACCAACTTCTTCATCTACTGCTCCAACGAGACTTATCTGCCGCATAGGACCTGCTCGGTAGGTGCCACAGCAGTATGTCCTGTTGACCTAAGATAAAACAAAAGAGGGAAAAATGGACTGAGGTACAACTATAATATAATTAAAGAATTAAAATAGGTTATTGTTTCCAACGTTGCCATTTCTTCTACAAACTAAGAACTGAATGGTCAATACCTTGAATAAAGTCAGAGAGGCACCCAAGCACACTGACAAATACACTAATACATATGCCACAAGCAAATTTCAATGTGTGATTTAACCTGAAGATCTCAAAGAAACATTGAAGACATTAATATCTATTTAATACTTAAACTTCTCTAAAAATGATTTTTTTAACTTTGTAATATTTTAGAGTGTGATCTTTATTTAAGAAAAAAACATATAAAAGTAAAATCATCAGGGCAGGGAGAAAAAAAGACCATAGTCATATTAATCTTCCATGTTCATTTTGTACTCCCTAGCTTCAAAGTCTTCACTTTAGCCCAGATACCAGGATACGAGGCTCACTGTTACCAAGACAGGCCAATCTTTTTTTTTTTTTTTTCCTTTTTTTTGAGATGGAGTTTCACTCTTTGTCCCACAGGCTGGAGTGCAATGGCATGATCTCAGCTCACTGCAACCTCCACCTCCCAATTCAAGCAATTCTCCTCCCTCAGCCTCCCAAGTAGCTGGAATTACAGGTGTGCGCCACCATGCCTGGCTAATTTTTGTATTTTTTTAGTAGAGATGGGGTTTCAACACGTTGGCCAGGCTGGTCTTGAACTCCTGACCTCAAGTGATCCACCCGCCTTGGCCTCCCAAAGTTTTAGGAGTACAGGTGTGAGCCACCAAGCCTGGCCCCAATCTTTTTCTCTACTCAACTTATGACAAACTTATTTCTACCTCCAGTGATTTTTCTCTTGAATCTGCCCAATCTGGAATGTCCTCTTTTCTGTCAACCCAAATCGTATCCATCTTTCAAAGAGCAGTTCAAAAGCTCTTTTTTTCCAGAAGTCTTTCTGGTCACACTCCATGATCTCTCCCTTCTCTGAAGTCTAATGTTACCTATGAGCAACATATATTTTCTCTATATCAACTCTCCAGTGAATTTAGGACATATCCTACATAAATATGCAGCCCAGAGCATCCTATCTAGCATCTGAATGGAATCTATCATTAATTCCATACAATCTGATACTATTCCTCTAGTCATTTCATGTATGTTCTTATCTTATGTAATCTCCAATTTAGAGTTTCTCAAGGATAGAGAGATGGATCCTGTACATAGCAATGGACTAGACTAGAAATGCTGTATTTAACCAGAATTTCCACTTCAGATCAGTTACCTAGCATTTTCTACCTCTGTTAAAATGCAGATTAAATTTAAAAGCCTAACATATAGCTGTACCTTTATATAAAATGGCTCTTTAATGAACATTAAAAAAAATTTAAAGAATCTACTGTCATGTTTTAAATACCACCTATTTTGCCTTAATAGGAAACAGTCTACATAAATGACCATCTAGGATATCTTACCACAATTCTTCACCATTTGTTCTTTAGCAGCATTTTTAGAATCAATTTTTTTCCATAGACAATTTAACATCACCCACACATATATACACAGAAAAAAAGGCTGTAGATCTTGTTCTCAAATAGCAGGGGTAGGGATTTTTTAATTCCTTACAAATCCTCCCCCCAAGATCACTTTAGATGATTCTTAAGCAGCAGCCACCCAGGCCAGAATTACTTTATATATATTCATATGAATTACTTTCCATAAGTTTGGTATGATCATCATGCCATAAAAAGCCAGGGGTGGCAGCATGGAACAAAGGCTCATCATGGGATATAGAGATAAGGAAGGGGAAGAAAGGTAAGTCTTTTTAAATCATTATTCTAACCTTTCTAAGCACTCTAAAACAACTAAAGTAGATTTAACCTTCAGCAACATTTCTAGGAATCATATGCTTTTAGGGGTAATAAGAAATTATCAGTCTCGGCCAGGCACGGTGGTGCATGCCTGTAATCCCAGCACTTTGGGAGGCCAAAGCAGGTGTATCATGATGTCAGGAGCTCAAGACCAGCCTGGCCGAGATGGTGAAATCCCGTCTCTACTAAAAATACAAAAATTAGCCAGGCACGGTGGTGCATGCCTGTAGTCCCAGATACTCGGGAGGCTGAGGCAGAGAACTGCTTGAACATGGGAGGCGGAGTTTGCAGTGAGCCAAGATCGTGCCACTGCACTCCAGCCTGGGCGACAGGGCAAGACTCCGTCTCAAAAAAAAAAAAAGAAATATCAGTCTCCCCCAAACACCTCTCCCAACTATTCCCAGTCTCAGAAATTCCTTTACTAAGAAAGGCTTTCTCTCTATACAGGCATTTTATGGGACAAATGTCCTAAAGACCTATCATGATCTTTTTAAAATCTTTTTCCCAGCCAGAAGTGACTCTTAAGACCTATCCTAATTTAAAGCAGCCAAAACTCAAGACCAATCCTAAAGAAGTACACTGCCATGTGGCAGTTTTCAATTTACTTGGCCTGAGATTATACAACTCAATGCATTATTAATTTGAAGGAATTCATACTACTTTAAATTTTACACACAAAGTGAGACTGAATTAATATTCTTATATCACACCACTCCAAGTTTACCTAATTCAAACACCACTAAACTCAACAGCACTGAACTTGAAGACAACTTAGAAAGGTAAACACCTAGAATAATCAACATGTGACATGAATAAATATGAAGCATCTTTTCCTATTTGCAAAGAGAATAAAAAGTAAACCTAAAAAAGAGGAAGGCGGGAGCAACAGAAGACAAAGAAAGGGTATGACCACAAAATATAGCGACCTCATAATTTCGCCAAGACCAACATGTTTATTTTCATATATACACAAAGAAAAGCTTCTCATCTTACGAGGATCTTCAGGTTCACACCTTTGTGTGAGTACCAATGTTGTATCCATGAGTGACAAAGAATTAACAATGTTCAATTTTTATTTCCTGGCAGAAGAGCCATCAAGTAAACAACTATGCTACAAAATACTAGGACTGGATTTTGAAAGCTGCAATGTATAAAGCCTATTTGGATAACTGTAGCTAACTTAGCCTAGCTAGAGAAAGCCCTTATTAGTAAACCACAACCTTCCTGTTTTCATTCCTTTACTTACATGAAATTAGACCTCTAGCTTTCTGTGACCTACGTTTTTTTCTCAGTATCAGTCCCCTCCTTCTTTCAGCTGCTTCCATATCTAGTCTAAACCTCAAGGTTTATCCCTCTCTCATAAACACACTCTCATCCTCTATCCCAGTCCTTCCACCAGCCCTGCCTGCAAACCCCAGGCCTGAAACATTCAAACTATCCATCCCACCTCTGGACTTTTCCATTCCATAGGCCAATAAATCTCTTTCATCATTTAAGCCCATTTTAAAATTGACTATCCTGCAACTTGCCATCAAAAGCACCAAGATATATATACCTTTTTCACATAAGAATCCTACTTCTGTAATACTAGTCTGTAGTACCTGTCTCTATTGCCTCACCTCACCTTTTATTCACATCTCATATCATTGCAATCAGGCTTCTGCCCATACCACTCCCCTGAAACAAATCACTGATGACCTCTTCACAACCAAATTCAAGGAATGCTTTGCAATCACCTGCTTTCTTGATTTCCCTTTCCAGGCTTCCTCCTCTCCAAAACGTGGTTGTTGCAGAGTTGGCCCAGTTTTCATTCCACATATTATCTGTGGGTGGTTTCAATTATACTACAGATTTAACTACCACCTGTACCCTACTACATTCCATATCTACATCTCTAACTTAAAACTCTGCCTCAGATTCAGATCTTAACATACAAATGCCTCCTGGGCAGCCCACAGACACCCTCAAATTTAATACCTACAAAACAGAGCTCGTTTTTTTGTAAGGTTCCCTTCCCCTCCCAAACCTTCTTTTTCTCCTTCTGTATGTACTTCGCCGGTTAATAATATTCATTTTCTCAGGTCCTAAATCAGGAATTGATAAATCCCTCTTCCTCATCACTTAAATCAAAATCTATCCTTCTAACTAAATCTGCAGTACCACTGCCTTAATTCAGGAAATTATCATTTCTCACCTAATTGTAAAACCTCTTAACCAGTATCCTTGCTTCAGGATTCCTATCCCCAAGAGCCATCCTACATACTGCTACAAATAATCTAGGAAAAAACATCTTATCATTCAACCTTCCCATTTTAAATCCTTTAGTAGCTCCATATTACCTGTAGCATCAAACTAGAAAATCCTTTTTAAGGAAGACAAAGCCCCTCCTGATCTATTATTCCAAGGGAATAACAGACCAAGATTTGCCACATTCTCCACATTTGCCACATTCTAAATATACATTTCGCAAATTCTAAATAATTTCTGCTGCCTCCACAAGTTTTCACATGTTATTGTCCACCTTTACAACTCCTATATTTCCTTGATGGTATAAAATGACTCAAAATAAGGTTTCAAGCTCAAAGAACGAAAGTACATAACATTTACAGATTTTAGGTAAGTTAGATTTGGAGTTATAACTAGATCAAAAAAGGTAAGGAATAGATGCATAGATTTGGAAATTGTCTATAACATATAATTTTTTAAGTGACTAAGACTTGAGAGAAAGAATAGAAAGAGACAGAACCAAGAACTGCACTTAAAGGAAAACAGATATTTGACAGACAGGAGGAAGAGTTAGCTAAAGAAATTGTGAAAGGATGAGTTAAGAAGTAATGCAATTAAAATGATGTAAGAATAACGTTTCAAAAATGGTCAAGGACAACTATTTTTTAAGAAAAACAAACTGGCTGTTATGAATAGTGCTGCAATAAACATGGAAATGCAGATCTTCAACATACTGATTAAATTTCCTTGAGTTGGACATATACCAAGAAGTGGAATTGCTTGGTCATGTGGTCGTTCTATTTTTAATTTTTTAAGGAACATCCACACTGTTGACCATAATGTCTGTACTAATTTAGATTGACATTAACTGTATAAAAGTTCTCCTTTTTCCATATCCTCACCAGCATTTATTTTTTGTCTTTTTGTTAACAGCCAGAACTGGGGTGAGGTGATATCTAATTGTAGTTCTGACTTCCATTTCCCTGATGATGAATTATGTTGAACATTTTTTCATATACCTGTTGTATGTCTTCAAATTTCAGAATGTCTATTTAGGTCTTTTGCCCACTTTTAAATCAGATTATTTCGTTGTTGTTGTTATTGGGTTGTTTGAATTATTTACATAAATTTTAGGCCACAGGGCAGAAAATACTATCTGGTCCTTAATAGAAAAAGTTTGCCAACCCCCAATTTAAACCACTCACAAAAGAAATCAAGCAATATGTTTGAATACAAACTTTGTGAAAGAGAACAATCTGTATTATTCAATATTATATATCTGTAATACAAAGTGCCTGGTATGTAGTCATAAATATTTGTTGAATTTCTGTATGTTAAGGCTAGAAATGAAGTAATCAACCACAAACTCTGGCAAAAAGAAAAAAAAGGGGTGGAGGGGGAGAAGAAGAACTGCTGATTACCAGTCTATCACTTGCATTTAAAAATTTAATAAATGCAAATGTTTGTGATACATTTAAATAATTAACAGCATAACAATGAACAGCAGTTATGACCACAAATTCAACATGCACCAACTTTCAACCTGAAAAGGCTGACAAGAAAAAAAAAAAGAGAGAAAAAAATAGATAAAACAAAAAAACATTCACCAACTGTAGGAAACTAATGCCAAACAAGCAAAGTATTCCTTCTTTTTAGTAAGAAAATTTCCTGGGCATATGGCCAATAAGCTAGGCTCCCTGACAGCTAAATGCGGCCTGTGCCTAAGTTTGGGCCAATGAGACAGTCACATAAGTTACATATGCAATCTTCAGGGCATACCTTTATAAGGAAGTGGCTTGCCCTCCACTTCCTTTTTCTCTTTTGAGGGCTGCAACACAGAGTGGTAAAGAGCTAGTCTCAATCATGCACATGACAACACCAGTAGGAACGACAAAAATTAAAGACAGAAGGAAACTAGCATCCTGGATGACAACAAGGAACAGAGTTGCTTACCTCGGGACTGCTAAACAAGAGACAAACTTTTGTTCTAGCCACTGCACATTGGTCCTCATTGTTATGGTTTTTTAGCCTATACCTTGTATACTTTGTAATGAGGGAGGCAATATTCTGCATTGCACAGAGATATCATCTGGGGTGTGATCTCCCGATCTGGCCTAAAAAATATCTATAACTAGGGCACACCCAAAATAGAACATTTAAAGTGATTAGGGACTTGCAAACCATACAAAATGGAGGAAGAATGCAAGAAATCAAAAGTATTTCAAAAGTATTTAACTTGAAAAGATTAAAGGAGGGACACAACAGTCTTCAAATACTTGGAGGCCTGTAACATGAGTTACAGGAAAGCAGGTGTCATTCATTTACCACAAGTTTATTGTACAGTCATGTGTCACCTAATGACAGAAATACATTCTGAGAAATGTCATTAGGCAATTTGTGGTTGAGAACATCACAGCTTGTACTTACACAAATCTAAGTGGTATAGCCTACTACACACCTAGGCTATATGACATAGCCTATTGCTCCTAGGCTACAAAACTTACAGCATGTTATTGTACTGAATACTGTAGTCCAGTGGTCCCCAATCTTTTTGGCATGAGGGACTGGTTTTGTGGAAGACAATTTTTCCACGGAAAAGGGCAGGGGGTTGGCAGGCATGGTTCTGGATGAAACTGACCCACCTCAGATCATCAGGCATTAGTCATATTCTCATAAGAAGTGTGCAACCTAGATCCCTCGCATGCACAATTCACAACAGAGTTCACACTCCTATGAGAATCGAATGCTGCAGGTTATCTGACAGGAGGCGGAGCTCAAGCAGCAATGCTATTATAGCTTGCTGCAGCCAGGTTTTTAACAGGCCACAGACCAGTACTGGGGGACCAGTACAGTTGAGGACCCCTGCCGTAGATACCTGAAACACAATGGTAAGTTTTTATGTATCTAAACACATTTAACTTCCCATGCTTGCAGAATAGGGAGTTGTTATGGGTCAGTGAGTGAGTGGTGAGTGAATGTGAAGGCCTAGGACACTGCTGTACACTACTGTAGACTTTATAAACAGTGTACACTTAGGTTACACTGATTTTTAAAATTTTTCTTTCTTCAATAATAAATTAACTTTAGCTTACTGTAATTTTTATAAACTTTATGAGTTTTTTAATTCTTTGACTCTTGTAATAACACATAGTTTAAAACACATTGTACAGCTATACAAAAATACTTTCTTTACGTCCTTATTCTGTAAGGTATTTTCTACTTAAAAACTTTTTTTTTTACTTTTTTTAAACCTTTTTTGTTAAAAACAAAGATACAAATGCACACATTGGCCTATGCCTACAACAGGGTTGGAATGATTAATATCACTGTCTTTCATCTCCACATCTTGTCCTGCTGAAAAGTCTTCAGGGGCAATAACACTCACGGAGCTATCATCTGCTATGATAACAAAGCCTTCTTCTGTAATATCTCCTGAAAGATCTGTCTGAGGGTGTTTTACAGTTAACTTTTTTTTAATAAGTAGAAGTATGTTCTAAAATAATGATAAAAGGTATAGTAAATATAGTAAGTGATAGGAATTTTTCAGCTCCATTATAATCTTATGGAGTCAGCGTTACATATGCAGTCTGTCATTGACTGAAACGTCACTACATAGCACATAAACATATATTTTATGCCACTGTACTCAACACAGGTATAGCAAACCAGACCTATTCCTGGCCACTTGAAGCTTACAGTCTAGTAAGGAGAGGCAGACACTAATCTAAATAAACATTTAATTATAAACTTTGATCTTCAGAATGTAAGATGTATGACACTATGAAAAAGAACATGGGATCCTGATCCGGGGAATAAAGTATTCCTTGAAGTAACATTGAGCTCAAATCTGAAGAACAAGTTCAGAGGGAAACAAAATCTCTTAAGCATTGCCCTTTCCAAGATCTAAAAGAAAGCTAATGATAATAAACACAGAAAGCAAAAGAGAAAAATAAAGATGAGACTGGAAAAATCAGCTGTAGCTGGATTATGGAGAGCCTAGAAGATCACATCAAGGATTCTGGAAAGCCACTAAAGGATCTGAAAAGAAGGAAAGTTACCCAATTTGCCTTTGGTTTTTTGTTTGTTTAGTTTTCTCAGAGGGGCACAAAAAGTAAAGAGATCAGCTAGGAGTATTCTATAATATGCCAAATAAGAAATGTTAGGCTAAGCTAATAACTTGATTTTAAATAGGGACTTCTTTTTAAAAGAAAAACAAAGAGATCTGAAAATTATACAGGAGATAAAATTGTCAAGATGTGGACAAAGATTGGATATGATAGATAAGAGAAAGAAGTATGAAAGATGACTACCAGGTTCTGTACTTTGGAACCTGAAAGAGCAACTACTCTCTCTTCTGGAGGAGGATCAGGTTTCACTGTTTTGGACATGATGAGCCAGAAGTATGTGATAGGTTGAAAAACGGCTTCCAAAGAACCTAACCCCTAGAACCTAATCCCCAGAATCTGTGAATGTTACCTTATGGCAAAATGGACTCTGCAGATGTGAATAAATTAAGGATCCTGAGATGGGGAGAGTCTCCTGGATTATCCAGGTGGGCTTAAATGTAATAACACGTGTCTTTTAAAGACTGAGGCAAAGAGATATTTGAGAAGGCGATGTGATGATAGAAGCATAGCCTGGGGTAATATACTTTGAAGATGGAGGAAGGGGCCACAAGCTAGGAAATGTAAGACACAAGAAGCTAAAAAAGGCAAAAACTTGATTTTTTTCCCTCAGAGCCTTCAGAACTGTAAGAAACTAAATTTGCGTTGTTTTAAGCCATTGTTTGGGGGCCAGGTACTGTGGCACACACCTGTAATCCCAGCACTTTGGGAGGCCAAGGCAGGCGGATCACTTGAGTCCAGGAGTTCAAGACCAGCCTGGGCAACATGGTGAAACCCTATCTCTACTAAAAAAATACAAAAAATTAGCCGGGCGTGGTGGTGAGTGCCTGTAGTCTATTTCTAAATTTTCTATCTTGCTGAACAGAGCTCATAAACTAATTACACTGATTTAATAATTAAATCTTTAGAATATATTGGTACCAGGTAAGGCACTCCTCCATCGTTACTTTTTCTTTTCTGGCTGTTCTTGCCTACTTATTTTTGCATATAAACTTCAATATCTGCTTGGTTGTCTCAAAAAACAACTATTTCTATTTTATTGGGATGGTGTTCAATTTATAACTTAGGAGAAATTGTCATTCTGATATTGATTCTTCTTCCCCAGGAACACAGTAATATATGTTTCCATTTAAGTCCTCTTTTGTGTGATCATGTTTCAACACTAATAGGAAGAATCTGATAAAGATGAAAAGGTGAAGAGGACTGCTGTTTAAACATGGTAGACTGGATGTATGATTTTTTTCTATTCCTTGTCAAAATCCCACTCAAGTGAGAATAAAATATCAAGGCTAAAATCCCAGATAGTCAAAGAGAACAGAAGTAAAAACTACAGATACAAGCTATCAAAATGTTTTTGGAAGGTGAAAAATGTACAGGGAAATTTGCAAACTGAGAACTCTGGCTAACTTTTATAGAAGGCAAGAACAAAGCATGCAACTAAAAACAAAAAAGGTGGGTTTAAAATCTGCTTGAGTCAGTGAGACCCTTCCACTTACATTCTACCTTCCTATCCCATGCTCCTTTTTCCTCACCTTATTTGTGGTAAAAGTGAACTAAATGACTACAGACACAAGGATACAAGGCACAAGCAAGGGAGAGAACCATTACACTGGAAGCAGGGAATTAAGCAAAATCCCAGTTATTTAACAATGCAATCGCCTACCTCCTTCCAAGAATTCTAGCAGACAGGTGTGTAACCTACTCCATCCCCTGACAAAAATGTGGTAGATTTTTAGCTGTAGAAACTAAAGGCCCAAGAAACAATATCTTTAAACACTAATATTTAGAGCTTTTCTCACAATATGACCACATTCCCTATCCAGTCTTCAAATGACAAATCCCACCCACGTGTTCACTGAGTTTCTAATGTTTTATAACGACTCATGTTTCAATATGAACAGATCACCATGTTTGATGAAAACATAACCAGAAGACTAAAATAAAAATAAAAAAGAACTTGAACAACTTAAGAGTATAAAAGAAAACTTAAAAACAAGTATAATTAGTATCAGAGAGATGAAAAAAGGTATTGTATCCATGAAACAATAGGAAGTTATTAAAAAAGGGACAGAGAACAAGAACAAGCTCTCAAACTGAAAACATTACAGCTGACATTAATCAACATTAAGAAGCTAGTTAAATCTACCCCCAGAAAGCAGGAAAAAAGACAATGAAAAATATAATAGGAAAGATAAGAAAATTGAGGTTGAATCGGGAGGCCTAATATACAATTAATAAAAGTTTCAGAAAAAAACGATAACTGAGAAAGAAAATTAACAAGTAATACAAGAAAAAACTCCATAAAGGATGGATTTCCACATAAAAAAGGGTGGTGGGGGGTAGGGTTCAACTGCACTGATGATGTTTTATTTCTTGGGCCAGAGTGATTGTTATTATTCTTTATATCTGCGTCTGAAATATTTCATAGTAATTTTTTTTAAAGAAAAATGATCCATCTCAAGGCACATTATCCTTGGTACTCAGACATTCTGTAGTAGAAATTCTGAAAGCTTCCAGAGAGAAAAAAGCAGAACAGCTAAAAAAAATCAGGAATCATTATGGCATTGGATTTCTCAACAGCAACACTGTAAGTTTAAAGGCACTGAAGCAATGCCTTTATAAAGCTAAGAAAAATGACCCATCAATCAAATGTTACAGTTAAAGAAAAATTCTTCAGATGTGAGAATTGAGCTACTGAATTCAGGCAAGAGTCATGGAATGCCAGACAGGAGAAAGGACAAATAGAAACCCCAGGATACATGCGTGGATAAAAAGACCTATCAAAATAGGAAGATCCCTTGGCCAGGAGTTTGACATCAACCTGGAAAACACAGGAAGACCCTCTACCTTGCCCCCACCCCGACCCAAAAAAAGACATTTACACAAATGCTTACTGTAACACCATAATATTATAAAACTGTAAACAACCTCAATGTCCAAGAATAGGAGAATAAATAGTGAGTGTGATATTGTGCAATATGTATCTGGTCTTCATCCCTATTTCCTGAGGTAGGGCTCCTAAACTCCTTGTTATCTCCAAATAGCTCTATTTTTGTATGCTAATATTGACTAACAGCTTTAGGGCGGGGCTGGTCACCTGAAAAATAAAGGTACAATTAGAGGGTTGGACGGTCAGCCCTACCCCCAACCTCCAGGGAGGGGTGCTAAAGGTCAAGCTGACCACCAACGGCCACTGGCTTAATCAATCAAGCCTACATAATGAAGGCTTCATAAAAACTGAAGAGGTTCTGAGAGCATCTGGATAGCTGAACATGTGGAAGCAGACAGGAAGATCAACAGGAACTCATACATTTGCTGGGAGGGTGGCATACCCCAACTCTACGGGGAAAGAAGCTCCTGTGCTCGGGACCCTTCCAGACCATGCCCTGTGTATCTCTTCATATGGCTGTTTATTTGCACCCTTTAACATATCCATCACACTAAACCCATAAACATAAGTATTTCCCTGAGTTCTCTGAGCTACTCTAGCAAATCCACTGAACTCAAAGAGGGGATCGTGGGAACCCCAACTTGAAGCCAGTTGGTCAGAAGTTCCAGAGGCCTGGACTTGTGACTGGTGGGAAGGAGAGGCCAGTCCTGGGGACTGAGCCCTCTATCTGGGATCCAAAACTGACTCTGGGTAGTGTCGGAATTGAATTGGATGACACCCAGCTGGTGTCTGCTGAAGAACTGATTGCTTGCTTGTTGTGGGGGAGAAATCTCCCACATTTGGGCAAAGAAGTCTTCTGTGTTGATTGCTGTTGTTTGAGAGCAGAGGAAAAGTAAAGTGTTCAAAAACAGTGATACAGCTGCCCAACAAAATACCAAATATAATGGTTAAAATTAATGTAGAGTTAGATGTATCAAAATAATCTTCAAAAACAATGTTGAACAAAAATAACCTGCAGAATGATACACACAATACACTGTAGTTTTAAAATACAAAGGTACAAGTATTGTTTTTATGTTCATTTGGTATTAGTAAAATGTTAAAAGATAAAACGACATGATAAGCCACAAATTCAGAATAAAGATTTACTTCTAGGGAGAAAGGAAAAGTTTATTTAGAGAAAAAAAAAGCGGGGGAAAGACACGAAGCAGAAATTCGCTTAATATATTTTATACTTTTAGTTACGTGGGGAGTGGGAATGGAGAAGGGAAAGGTTGGAGGGGTAGTAGCGGGTAACTGACATCAAAGATCCTAACCTAATGGGTATAGAGTTTCTGTTTGGTATGAGGAAAAAGTTCTGGAAACGGTAGTGGTAATAGAACAATATATATACCCAATGCCACAGAATTATACACTTTAAAATGGTTAAAATGGTAAATTTTGTGTATATTTGACAACAGTTTTTTAAAAACCTTAGCAGGCTAAGGGATGGTATTCATAACACAAGTAGACAAATTAGCCTGACAAATTAGCCTTTGAGGAGGAGATAGAATATCTTCTCTACTGTAACAGGAGAGAATGAGGAAAAGATGTATACAGATAAAGTTTAAATAGTATTTATGAAGAACAGGTAAACAAGCTAAACAAAGAAAAGAAGTAGGCTTCCCAGGCAATGTTGACAACCCAATGGGAAGCATTATAAAATGTCATGAAGAGACAAAGTCCCCAGTGATGGCCAATCAAAACATGATTTTTTAAAATTTGCACTTTGTAGAGGTCAGATAAGATTATCTCTTAGTTTATGATGCTCTGAAATTCTAAAAAGATGCTATCTACAGGTCAAATGAAAGGAACTAGAGTAATGGTAGATGGTATATGGTTTAAAACAGTGTTTCTTAAACTTGCCTGATCATAGGAATCAAGTCGGTCAAGGTACTTATTTCATGCCTCACTCCAGACCTCATGAACCAAAATTTCCAGAAGAGGAACCTGAGAGTCTAATGTATATTTGAACTAGCAACCCCAAATTATTCTTAGGATCTGGCAAGTTTGGGAAACTCTGGCCTGGAAATAGCAACTGAAAACAAAGAACAAGTTGAATTCTACAGCTTTCCGGAGTTTATGTACTGGAGCACAGTGGAGGAACAAACAGAATTGGGAGGACTGGAGGGAGGTAAGTACGAGACCAAAGAACAGAAAAAACTAAAGCTGCCATGGAAGCAGGAGACATAACGCCAACAGGAAAAACACAGTCTTTGGTAAAATCAGAAGGCAAAGTGGGGAGGGGAGAAGGATGTGGCATCAAAGAGAAATATGCCTATTAAAAAAAATAATAGTTTTGCATAAAATTTATTCTCTTTATAATATCTATAAAATGTTAAACAATTATCTTTGAATATATATACTGCTGTCAATACATATGTAGTGTTTAAATTAGAAACTCAACTTCACAGTTATCCTGTATGAATTTCTGAATTAAGTAAGCTCAACTGTGTCCCCAATACATAGAGCTTCTACAAAGGACAATTATAAATCTGTTAATAACTCAGGAGAACACCAAGCTAAAAAAGCACTATGTGGAAAACCCTGTGTATGGGGGTTGAGAGCGGGTGTGGATTATTCCACAGAACTCACGTTTCAGGAAGAAGCCTATTCAAGCTGACTTTTTAAAACACAGAAAGGAAAAAATTAGCCAGCGATCTTCCTAACCTTGTGCCTTGTGAATAGAAAGGCATTCCTACTTTAAAATATATAGTGAAAAAACAGTGTGACTGGGTCAAAGTGAGTACTTAAAATAAGAGGAAAAAAAAAAGAATCAAGCCTACCATTTTTATTTATGCCATTTTATTTTATAAAACCTGCTACTTAAAATGTTTATTTCTCCTTTTCTATAACACACTAATAATGCATACAGTTCCTTAAGGGTTTCTGAGCTATTTCCCAAGCTATATACTACTCTACTAGTTCTATTCTTATTAGTATTACCAATTCATTATAAAATGTTAATCAATCAAAGATCAGAGTGCATATAACAAGCCCATATAAGGCCTTGTCCCAACACACAACGAGGGAATAACATTTTTTGTTTTTCTCTGGAACCGTAGACACTAAAATTATACACGCCAATGCTACAGAACATTATCATTTTATAGAGTAATAAAAGTAATATAAGAAATAAAACTACCTAAAGTTAAAAAGCTTTGATTCTCAGTGAAACCTCAAAATTATATATGAAAATTTTTGAAAAAGATACTTAAAACATGCAGATTTGCCAATCTTCCCTACCCCCAGCAAACACATAACACACACTCCTCTCCATGTACATCCTTCAATTACTTAGTTGCCAGAAGATCTCAGAGGTGATATTGAAAACAATTCCCTTTTAACTTCACTGTATTTTTAGTGTTTGTTATTATTTGCGCTTGCAATTTATGTACAGATTTTGAGACCTATATGGCCTTGGTGGTCCATTTACTAGCAACATCAGCATCACCAGAAAATGCAGACTATAAGCAAAGCTAGTGCTCACACCTGTAATCCGAACATGCTAGGAGGCCAAAGCAGGAGAATCCGTTGAGACCAGGTGCTCAAGACTAGCCTAGACGACATAGTGAGACTCTGGCTCTATAAAAAAATTTTTAAATTAGCCAATTGTAATAGTACACACCCGTAGTCCTAGCTACTCTAGAGGCTGAGGCACTGGAAATAGCACCTGAAAGCGAAGAACAAGTTGAGTTCCACCACTTCCTGAAGTTTATGTACTGGGGTACAGTGGAGTAAGAAACAGTAGAAAGACTACTAGAGCCTAGGAGTTCAAGGCCTCAGTGAGCCATGATCACACTTCATGATCACACTTCAGCCTGGGCCACAGAGCGAGACCTCATCAAAGAAAGGAGAAAGAAAGGAAGGGAAGGGAGGGGAAGGGGAAGGGAGGAAGGAAGGAAACTCAACTTTATAAAGTTATCCTGTATCAACTGCTAAGAGTTAAGTAATCAAACAAGGATCAGCTTACTGTTTCAATGGACATATAAATTTTTCTGCTCTGGTATTAGAACATTTGAGTTTTCTAGAATGTTAAAAGAAAACCCTATATGTGGATCCTAGCTTTAGCCACCACAATAATTTAAAAATATAAAAATAACAGAAGTTTTCATTTTTCTTGCACAAAATCTACATTTTACTTTCTCCTGCTTAGAGGAGCTGAGTTCTAAAGCTTCTCAAAGTTTAATGTGCATATGAATCACCTTTTAAAAATGCAGATTCTGATTCAGAAAATCTGGGTAAGAGCCCAGTCTACACTCCTAGCAAGCTCCCTGGTGGTGCCAAATTCATACATAGAGCAAACTTTTAGTAGCAAGGTTCTAAAGAAAAGGCATAATTTACAATAGTATTTACCTGTCCACGGTTTGCAAAGCACTAATCTTGATCATGTCTCCAATTCAATTCCTAATTGATAAACCTACCACTTTCCCATCCTTACTTACTGGATCCTTCATATGGATAAAATAAACACTTCATTCTTAAAATGCAGAAAACTTCTAGTCTTTCTTCTGCCTGCCTTTCTTTTTGGTCTTTTCCCATGTTCATCATACTTACTTGTGGATGCATCACAAGATTCCACCCTTAGTTTCATCTCTTTTCCACTGCTATTGCTGGTTCCATCTTCTGCATCTCCGCATCTCCTGCATTAATGGGTTCAACTTCTGCATCTCCAACCTAGACACATCTCTCAAACTTGGATCCATACATTCAATTCCTAAGAGTTCTTTTTTTTTTTTTCTTTTTTTCTTTATTGAGACTTGCTCTGTCGCCCAGGCTGGAGTGAGTGACGTGATCTTGGCTCAGTGCAAACTCCACCTCCCAGGTTCAAGCCAGCATCCCAAGCAGCTGGGATTACAGGCGCCCGCCACCATGTCAGCTAATTTTTGAATTTTTAGTAGACATGGGGTTTCACCACTTTGACCAGGCTGGTCTCAAAATTCCTGATCTCAAGCAATCTGTTCACCTCAGCCTCCAAACTGCTGGGATTACAGATGTGAGACACCATGCCCAGCCTCCTAACAGTTATTTCTAACCGTAAATTCCCACAGGTACCTTCAACTCAAAATATCTCAAACTGAGCTCATCAACACCCTCTAGCCACAGAAACCGGCTTTTTCAACCATGTATTGGCTTTGACCAGCATCGCCATCCACCCATTTGTCCAAACCACATCTGAAGACTATCTCTCTCTCTCACCAAGACTAGTTAAATCTCAACCTTCTAATTATTTCTCAAATTTCTTTCTTTTCTCTCTAATGTCAGTACCAGTTTGGACGTGGAGCATTTATGACATGGTTACTATCGTAACTAACTGGTATTCTTGCTTCCAATCTCATATCCTGCACCACCAATTCCATCCTCCACACTATTATGTAATCTTTGCAAACATAAATGGATAGCAAGCATTTCCCTATTAAAATTCACCAATGACTCCCAATTATCTTTAGGAAAAAGTACTAACTTTTTAAAAGCATGTCATCTAAGGCTCTTCACAATCCTAATCATGTCTCTCTCTCTCTGGTCTCAACTCCTTCCATCCCTTAACAGTCAGTGCATACTCTTGCCATGTCAATCTATTTGTAGCTCCCTCTAAGTGCCGCATTCTCAAATGCCTCTGTGTATTTGCATAGGCTGTTATTCGCTTAAAATGTTCTTACCAAGTTAAGTATTAACATGCTTTCAAGATTGTACTCAAGCATCACATGGCTTAACATGCCTTTTCGAATTACCTCAAGTCTGCATTAGGTAACACAGACAGTGCTCCCTCTATTACAGGGTTTTCCCTATGCGTACCTCTACTCAAGTAGTACTCTGTATTATAATTGCTGGTTTACTCATCTCCCCCACTAGACTGAGCTCATCAATTAGTCCTTTTAAGAACACAGTGCCCAGTACATGGTAGGTTCTCAGTAAGTGCTTGCTGAATAAACTATCTTGAAATATAGTCACGAATAATTATTATGGCTACATATTTAAACTATAAATAACTTCCAATAACTATGTCTCTAAAGCAATAAAAAATTTATTTGACTTTATTTCTAGGTTTAACAGAACTTCATAAAATGTCAAAAGACTTCAGGTAAGTCCACACTGCCCTAGGTATTTGTTTAATTCCCAACGATCTAAAGGGATTTGTTAAAAATATTAGAAACAAAGCCTTTTGCATGCTGTTTCACACGGAGATACTTTAATTTCACTGACCAGAGTGTTAGACAAATAAAAGCACTAATCTCTTCTCCATGGTAAAATGATGTGAACATTGTTCAGGTGGCCTGGGTTTGCATCTGGACTCTTCTACTTACTAGCTATATGACCTTGGATAACAAACAATGAACATCTCCCAGCCTCAGTTTCTTCCATGGGAAACACAGATAAAATTGCTTACCTACCTACCCACTAGGTTGTTTCAAATATTCAGATATGAATGTGAAAGCATTTCTATAAACCATGAAGTGCGAAATCAATTTGAACTACTGTGTTAACTTCTATCCCAACATCTGCTAAAGTTGCAAACTTCAAAGTTTAGTCGGCTAATCCAACCTCCCATATCCACACCATACTCTTCTCTAATGACTGAAAATTCATAAATAAAATTAAGTTCCAGGACCACCAGAGCACAGGACTCATTCAACAGTCCTCAATATTCTTATGTGGTTGAAGCGTTTAATATCTAATTTAATCATAATCTGAAATGTTCTTAAAAAGTGGTTATTTTTTAAATCTCAAAGTAAGTATCAAGGTAAGTTGTTGGTACAGTCATTTAAATTTCAGCTCCATTTTAAAAAATTAATTGGAGGACAAAAATCAGCAGGGAATATTTCAAGATATTTTCTTTTATTAACTATTTAGACTGGATACTGTCTGTTGACATACAAATTTGATCCACTTTAACTAATATGAATGTTAAAAAGACACCCTTACAAAACTGGGACAGTTTTCCCCCAAATTTCTGGCTTATTTCTCAGAAATGCTTGTTGGTCTATCAAAAGAGAAAATTTGCTGCATTTTTCTAAACTAAAAAAATGATAGAGCATGTTGATTCTGCTCTCAGCAATATCTTTCCTTGTTAAATAGGGAACTTATGGGGATTATGGACTATATTAGGAGAAATGTTTTCAGTCTCATCTGCAATATTTATAAAAATAGGATTCCTTGACCTTCAAAGGGCAAAACTTAAAAAAAAAATGAAAATGAAAAAAGAAAATCTACTACAAAAGTCAGCACTTCGGTACCTGGTTGTGGTAATAAGGCCAAAATCCAAGACGAAGCCCTTTATTGCACATGGTGTTCCAACATCTTGGGCAGC